>NC_000014.9:35066258-35369288 GCF_000001405.40 Homo sapiens | reverse complement strand
GGGCGCGCGACAGCTGCCCGGACCCTGCCTGAACCCAGAAGCGACCCAGTGAGAGAAGGAAAGAGGAGCAGCAGCGCGAGCGCAGTGCAGCCCTCAGGTGACCCCGCAACGCCAGTGAAGAGCCCACAGGGAGTCCAGGAAATAAACCCGGACCTCGGCTCACCCTCCGCCGCCCATCTCTGCAGCGTTTTCC
Organism: Homo sapiens; assembly: GCF_000001405.40. Classification (NCBI taxonomy): domain Eukaryota; kingdom Metazoa; phylum Chordata; class Mammalia; order Primates; family Hominidae; genus Homo; species Homo sapiens. The sequence goes on along the minus strand of NC_000014.9, from coordinate 35,369,095 downwards.
CCGGGGCTGAGCCCAACCAGGATCCCACGGGCCAGAGCCGCAGCGCCGCTGTCCCCAAGACGTGGCCAGAGGGACAAATGTCTGGCACAGCTAGCTGATGTTTAAGTGGTTTTCTTTTGTCTTTGCAATTTAGAGATAACCGTATGAAAAATAGCTGTATTCCGATATCTCAAGAGTTAAAAAATCTCACCCCAGCCGCCCTGCCCCTCGCTGGGTTTGCGGGCTTCTTTCTGGCAGAGTCTGGGAGGGCGTCCCCAGGCATTTGCTCTCCTGCCCCCGCGGTCACCCAGGAGGCCTGGGCAGCCCAGCCCCTCTGTCCAGGAAAGCCCCTGGAGTGGGTGCAAGCTCTGAATCACACGTTCCACCCTGACACCCCTTAGAAATTTAAGCTGCCTGTCATTGATCCTTCTCCGGGCCACTTTTGTACACAGTTCCAGCTGAAGAAAGGCACCAGTATCTGCACATTGCTTAAAAATGAGACTATTCACCTCTCTGGGGTGAGGGGAGAAACAAAAGAAAAAGAAATGAGAATAAACGCACTTCGCATCCCAACATCATAAAATATTACAAAGAGTTTTGCTTTTGCAAAATCAAATAAACTACCCACAACTGTACCTACCAAGTAAAAGTGCACCTTTGTTTGTAAGCAGAGGAATGAGGAAAACAGACTGGGGACACTTGGACTCATTTCCAGAGCATAGCTTTAGGGACCAGCCTCAGGGTGGTTGTAAAGATCACATTCAGAACAATGAGCTCTTCCTAGATGTCAAGTCACTATGCGGGACTGCACCTCCAACCCCAAGGCTACCCACTAACCCCAAACCTTGCCCTCTAAAGCTCAGCTGGGAGTGCAATGGGTTAAAATAAGTCAACCCAATGGAGTGCAGGGGCCCGGGGAGCTCCTCAGCCATGTGGAGTCCTGGTTTGCCCCCATGCCAGGCTGCTACAGGCAGGGCCCATTCATCCAAATGAACCCCTGAGCTGCTGGGGCAAGAGGGTGAAAGGAGAAGATGTCCCTCCCAGTTGGTTCCCAGGTTTGAGGGAGAAGCACAGATCCTGCCTCCATCCAGCCCAGAAGAGAAGAAGGGTCCTCCTGGGGAAGAGGTGGCCTGACCCCCATGCAGGGCTGGGAGGAGGCGGGTGAGGGGGCTGTTGTGAAGCTGCAAGTTCCCTTTGCATACCGAAAGCTTCTAGTTGCAGCCGGATGTAGGGGAAAGTGCCGGGGGAGATAAGGGGCCCCATGAGCAGAGCACCCCACCATGGGAAGATAAAAATAGAAATACAGTTCTCCCCACCCCCACCCCAGCCAAAGAAAGTGTGAAAAGCCACTCTGGAATGCCACAGAAGCAGCCATGCAAATTAAACTCATTAAATGAAATAGTACAAGTACAGGGCCTAGCACTAGCTTGCCACATGGTAGGTGCACAGTGAATGTTGCTCCCCTTACACACACACACACACACACACACACACACACACACACACACAGCTGTGTCTGGCCCTACCACAAGCTGAAATGCACATTTACTTGATATATTCATCCGGCTCCTCTTTGAGAGGCATGACCTCGGCTGCCCAAACTTGCAGGCCTCCCCGTAACTGGCCACAGCAATCCCAGCACAGAGCCCCTGGTGTGGAAGGGGCATGACAGGGCAGCCTCAGCCTCAGGTGTCAGCCCTGGTGGGCTGGGTTCCAGGCAAACATTCTGAGGCAAAGTCTCCACGAGGGTGAAGGTTCTCCCAGAGCTGGCCCTTCTGACTCCAGGCACAGGGCCTGGGGCGCCTCGTCACTTCTCCCTCCTTTCTGCCAACCAACCTCCCCCGGCTCCACATTTGCAGACAGGTAGCCAGGCCCCTCCACCTCAGGCTCCCTGCAGGGTGGCCCTGGGATGTCAGGTCTGGGGTGGGCAAGGGGAGGCTGGAAGACAGTCTCCCAGTGACTCAAGCTAGGCTGACCCCTCACTACAGAGGAGTCAACCCCTCCATTTGGATGTGGAGCTTCGGTCTCCTCCACCACACACTTGCACGAAGGGTTGGGAGACTGGGTATGGGGAAGGAAAGGGATAACGCTGAGGGCTGAGCCCTGGGGGGTAGTGCCAACCTGGATTTTGCAACAGAGCAGGCTGAGAGCGAGGACCATGTACAGAGAACCCACTGTGTGCCGGCTCTATGCCAGGCCTTTGCATAGTTTCATTTCATCTTCACCACAAGTTGGTCAGGTAGGTGTTCAAGACCCATTTTATAGATGAAGAGACTGAAGCCCCGTGTTCAAGACCCATTTTACAGATGAAGAGACTGATGCCCACAGAGTTGAATTTAGTTGCCAGAGTCACACAGCTATCTGAGAGGGGTGGCCTCTGGCTCCATTGGAGGTGCTGTGTTTTCTGACTGAGGGTTGGGGCTGGTGTGGATCTGGGTAAAAGGCTGCGGATGGACTTCTGGCTGCAGCCCAAGGAACCATGTGGGGCAAGGCTGGCTCGGTGAGCATGCAGCGCTGTCACAGAGGGGTCGGGACTGTGGGCACCCTGCTGGCCAGTGGAGGGCTGTGGAAGAGGTTTGCACAGGCCTCGCTGTCCCCGAGGTCACCAGGCCTTCTCCCCTGGAGTAAGTGGGGGTCCCCAAGCCTTAGACTCCAGCGTGGGTGATGACTTCTTTCTGCCTTCCCAGTTGATGCCCTTGGAAAAGCCCCTGACTCCATCATGGGCCACAGAGTGCTGTGTAATTTCCTCTGTGGGTCAGCCCTCCACTGAAGGCTGTGACGGGGACATGACTCAGGCCTTGGCCTGCCACCGACAAGCCACCAGCTGCATGGATCCCAGCTGACTCGGTGGACACAGAAGCGGCGCCTGCTGGTTTCTGCCATTTATGCTTCATCCTACACTAGGAGAGGTGCGCCCGCCGAGGGGATGGGCCAGGCAGATTGTGGGTCACACTGGACCCACAGCATGTCAGGAACTGGGACCAGTTCTCGGTCATCGCTGGGGAGAACCGTGACTGAGACAGACCCTCCGCCAGGTCTGGAGCAAGTCAGCCAGGATCCTCCAGGCTCAAGAATCTCAGTGGCACCAGCAAGCTATTGGAGCTGGGCCTGCTCTCCCCATCTACTCCCAAGTAAGAACATTTTCCATCTTCCCACAGGAAGTGACCCACAAGTGAATTTGCTCTTTTTGGAGAAAGGTGCTTTGCTTAGATAATTAAAAAAAAAAAGAAACCAAACCCATTCAGTGGTTACTTCAAGCTGCCTTCCAGGAATTCACCATGGATATACAGGGCCTTGAAAGGCCTCAGCTGACAGCAGGTCTTTGGAAAACAAGAAAGGTCATCTTTGGATCCCTTGTTCTGAGCTGACAGTGGCCTCCCCCTCAGGGTGGGGAAGCACAGGCCAGGGCACCAGTCATACTTCTGGGCAATTCGAAGTCATGTGTTCTGTGTCACCAAGGCCGTGACTCACCCCTGTGCTTGCCGAAGCTCATTCACAAAGGGGTGAAACTGCTCTACAAGCACTTTTCTGAGTGAGGCTGCCCACCTCCCAGAGGGGAAAACGGGCCCCACGGGAGGTGGGCCTGGCCCTCCCGGGTTCAAGCCGTCCAGGCAGGGGCCCCTCAGGGCCAGGACCAGGAGAGTTCAGTTCTGTGTCCCCACCCCTTAGGACTTCAATAAATTCTGTTAGATGAATGAACCAACAGCAGAAGAAATGAAGTGAAGCTGGCACAAAACCCTAAAGCTCCTCCTTTCGATGTAGACGTTCCCTGTGTTCTTGCTCCTCGGGGAAGAGGAGAGATGCTTGTGTGACCCATGGGAGGGAGGCTGGACCTCCTCAGAGTGAGCCAACAGCGGCTGAGGGCACAGAAGTCACATGCCCAGGGCCGGCTCTCCCTCCACATCCCTCTAAGAAGGTGGGAGCTGTCCTGGAATCCTTTGAGGGGGTAGGGCCACTCAGTGTCCGGGCTATTTCTGGAATTACAAACAGCTCATGTTGGTTGAGATCCTCAAAGGAGTTTCATTTATTTATTTATTTTTTTATTTATTGAGACAGAGTCTCACTATGTTGCCCAGGATGGTCTCGAACTCTTGGCTTCAAGTGATCCTCCCACCTCAGCCTCCCAAAGTGCTGGGATTACAGGCATGAGCCACTATGCCTGGCTCAAAATAGTTTTTTATTTCTTTTTAATCTTTATTCATTTATTTTTTGAGACAGAGTCTTGCTCTGTCATCCAGGCTGGAGTGCAGTGGTGCGATCTTGGCTCATTGCAACCTCTGCCTCCAGAGTTCAAACGACTCTTGTGCCTCAGCCTTCTGAGTAGCTAGGACTATGGTGGTGCGCCATCATACCTGGCTTTTTTTTTTTTTTTTTTTCTGGAGACAGAATCTGTAGCTGGGATTTTAGGCATCTGTCTCCACACCCAGCTAATTTTTGTATTTTTAGTAGAGACAGGGTTTCACCATGTTGGCCAGGATGGTCTCAAACTCCTGGCCTCAAGTGATCTGCCCACCTCGGCCTCCCAAAGTGCTAGGATAACAGGTGTGAGCCACCACACCCAGCCAAAAGAGTTTTTTTTTTTTTAAATTATTGTTATTATTATTGTGCTCCTTAAAACAACAAAGGCCAGGTGACAGATGCTAAGAGCCCAGTCTAGACTGGTGCAGTCAGGCCGGGAGGAGTGAGCAGCCACTTGTGGGCCTCGGTCAGGCTGTCCTGACAGAGAGGACAGAGTAGGTGGCTATCCATGCTGCAGGTTCCGCCACCCTACAGCATCTCCTCCCTGCCTGGGAATCCCATGTTTAGTTGCTCCTGTAGGTTGGACAGCCATGATTGGGGCAGCTGCCACCCAGAGATTGTGGGGACAGTTCTGGGCTTGCCTAAGGGCTCTGGAGTCTGGAATCTGGACCACATAGTACAGCAAGAGAAACAGCACACAGCTCATCCTTGAGCGTATCTAATATATCAAAATGATTCCAGAATTAATGAGACCTCCTGGGTACCTAGTACCTAAAGGCTTAACTGGGATAGCACTCCACCCCACCCCCCATCCCACCTGCCCCACCTCTCGCAAGACATATTCAGTCCTCCATAGAGACACCTCCCTTAATGCTAAGGAGTTCACTCAGCTCAGACTTCTGGAGTGGGGAAACGGAGGCTTTCTCCATCCAGACTCATCATCCTGGAATTCTTTATTTCTCTCTCCTGATTGCGGTTTTTTTTTCTATATTCCCTATTTTTTCACTTTTTCTTTTTCACAGTCTTTTTTTTCTTGAAATATTTCTCCTTTTCTTTCTTTGTCTTCTCCTTAGTAAATCAAATTGCCTAATTGTCAACCTGGCAGGTGGGGACTGGAACCCAGGGAGGATGTGGCACCGGACAGAGGCTTCCAATGGAGGCAACAGCTTGGTCCACCCACATGGCGGCAGATCCACGCATCTCCCTGGACCTTCCGTGTCTGAGCGTCCATCTGGGAGCCTCCACCAAGGGGCATGAGAGAACAGAAGCGGAGGAAGACCCTGAGAGTTGGCTTCCTAAGAGAGAAAAGGGTAACGAGAATGACATAAGAGTTTTGTTAGGCTGATCACACTAATGGCCAAAACACTGAAGCTGAGTGGGTCAGCGATGCAGCAGGCATTAGTGCCAGCTGGAGAATACAAGTTTGCCCTGCACTTAGGGCCGCACCATCCATGTGGCAGGATTTCTCACTCCTGGGGCCTTCCACAGACGTGCATTTTACCATATTCTCTAACCATAAACAAACGAAAACTCTCGTGGCATACAGCTTTCAAAGACCATTGTCTCGAAAAGGAAATTGGGACTGCATTTTCCCACAAGTTCAAGGAGTTTTGATTACTCAGAACGCCCTCTCGACATTCTTGTGAACATTTGAGAAATTCCCACTGCCTCCTGTTGCCCTCAGTGCAGGAAGCCAGGGATATGCACACTCAGACAAGCGCTTCTGGGCTCACAGCAACTGCACAAACCATTGCATAACTGCAAGCAGGGTGCGTGTGTGTGTGTGCAAGTGTGTGTGTGCGTGCGTGCACGTGTGTGCATGCATGTCTGCGTTGTGTCCATATGCGTGTGCGTGTGTGTGCATGTGTCCGTGTGCGTGCATGTGTACATGCGTGCGTGCCTGTGCGTGTGTGCGCGTGTGTGTGCGCGCGCGCGTGTGTGTGTGTTACTTTGCTTGATAATGAAAGGAAATGCAAATAAAGAAATACTGGCTTCTGGTAAATTTATGCCTAAAAGATTACTTCATTCCAAATCTTTCTGGACTACACACCTCCTCAAAATTCCTCCCCAATTTTTTTTCCAGGAGCTTATTTCCCAGAGTGGTGTTCCAGGATTGCTGCAGGACATGTGACAATGGAATTACTTCTATGAGAGCCCGATTTTGGGGCTCAAAGTTGTCCTCAAGCCCAGAGATGGATGCAGGGACTCTCCAAGGTAGAAGGGCCTTCTGGCTACCAGCCACCCATGCAAAGTGAAACTCCAGGCACGAAAAAGACATGGGGAGTCTTGGCAAATACTGAAGCCACTGCTGGAAAAGAAGGAAGGCCCCATGTGAGCCTGCCCTCACCATTCCATGGAGACAGATGAGCCCGTGGGAAGCTGAATGTGCTAGGGGAGATCTTTGTGCCCTGCTAACCAGTGGCCTGCCAGAAGCCCAAAAAGTGCCAGGAGGGAGCAGCGACAGGAAAGCAGAGAATTCTGGAAAATAAGGTTTCCCAGCATCATCTGCCTGGGTGAATGTCGTTGGCAGGTAGACATCTGTCTCAATTTCTAAAGAATGATCTGATTTTCTAAAAAAGGAGAAAGAAGGGAAGGAGGGAAGAAGGAAGGAAGGGAAAAAAAGGGAAAAGTAAAGAAAAAATAAAAGAACTCCGGGCGCAGTGGCTCACGCCTGTAATCCTAGAACTTTGGGAGGCTGAGGTGGGCAGATCACCTGAGGTCAGGAATTTGAGACCAGCCTGACCAACATGGTGAAACCCCATCTCTACTAAAAATACAAAAAAAATTAGCTGGCTGTGGTGGCGCGTGCCTGTAATCCCAGCTACTCGGGAGGCTGAGGCAGGAGACTCGCTTGAACCCGGGAGGCGGAGGTTGCGGTGAGCCGAGATTGCACCATTGCACTCCAGCCTGGGTGACAAGAGCAAAACTGCATCTCAAAAGAAAAAAAAAAGAAAGAAAAAATAAAAGAAAAGGAGATATAAAAGTTCTAGATCTGTGCTGTTCACTGCCCACATAATGCTAGTGAGCACCGAAATGTGGATGGTCTGAAACGGGATTCACTGTAAATGTAAAATAGACACTGGGTTTCAAAGGCTCAGTGAGGAAAAGGGACTGTAAAATAAGTAACAGTCATTGTCATCAATTACATGTTGAAATAATCTTTTAATTATTTTTTATTAAACAAAATAGATTAGAATTCATTTCACCTGTTTTTATTTTTCATTTTTTGAGAGGGAGTCTCACTCTCACCCAGGCTGGAGTGCAGTAGCATGATCTGGGCTCACTGCAACCTCTGCCTCCTGGGTTCAGGTGATTCTACTGCCTCAGCCTCCCCAGTAGCTGAGATTACAGGCGCCTGCCACCACACCTGGCTAATTTTTGTATTTTACTAGAGACTGGGTTTTACCATGTTGGTCAGGCTGGTCTCGAACTCCTGACCTCAGGTGATCCACCCATCTCAGACTCCCAAAGTGCTGGGATTATAGGCGTGAGCCACTGTGCCTGGCCCGTTTCACCTATTTTTAAAATGTGGCCACTAGAACGCTGCCAGCTCCATCTGCACCTGCCCTCTATTTACAAGGCAGGGCCGTCTCAGGTGGTAACTTTGGGATGACAGCCCTGGTCCCAGCCCCGCTTCAACTTCCCACCAAATCATGAAGGTCTCTTGCTCAGCCCCTTTCCCGGAACGGGGCTGGAAGTAAACTAGCCCAGGTGTGTGGGTATCTAGACTTTTGGGTTCTCCAGATAAAATCCAAGCATCTCCCTGAAAAACCCTTTTGTTTTTTTTTTTAAAATAGAGATGAGGTCTCCCTATGTTGCCCAGGCTGGTCTTAAATTCCTGGCCTCAAGTGATTCACCTGGCTCAGCCTCGCAAAGTGCTGGGATTACAGGTGTGAGCCATCATGCCTGGCCCTGTTTTGCTGTTTAAGCAGCTATTTTCTGAGTGCTGCTTGACCTTTTAAAATCCTGCACTTCATATAAAGGTACAAAGGGGCTTTCTTGCACTCACTTGAGGTAGTCATATGGGTGGCTATGTGATAGAAAGGGAAACTTTGAATAGGATGTATGAGTTGTGGGAGGGTTTTCGTTAGGCATCAATGGAGACTGAGTCCTGGATAGACACTGTTCAAGTTTGAATCCAGGTTCACTGGTCCTTAGGAGACTTTTTAAAGTGGTGCTACAGAACATCACAGCAACAGTCACAGAACAGTTTTTCTTTTTCTTTTTCTTTTTCTTTTTTTTTTTTTTTTTTTGAGACAGGGTCTCGCTCAGTTGTCCAGGCTGGAATGCAGTGAGGTGATCTCAGCTCACTGCAACTTCTGCCCCCAAGGCTCATGCGTTCCTCACATGTCAGCCTCCTGAGTAGCTGGAACTGAGAACATTTTTTCCATCAGGTGTTTAGCCTCACAGACCTGTGTGTGTGTGTGTGTGTGTGTGTGTGTGTGTGTGTGTGTATTCACACACAAACACATTGTATTAGTCCATTCCCACATTGCTATAAAGAACTACCTGAGGCTGGGCATGGTGGCTCACACCTGTAATCCCAGCACTTTGGGAGGCCAAGGCGAGCAGATCACCTGAGGACAGGAGTTCGAGACCAGCCTGGCCAACATGGTGAAACCCGTCTCTACTAAAAATACAAAAGTTAGCCGGGCATGGTGGCAGATGCCTGTAATCCCAGCTACTCGGGAGGCTGAGGCAGGAGACTCACTTGAACCTGGGAGGTGGAGGTTGCAGTGAGCCAAGATCGCACCACAGCACTCCAGCCTGGGCAACAGAGTGAATGCGACTCCATCTAAAAAAAAGAAGAAGAAGAACTACCTGAGACTGGGTAATTTATGAAGAAAAGAGGTTTAATTAACTCTCAGGCTTAACAAGAAGCATGACTGGGAGGCCTCAGGAAACTTACAATCATGGTGGAAGGTGAAGGGGAATCAAGCACCTTCTTCACATGGTGGCAGGAGAAAGAGAGAGAGAGAAGGGGGAAGCGCCACGCACTTTCAAACCGTCAGATTTCAGATAGAACTCACTATCACGAGAACAGCAAGGGGGAAATCCACCCCCATGATCCAATCACCTCCCACCAGGCTCCTCTGTGACACGTGGGGATTACAATTCAACATGAGATTTGGGTGGGGAGACAGAGCCAAACCAGATCACACGTATATTTATATATTTAATACGTTAAAATATAGTACTCAGTATATTATATTAAATACAATATAAAATTATATGTAATATATAAAACTGTATTATATTTAATGTAATATTATATATATGTGTGTGTATATATATTCTGAAAATGCCAGGACATTGTTTTGAGCATTTCTGAACTTAGCGTGAATTTCTGTTTATAAATTGTTCTGCACAGAAGATATGTCTCTTACTCTATTGCTGTGCCCCTTTGACATACCGCATCAATGTCTTTATTTGTTGAGCAATTTTTCTTACCTTCTGGCACTACAAGATACCCCAGGCTCATCTTGTGTATTTTCTGCTCCAGTCCTTGAATCAGCCAGTTCTCAAAGGAGACTGGTGCCTTTGGAGAATGGTATTGCTAACCCAAGATCTGGGTGCTAGATGTGCTTATTTCTACTAGGGTGCCATTTCTCAGCCTTTTGGGTGATGGAGTAAAGAAATACATACGCATTTACTAACATTTGTATACACATAACTATACATATTTCAATATGTAGCCATTTTTGTCCATATACATGTATATTTTTGAGACAGGGTCTCACTCTGTCACCCAGACTGGAGTGCAGTGGCACAATCTTGGCTCACTGCAGCCTCAACCTATTGGAGTCAAGCGATCCTCCCACCTCAGCCTCCTGAGTAGCTGTGTCCAGTGCCACCAAACCTGGCTAGTTTTTATATTTTCAGTACAGACAGGGTTTCACCATGTTGCCCAAGCTGGTCTCGGACTCCTGGGCTCAAGCGATCTGCCCACCTCGGCCTCCCAAAGTGATAGGATTTCAGGTGAGAGCCACCTTGCCCAGCCTCATTTTTGTCTATATTAAGCTAAATATGAGTTCTTACCAATGCCTCCAAGTCTAATTCATTATCACATGGACACTTCTAGCCTCCTTCTGTTGCTTATCTTTCTTACTCCAACTCTGCATGTATTTCTAAATCCTTATTCCAGGGAGGGCTACACACCTATTGAAGAACTTTCTTTCCAGAAGTATTTTGTTTGTGATGAGGAAAAAAAAAACATAGTGCTTAATTTCTATCAATGGAAAGAGAAAATGTCATCAAATTTTACAAACGACTAGAAATGTCCTTAAGGTTGTCATTGGAATCTGTTATTAATGGAACACAGCAGTCTATATGGGTCACTAAAGCACACGAGTTATGTGCTTTTGGTCCACGGCCTGGCTGACTTTGCTCCCAGCATCTCTTTCCTGGTGCTGGGTGGTAGAGGCTCTGGACCAGAACCTACAGGAGGGGCCTGAACACATTTGTCCACCCTCCAAAGTCACATGCACCTCAGTGTCTTCCTAGAACTGTGTCTTGGAGACGATGGTCTCCACCTGCTGTGGTCAGTGATGCCGACCACCTCATTTGCTGATGCCGACAGCATCAGCAACGCCCAACGTGAATTCACATCAGTGTGATGATGTCCCACAGAAGAGCCCAGTACTGACTGGAGAGTGGTTCCTCTGTGTCTTCCCAGCCTAGCTTCCTACCCTCCAGGAGGATGTGCATCTCCTCCTAATGCTGACATGGACAACGAGCATTTCCCTCTCTTCTCAGGCTCGTGCTCATGTAAGCATTGGCCTTACCAGTGTGGGATTCTTCATCCAAGCCGACACAGCCTATTTGTGACAGCTTATGTTTAATTACACAAGTCATAATAATTGAAACACTTATTTCAAGCATTTTGCTTCTATCAATTTACTTAATCTTCACAACAAGCCTATATTAGCTCTATTTTTGTAGAAAAAGAGTAAGGCACATTGAGGTTTATTTATTTTTTTTCTTTACTTCTTACACACCTAGTAACTAATGAAGCTAGGGTCGACACGGAACACCATGACCGTGCATAGTGCCGCTAAGTAATGCATGAATGCACATTCATTGTTTAAAAACAAAGATAGACTGGGCACAGCGGCTCACGCCTGTAATCCCAACACTTTGGGAGGCTGAGGCAGGTGGATCCCTTGAGCCTAGGAGTTCGAGACCAGCCTGGGCAACATAGTGAGACTTCATCTCTACAAAAAATAAAAATAGCCAGGCATAGTGGTGTGCGCCTGTACTTCCAGCTACTCGGGGGCTGAGGTGGGAGGATCACTTGAGCCCAGGAGGTTGAGGCTGCAGTGAGCCATGATCATGCCACTACACTCCAGCCTGGGTGACAGAGCTCAGATCTTGTCTCAAAGAAATGAAAAATAAATAAATAAGATAAAATTAAAAATCCAACACAGAAATATATGGAGTAAAATTTATAATCCCCCTTTATCACCTCCTTCCAATTCTCCTTTCCCCTTCGAGGTAACTACTCTTCATTGTGTGTGTATCTCCTTCCAGACCTGTTTTTTCTTCTTACATTGTTTCATGGATTTATTTTTTTAGAAATAGAGAGATGGGGTCTTGCTATATTGCCCTACCTGGTCTAGAACTCCTGGTCTCAAGCAATCCTCCCACCTCAGCCTCCCAAAATGTTGGAATTACAAGCATGAGCCACTGCACCCAGACTCCATACCTGTTTCTATGAATGATATAGACTTAGCATTTGGGAGAGACTTTAAATACATATAATATATATACATATATATATAATTATACTAATGTGTCATATTTTGATTTGTTAATTTCACTTGTCAATGTGTCTTAGAGATCTTCCATGTCACTGTATATAAATCTACCTCAGTCTCTTAAGGGTTCCACAGTGTGGATACACTGTAAGTTATTTATCCAGTCTCTAATTGATAGCTAAGTTGTTTCCAGCATTTTACTAGATAATCAACACCTTGGCGAACATCCTTGCATATGCCTTGTGTGACAACATCAGAGGGTGGATTCCCAGAAATAGAATTTTTGAATCAGAGTGAATCCACATTTGACATGTTATTACTGACTAATTGTTCTCCAAAAAGTTTGGGCTGATTTTCACTCCTCTATGACATGTGGGGAGCTTGAGAATGCCTGTTTTCCCACACCCTCACTAACACTGAATAGTAGCAATTCTTAACATTTTTGCTAATCTGATAAGTGGAAAATGGGATCTCCTTGTTTGAACGTGAATTGGTTCTTTCTGAATTTGTGATTTTAGTTTCCTCATTACTCATACGTTACTGGGCTTTGAATTTCTTTTTCAGTCTTGTGCTATCATTTGCATCTTTCTTCATAATAATCTAAAATGATCTTTAAAACTCTTTGTTGATTTCACCTTTGAGCTTAGGTGGATTTTGTTGAGAAATAGGAGTTTCCATTTCCGGAGCAGTGTGGGTCTATCTGGAGTCATTGTCATGATCTCTGTGGTACCTGGCAGGGTGACAACAACACAGCCAGTGACAAGAGGGCTGATTCTCTGCCTCTCCCTACAGACACCTCCTTCTTGGTCCCTCCCAGCCCCACCTGGAGCCTCCCAAGTGCTCCTTCCTTAAGGATAAACTGTTCTAGAATACGTCAGTCTTTGAAAACTTGTGGACTTTTGTCACAGCCTCTAGGGTGGCTATGACTCAGCCCCTGATATCTGAGGCTGTCCACATGGAAAGTGTCAATTACCCTCACAAACCTGCCCCCAGCCCTGGTTCTGGACCTGCAGAAGGGCTTGCTGTGCCTTCCTCCCACTATGTGTCTGCTACTGCTTATTCCTGTCCCTTTTGTGCCACCAGAAAGATAGAACAGCCACAGATGCTAACCCATTCAAATAGCACCACATCACTCCGTGAGAATAGAGAGATACAGATTTTAGAGACTGGGTCTTGCTCTGTCACCCACGCTGGAGTGCCAGTGGTGTGATCTTGGTTCCTTGCAGCCTCCAACTCCTGGGCTCAAATGATCCTCCCACCTCAGCCTCTCAAGTAGCTAGGACTACAGGCATGTACCACCATGCTGGGCCATTTTTTTTTTTTTTGAGACAGGGTCTCGCTCTGTCGCCCAGGCTGGAGTGCAGTGGCACAATCTTGGCTCACTGCAACCTCTGCCTCCCGGGTTCAAGCGATTCTTGTGTCTCAGTCTCCCGAGTAGCTGGGACTACAGGTGCGCACACCACACCCGGCTTATTTTTGTATTTTTTGCAGATGGGGTTTCACCATGTTGGCCAGGCTGTTCTCAAACTCCTGACCTCAAGTGATTTGCCCATCTTGGCCTCCCAAAGTGCTGAGATTACAGGCGTGAGCCACCGCGCCCAGCCTGTTATTTTTTTTAGAGACAGGATCTCATTCTGTTGCCAGGCTAGTCTGGAACTCCTAGGCTCAAGCACTCCTCCTGCCTTAGCCTCCCAGAGTGCTTCAGATTACAGTCATGAGCCACCACACCCAGCCTAGGTATAGATTTTTAAACCTCTGAGATCTTTTAGAAATGCTTGTGCATGCCGGGCGCAGTGGCTCACATCTGCAATCCCAGCACTTTAGGAGGCCAAGGCAGGTGGATCACTTGAAGTCAGGAGTTCGAGACTAGCCTGGCCAAAATGGTGAAACCCATCTCTACCAAAAACATAAAAACTTAGCCGGGTGTGGTGGCATGCGCCTATAATCCCAACTACTCAGGAGGCTGAGGCAGGAAAATTGCTTGAACCTGGGAGGCAGAGGTTGCAGCGAGCCAAGATTGTGCCACTGCACTTCAGCCTGGGCAACAGAGAGAGACTTTGTCTAAAAAAAAAAAAAAGTTCGTGCATAAACATGTATGTATTTTTATATAGATTCTTTTTTAAAAATGCAAATGGAAAACAACTATACATAGTATTCTATGCCTCACTTTAAAAAAACAGTAATGTTTCTCAGAGATCTGTCCATTTCAGCCTATGCGATCTATTTCATTTGAAATGGCCACATATATTCCACTAATGTGTCATGACAGTTGGCCCTCCGTACCTGCTGGTTCTGCATCCAAGGATTCAATCAACTGCAGGATAGAAAATATTCTTTAGGCCAGGCGCGGTGGCTCACGCCTGTAATCCCAGCACTTTGGGAGGCAGAGGTGGGCTAATCACCTGAGGTCAGGGGCTTGAGACCAGCCTGGCCAACATGGTGAAATCCCATCTCTACTGAAAATACAAAAAAACTAGCCTGGCACAGTAGTGAGTGCCTGTAGTCCCAGCTACTCGGGAGGCTGAGGCAGAAGAATCACTTGAACCCAGGAGGCGGAGCTTGCAGTGAGCCAAGATCATACCACTGCACTCCAGCCTGGGTGACAGAGCGAGACTCCGTCTCAAACAAAACAAAACAAAACTCAAATTCTTTTGAGACCAGCCTAGGCAACACAGCAAGACCCTGTCTCAAAACACACACACAGACACACACACACACACACACACACACAAATAACAATACAACAACAAATAATACAAATTAAAACAATAATACAATAAACAAGTATCTACATAGCATTTACATCTTATTAATCTAAAGGTGATTTAAAGTGTGGGGGAGGTTGTGAATAGTTTATATGCAAATATTACACCATTTTATATCAGAGACTTGAGCATCATGGATGTTGGTGTCTACAGGGCTAGGGGTCAGGGGTTTCCAGGAACCAGTCCCCCAAGAATAGAGGGATGACTGTACTTACTTATTATCCAGTCCCCTATTAATGGACATTTGAGTTGTTTCTCTTTTTTTGCCATTACAAACAATGTGACTTGAACAAACATCCTTGTGGACATGTGGGATGTACCTGCAGGGTAGAACTGGAATGGCAGGGTCAAAGGAAATGTGTACTTTAATTTGGAAAGATATTGCCAAATGGCTCTCCAAAGAGGCTGTGCCAACTCATACTCCCGTCAACAGCCATCAACAGAAGCTGCTTCCCTGCCCTCTCACCAGCATCAGACTTGATTAAATGGTAAGCCTTTGCCTTTATGATCAGTGAAAAATGGTATCTCACTGTGGTTTTAATTTGCATTTCTAAATTATGGTTGAGAAATGTGTATCGAGTGTTAAGAAATTATTTGTATTTTTATCTTTTTAGAGACAGGGTCTCGCTATGCTGGCCAGGCTGTTCTCAAATTCCTGGGCTCAGGCGATCTTCCTGCCTCAGCCTCCGGAGTTGCTGGGACCACAGACGTGGTCCATGTGCGTTCACTTCTGAAGATACAGGACTCTCTCTGCAGCCTGCAGTGATACAGAGCTCCGTCTGCCTGGACACACCACACGGCCATTTCTCACCTAGACTTTTGCCATTCACCAGGCTCCTCCCAGGAAACTGAGACAGGGCCCCATTCTCATGACACCCCTGCTCTGCTCTCCTCCCAAGCTCAGGGCCACTCTCTAGTTGCAGAGAAAACGCTAGAGTTTTCTCTGGGAAACCTCACAATTTCTTATCAAGCAGCTTACCAAATATGTTTCTGCATCTTTTACACCCGTCTAAGGAGTCAGGATTCAGAAACCCAGAGTTCCAGAAGACTTTGTTTCTTTCTATCCTTTTCTTTTCTGTCTACTCTCATATCTCTTCCTTAAGGCAGGGAATGGCCAGAAGAGCAAGCACATGTACGTGTGTGTGTCTTTGTGTCTGTGTGTGAGGGCATGTGTGAGTGTGTGTGAGTGCATGTATGTGTGAGCATGTCTGAGAGTGTATGTGAGTGTGTGTATGAGTGCATGTGTGTGTATGTGTGTGCACGTGTGTGTGTATGTGTGAGTGTATGAGTGTGCGCATATGTGTCAGTGTGTGTGTGTCAGTGTGTGTGTATGTGTGAGAGTGTGTGTGTCTGTATATGTGGTTCCTGGGGAGGGGAGAGGCCAAAGCTGGAAGGATGTCAGGGAGGAGAGCCCAGCCAGGCATCAGGGCCTGGGGCTGCAGTCCTGGGGCCGTAGAGGGCTGTGCACTTGCTGTGCTGCTTCCCTGGAAGGTATTGCCGGGGTGCTGGCCGGCCCTGCTCTCCTCCTTGGCATCTGATGGTGAGCCTGCACATCTGGGCCCTCGGTCAGGTGCGTAGCATGCAGGCGCCCACGGGTTTAACAGCCAGGCTATGCTTGTCCTTGGTGCTCTCCACAAAGGCCTGGAAGGGAGGGGCCTCAAAGTGTCCCTCAAAAGGCCTCTGAGGCTTCTGCTTCCTCCCAAAGACTTTCGTGAGTTCACTCTCAAGGAACCAGTGAGAGGAAAGGGTTTTCTCCAGAGAGCGCTCTTCTCTGTGGATGAGGCCTCCCCAGCCCAGTGCATTGCCCCCCAGCCTCCATTCCTGCTTTTCTGGGTTTCTTTGGGCCAGGAGGCTGGAGAGTGTAAAATGTCCCCACCGGCACCAGTGGCCTCAGACCCCTGTGTGCACAGGAAGGAAGCTGTAGGGGAGGCACTCGGCATTAGGTTACAGACACAGCTGAATTCCTTCCTCACAGTGTGTTTGTCCCATGAGGAAGGAACCGCACTCCCTGGTTCCTCCTTTGCACTGCCTCCCACAGAATCAAAGCTCCATCTCCAAGTCTTTTACTCCTTGGGACTAGTTTCCTTCTGTGAGGTCCCATATTTCCTGGAATGGCGATTGCAGTGGATCCAGCCACCTGCACGTGGAGGTGCAGGTGCCCTTTTCTCTTTCCTGAGCAGGGCCAGCTCTCAGGACAGCTTGCCTCTTTATCTCCAGCCACTTCTAATTGTCCCCTCCAGCAACCCCCATGAGCTCACTCTGCAGCCTGACCTAGTTGTGTTGGCCCCATCCTTGCCTCTGTGCTGATTACTCCCAGGACCTTGCTGCCTTCAGTCCTTACTCCTCTAAGAACTTTTCAGTTCTTAGTTCTTCCTCTAACTATTCAGTAAATCTTCTCTTCACGGTGGCATCTCGGAGCTCCACCAGCAGGCTTGTCTTAGGGGCCTCTGGCCAAACACATCTCTGAAGTATATGCATTCGTGAAGCTTTGGAGTCAGGAGGCAGATCCAGTCCCATTTCTGGCACTGACTGGCTGGTCCCTTGGCTTCTCTGAGCCTCTTTCTTCAGTAAAATGATGAAGAAAACAGTATCAACTTTGTAGGGTGGCGAGCTCCATGGGCATCGTGATCATATTTATATGTGCTGGCCAGGCACAGTGGCATGAGCCTGTAATCCCAACACTTCAGGAGGCTGAGGCAGGAGGATCACTTGAGCCCAGGAGTTTGAGATTAGTCTGGACAACAAAGTGAGACCCTCATGCCTATAAAAAATAAAAACAATAATAAAATTATCTGGGTGTGGTGGCACATACTTGTAGTCCTAGCTAGTTGAGAGACTGAGGCAGGAGGATTGCTTGAGCCTCAGAGTTTGAGTCTGCAGTGAGCTATGATCGCACCACTGAACTCCAGCCTGGATGACAGAGCAAGATTTTTTTCTCTCTCCAGAAAAAAAGCATATGTGTGGCCAGGCGCGATGGCTCACGCCTGTAATCCCAGCACTTTGGGAGGCCGAGGCGGATGGATCACCTGAGGTCGGGAGTTCGAGACCAGCCTGACCAACATGGAGAAACCCCATCTCTACTAAAATTACAAAATTAGCCGGGCATGGTGGCACATGCCTGTAATCCCAGCTACTCAGGAGGCTGAGGCAGGAGAATCTCTTGAACCCAAGAGTTGGAGGTTGCAGTGAGCTGAGATCGCGCCATTGCACTCCAGCCTGGGCAACGAGAGTGAAGCTCCGTCTCAAAAAACATAAAAATAAAAAATAAAGCATATGGGCTATTAATTATTGTTAGTATTACATGAAAAGCATTATTCATTGTCATTGATCCTGCCTCATCTAGCATAAATCTTGAGTCTAATATTTCTTGAGGAGATGGGGGTTTTCTCTACAAGTTTCTCCCTTTATTTATTTTTATTTTTAATTTTTTTCTGAGACAAAGTCTTGCTCTGTCGCCTAGGCTGGTGTGCAGTGGCTTGATCTCAGCTCACTGCAACCTCCGTCTCCCGGGTTGAAGCGATTCTCCCGCCTCAGCCTCCCGAGTAGATGGGATTACAGGCGCCCGCCACCACGCCCAACTAATTTTTTTCTTTTTTTTCTTTTTTTTTTGTATTTTTAGTAGAGACGGGGTTTCACCATGTTGGCCAGGATGGTCTTGAACTCCTGACCTCATGATCTGCCTGACTCGGCCTCCCAAAGTGCTAGGATTACAGGCATGAGCCACCACGCCCAGCCCATTTTCTCTCTCTTTTTAATGTAATTCTTCTTTTTCTGTCTCTTACCAGAAGGAATGTAATTCTTTTTTTAATTAGAAGGTGAGGATGATGGTTGCATTGTTGGAGAGGAAAACAGAATAATGTGGGGAAGGAAAGATAAATAGGCTATCAGCAACCTCGACTCCCAGGGTAGGTGCCAGCAAATTCAGCTCTGAAGGAATAAAGCTTGGAAACCTAGTGCTGGACTCCTCGTCTCTATGGACAAGAGACCAGCCCTGCCCCTGCAGATGCCCTGTGGGTGCTCCCAGGAGCCTCTGACCGCACCCAAGGATACACGGGCAATTGGTGTCCTCTTCACTTGTCTGTGTTGCTCTGGTTTGTCACACCTGGAAAACAGGCCAATAGCCCAGGAGGCAGGGCCCCAAGGAAACACGTGCTGGGCCGCCTGCAGAGCCAGAAATGAAGGGTCAGGGAGTCTCCTGAGAGGAGACAGCAAGTCCGGCAGCAGAGGGTCAGGAAAGCCTGAGGGCCCAAGGCCCTGAAGTCATGGGCTGGGGGTCTACCTTGCAGGGAGGCTGAGTGGAGGAAACTCAAGGAGAGCGGGCCGTGAGCCTGGAGAGGAAGCAGGAGGTTAGAAGTAAACCACATTGACTGTGGGGCTATCAGCATAGCAAAACATTGCAAATGCCCTCACTTTCCATCAATGTGGAAAAGGCTAAATACATACGAGTATCCACACGATGAGGAGGCTGAACAGAAAGATGAGAATTTGTATTATGTATTGATGTGAAACGATATCCAAGTTAAATAAAATAATTTTCTTGTTGGTAGGGTTGCTTCGAATTTTCTTTTTTTTTGAGACAAGGTCTCCCTTTGTCACCAAAGCTGCAGTGCAGTGGCATGTTCATGGCTCACTGCAGCCTTGACCTCCTGGGCTCAAGCTATCCTCCCATCTTAGCCTCCCAAGTAGCTGGAACTACACCTGGCTAATTTTTTAATTTTTTATAGAGACGAGCTCTCCTTATGTTGCCCAGGCAGGTCTTGAACTCCTGGGCTCAAGTGATCCTTCTGCCTCAGCCTCCCAAAGTGCTGGGATTACAGGCAGCAGGCACTAGGCCTGGCCCCCATCCCCCCAATATTTTTTTAAATAATAATTTGCATGTTTTTTAAAGGAAGAATATTTACGTATTTGCTTGAATGTGCATAAAATGCCTTTGGAAGGATTCACAAAAACCCATTTCAGAGAGTGTTTATTTAATGGGTAGACTCAACTGGGGAAGATGAGAAAGTTCTGGACATGGATGTTGGCGATGGTTGCACACAATGCGAATAGACTTAATGCCCCTGGACTGTACACTTAAAAATGGCTAAAATGGGCTGGGCGCAGTGGCTCACGCCTGTAATCCCAGCACTTTGGGAGGCCGAGGAGGGTGGATCACCTGAGGTCAGGATTTAGAGACCAGCCTGACCAACAAGGTGGAACCCCCCTCTCTACTAAAAATACAAAAAATTAGCCAGGCATGGTGGCAGGCGCCTGTAGTCCCAGCTACTTGGGAGGCTGAGACAGAACTTGAACCTGGGAGGCGGAAGGTGCAGTGAGCCGACATCATGCCACTGCACCCCAGCCTGTGCGACAGAGACTCCATCTCAAAAAAAAAAAAAAAAAAAAGCCGGTGCAGTGGCTCAAGCCTGTAGACCCAGAACTTTGGGAGGCCAAAGCAGGCAGATCACCTGAGGTCGGGAGTTCGAGACCAGCCTGACCAACATGGAGAAACCCTGTCTCTACTAAAAAAAAAATTACAAAATTAGCCAGGCATGGTGGCACATGCCTGTAATCCCAGCTACTTGGGAGGCTGAGGCAGGAGAATCGCTTGAACCCAGGAGGCGGAGGATGCAGTGAGGCGAGATTGCACCATGGCACTCCAGCCTGGGCATCAGGAGCGAAACTCCGTCTAAAAAAAAAGAAAAAAGAAAAATGGCTAAAATGGTAAATTTTATGCTATATACATTTAACCACAATTTTTAAAAACCCACCAAAAACTATTTTGACAGTTGCCTGTGGGGAGAACTGGATGGTTGAGAGAGGGAAAGAGGCTTTTCACTGCATATCCTTTTGTACACATTGAAATATTTTCAAAAAATAAGTAAATGAAATTAAACATACAAGAAGCAGTTGTTGTACCTGAGCGAGTTAGAGAAAACGCCACACTTTGAGACGAATTAAGAGTCCGTTTATTTAGTTGGTGGCCAAGAGACAGCTAACACTCAAAATTCTCTCGGCCTGAAGAAGGGGCTAGATTTTCTTTTATACTTTGGTTTAGAAAAGGGAGGGGGGGTCTAGTTAAAACAATTTTACAGAAATAAAGTAGGCAAGAAGTTAAAAGGATAAATGGTTACAGGAAAGTAAACAGTTCCAGGTGCAGGGGCGTTAAGACCATTACAAGGTGATAGACTTGGGGCTTTGGGCATTATCAATCAGACGAATTCCTGAGAATTGCGGATATTGCTCGCCACAGTATCTTATCAGTTAATTGCATTCTTGGATGTGCTGGGAGTCAGCTTGCACAAGTTAAGTCCTCGAGGAAGGGGCTGCCAGTGAAAAAGCCAAGATGGAGTCTGTCTGGCTCTCTTAGCTAAGGGAGAGTCAATTCAGGTGGAAACAAGGCTGGGTGATTAAAGGAAAGGGAGAGTCTAAAAACAGGATTGGTAAAAATGAGGTTGGGCATTACACAGTAAGCAGGTAAGGCTCAAGGACAAGCTAAGCTTTGCTCAGCCTGCAGCTGAGAGGCAGCATGGGGGAGTGGCTGGCTCATTTACAATGACACTATTTACAAAACCACGAGGGGCGTAGAAGTAGGGATTGTGCAGCAATGCGGGGCGGATGCGAGCAAGAGGAACACTGCGCACCAGCACCTGCACCAGAAACCCGCACCAGAACCCTGTGGGACAGAGGCTGCCTGAGTGGGGCCGTGACCTTCCTTTTAGGTCCAACCCAGCCTGGGCGACCCTGCGGGGAGGACTGCAGGGGAATGAATGCAGACTCCCCACCCCCTCCTCCCTTTGATCTCCCACTAGGCTCTTCACTGGCCATGACCAAAAGGCGGCCAGAGGGCAAGGGTGGCGTCCATGCAGTGCACACAGCAGCTCCTCCAGGGCACAAAGCTGGAGGAGAGGAGGGATGACCTCTGGTCACGCCTGTGGGCTGAGGGGCCAGCCTGCCTGGGTGCACAGCCCAGGTCTACCATTGACTACCTGGGTATCCTTAGGCATCAAGATCTGGAACACCCAGCAATAATCATATTGATCCTAGAGGCTGTTATGAGAATGAAATTTGTTAATTCATGTGAAGTGTTTAGGACAGCGCCCCGCACATGATAAACCCCAGACACATGAATTGTGACTGACTGTGTGAAACCTAAAAGCTTTCTATGGCTTCTGCGGAGGCAGGGCCCATTGGGTCCATTCCGAGAGAGGGGAGGAGGAAGCCAGCAGTGGGTGCTAAGTTCAGGCTGGCACGTGGGAACAACAGTAACACCGAGGCATTGAGAATCTGTAAGTATCAAGACTGTGTGGGATCTGCTGTGTCCATTGTCCTTAAACCCTCATCATGCAAGCAGGCTGGGGGCAGTCGACCCTGTCTAACAGAGGAGGGGACTAAAGCTCAGAGGGGTGAAGCTCCCTGCCCAAGGCCACACAGCCAACAAAGCTGGACTCCAAGCCCCGCACTCTCACTGCTGCACCCCTCCCAGCTGCTAAATGTTCTTTTAGAAACTCAGAGCATGTTGGGCGAGGTGGCTCATGCCTGGAACCCCAGCGCTTTGGGAGGCTAAAGTGGGAGGATTAGCTTGAGGCCACGAGTTTGAGACCAGCCTAGGCAACATAGTGAAACCCTGTGTCTACAAAAATAAAATAAAAACAAGAAACTCAGAGCCCATGAAAGATTTATAAGTTGCAATATAAAAAATTAGAATTGAGGCTGGGCATGGTGGCTCACTCCTGTAATACCAGCACTTTGGGAAGCCAAGGCGGGCAGATCACTTAAGGTCAGGAGTTCGAGACCAGCCTGGCCAACATGGTGAAACCACATCTCTACAAAAATACAAAAATTAGCCAGGCATGGTGGCACGTGCCTGCAATCCCAGCTACTCCAGAGGCTGAGGCATGAGAATCTCTTGAACCCAGGAGGCAGAGGTTGCAGTGAGCCAAATTAAGCCACTGCACTCCAGCCTGAGCGACAGAGCAAGACTCTGTCTCAAAAAATAAAAATTTAATTTAATTTAAAAATTAGAATTGAGACTATCCTCTATTTAGCAGAATTTTCTCCAAGCTTCTTATCAGATATCTTAGCACTTACACAGAGGGTAAATTCTCATTTCAGATTATGTTCTATGGAGAAGAGTCTTTAAGTGTCAAAAATGTCAAATCCATTAACTTTAAAATGCAACTTTAAAGAGGATTGCAGGCAATTTTATAAAAAATTAAAAATAATAAATCTATGTTTAAAAGTAATGCATTTTTCAGAAAAATATCAGTGCCATGGTATTTAGAGTCAGATATGGTTAAGAAAGTGATTAGGCCGGGCGAGGTGGCTCACGCCTATAATCCCAGCACTTTGGGAGGCCAAGGCGGGTGAATCACCTGAGGTCTGGAGTTCAAGATCAGCCTGGCCAACATGGTGAAACCCCATCTCTACTAAAAATACAAAAAATTAGCTGGGCATGGTGGCCGGCGCCTGTAATCCCAGCTACTAGGGAGGCCGAGGCAGGAGAATTGCTTGAACTCGGTGGGCAGAGGTTACAGTGAGCCGAGATCATGCTATTGCACTCCAGCCTGGGTAACAAGAGCAAAACGTCATCTCAAAAAAGAAAAAAAGAAAGAAAGAAAGTGATTCAAGTAGGCCGGGTGCGGTGGCTCACGCCTGTAATCCCAGCACTTTGGGGGGCCAAGGCAGGTGGATTACCTGAGGTCAGGAGTTCGAGACCAGCTGGCCAACATTGCAAAACCCTGTCTCTACTAAAAATACAAAAATTAGCTGTGTGTGGTGGCGGGCTTCTGTAATCCTAGCTACTGGGAAGGCTGAGGCAAGAGAATCGCTTGAACCTGGGAGGAGGAGATTGCAGTGAGACAAGATTGCGCCACTGCACTCCGGCCTGGGCAACAAGAGCAAGACTCCATCTCAAAAACAAACAAACAAACAAACAAAAATGATTCAAGCACAGGAATATATGTACCAAGAATAATGTTTTTCTTTTTTGTTTTTAAATATTGAGATAACAATATAAATACATTTTATTTGTTCTAATGCACATATAATTATTTTAAATAATTTTATTTTTGAAAATAGTTTTTAACTATGTTATTTTATAAGTTCATCAATATAATAAAACTAATATCTTAGAAAATAAATACTTACAAATGTTTTAAGTCCAAGGCCATTGCCTGTGTCAGCATCTATCAAGGGGTATGTGGGTCACCTCCTTGTTCCTTGTCCCTGCAGCTTCACCAAAGGAAAGATGATTTTCATCCCTATCAGCCTCAATCTGTGATAAATACAGATGAATGAGTGGATGGACAAACAAAACATTGAAGGACAAATTGGCCAATGTACAGGGGAGCTGATGACAAGACGGGAAAGACAGTTTGGTTTGGGCTACACAGGAAAGGCTTTTCTTTTTTCTTTTTTCTTTCTTTTTTTTTTTTTTAGACAGGGTCGCCTGCCTTTGTCACCCAGGCTGGAGTGCAGTGGCACATTCACAGCTCACTGCAGGCTGGAACTCCCAAGGCTCAAGTGATCCTCCCACTTCAGCCTCCAGAGTACCTGGGACTACACGTGCATGCCACCGTGCCCGGCTAATTTTTGTGTTTTTAGTAGAGACGAGGTTTCACCATGTTGGCCAGGCTGGTCTTGAACTCCTGGGCTCAAGTGATCCTCCTGCCTCAGACTCCCAAAGTGCTGGGATTACAGGCATGAGTCAACGTGCCCAGCTAAGGAGAGGCTTTGACGTAAGACTGAAGAGTTGAGGTTTTACGTACGAGGCAGCACTGTGCTCACTGGGGCACTGGGGTTTTGAACAAGAGAATGATGTGACACAACTTGAGTTCTAAGGAAGATTTATCTAATGGAGGGGCGAGGAGAAAACTGGTAGGATCTTGTGGGAGCCTGGGTTGGTTGGGGGTTAACCAGTCCCTCTGGCAGTGACAGGAAAGTCTGGCCCCAGGGAGGAAGTTCACGATAGGAAATCTTTTCTTTCTGCATTTCGATGATGCCACCTGCCTCCCGAGGCAATGGGGGTGATGAGTTGAGTCCATTGTAAGGTCAGGACCCGTGTCTCAGGCTGGGCATCGCCCCAGAACCAGAACAGAGGGCAGCACCAAGAGCCCAGCATGCTGCCTCCTCTGGTTCTGTTTCCAGGGGAGATTCTGTACCCCAGAATGGGAGGGATGAGGTCCTTCCTTCCAGTCCCCGAGACTTCTTGCACACGGGCAGACCCTGGCCAGAACATTCTTCAGACATGTGTTTGTAACCCTTAGTGTATTTTCAGGATGCCCAGTGGATAACTTCTCACCACCTGAGACCAGCCCTAGAACAGAACATTCTAGATCAGCACTCCCTTGCTCTCTCCAGTCTTGCCTTGAATGCCAAAGTTCAAGTTGAACTGGAACTCGGGGAGAAGTCAGACAAACCATAAAGGAAGTAGCTGCCCTTCCCATTCATGCACACAGAAAGGCTGGGAGAGAGGAGAGGGGCTGCCGACGGGAAGCTTGATTCTTGACCGCAAGACCAGTGCTGGGCAGATGGGATATTTCTCAGCAGGAAGGCGGGCTGAATGGTCAGCAGCCCCTTCCAGTGTCCCGCGGATGACATACAACACCTGGGAGCCCCATACTGCTCCTTGTTAAAGTCAGACCTCTAAGAAAAACAGAGGGCAAGTCCCTTGCCTACAGCAGCCTCAGTAGTAAGAAGACCCTCTCTAGAATCAAGTGGCTATTTTCAAATGAATCTCCTGAGGACCAAGTGATCCAAGCCTGCTTCTGGCTGATGGGATAGGGCTGGGCCATGGGCTCAAAAACGCATTGGCACTTAATTCATTCAGCAAACGTTTATTTATTTATTATTTTATTTTCTTTATTTATTTTTTTAGACGGAGTCTTGCTCAGTCACCCAGGCTGGAGTGCAGTGGCACAATCTCGGCTCATTGCAACCTCCGCCTCCCGGGTTCACGCCATTCTCCTGCCTCAGCCTCCCGAGTAGCTAGGACTACAGGCGCCCACCACGACGCCCGGCTAATTTTTTTTTTTGTATTTTTAGTAGAGATGGGGTTTCATCATGTTAGCCGGGATGATCTCGATCTCCTGACCTCGTGATCCGCCCGCCTCAGCCTCCCAAAGTGCTGCGATTACAGGAGTGAGCCACTGCGCCCGGCCTTATTTATTTTTTACTTTATTTTACTTTATTATTTTGAGGCAGAGTCTCGCTGTGTCGCCCAGGCTGGAGTGCAGTGGCGTGATCTTGGCTCACTGCAACCTCCGCCGCCTTCTGGGTTCAAGCAATTCTTCTGCCTCAGCCTCCTGAGTAGCTGAGATTATAGGCGCCCACCACCATGCCCAGCTAATGTTTTGTATTTTTAGTAGAGACAGGGTTTCGGCATGTTGGCCAGGCTGGTCTTGAACTTCTAGGCTCAAGAGATCCTCCTGTCTTAGCCCCCTACAGTGATGGAATTACAGGCATGAGCTACCACACCTGGCCCAACAAATGTTTATTGAGCACCTACTATGTGCCGTGCCCTGTGCTGGGTGGGGGAAAATGATGTGAACAAAACAAAACAACGTGCTGCTGAGGTTAAGATGCTCACAGGGCCAAGACTTTCAAAGGTCACATTCCCCAGTGGACCAGAACTCTCAGGCTGGAAGTAGGGGGAGGTTGTGAGGGCCAGAGGAGAAACAGGATGATGGTGGCTCCTCCTACCTCAGGGGTTTGAAAATCTGGCCCGGGCAGTTTCTGGCACCCTGGCTGTGCAAGCTGAGAGCCTGGCTGGAACCAAGATAGACGCGTGACTGTCCACAGCTGCCCCAACAGTGAGACGGGTCTGCTCCTGTTCTCTTCCATACAGTGCTGAAGTCACAAGCTATGAGCTAGTGTTCCCTCGGTAGCCCAGGGTCCTTGGGGGACGTATGAGGAGATGATGTGCACTGGAGGCCTGTGGAGTCACTGCTGGGGAATGACAGGCTGCACACTTGGGCCTCCGAGGCACCTCTGGCTGGGCTCGCCTTTCAGAGTTTCAGCCGAGCCTGGAATCACTCCAGGGACAAAGGAGACACATCTGCCAACGTCTGCCCAACTCTCCTTGGCCACGGGAGCCCAGGACCAGCCATAAGTGGGCAGGAGCCAGGGGCCGTGTGGCGAATGGGGCTGCGGCGGAGGCCTTGGGACGTGCATGGGTCAGCAGAGGCCCTTGAAGTCCTGGGCGGGCAGGTTCCTCAAAAGCAAAATCACTTGAAACACATTATGAGGGACAGCGGAGGCCCTGTGGCCAGCCCCCGAGCACAAGAGGCTCCTGCAACAGAAACCGCTGGCCAGCAAGGCAGCTGCTGGCTGGTGACGCCCAGAGACGGCCGAGGGCAAGGAGCTGAAGGGCCGAGGACGAGGGGGGTGCCCCTGGGGACCCCGCCCCGAGCTCAGGCCGCTCCATCTGGGCTCTAATCCCTTCTTTTGTTTTCAGCTCATGCTTCTCCCCCAGTGAAGGGAGGCTGGGAGGTTCTGTTGTTGCCCTAGGAGCTGCCAACAGCAGTAGAAGGCAGGGCCTTGGCAGGCAGCCTTGCCTCTGTGGGAGCAGGCGGGGCTGATTACTCTAAGCTGCCAGCCACCACTGGTACCTCCCAGCCCGCTGGCCTTGCCTCCTGTGTGGTGAACTCTGTGGGAGGGGACAGAGGGGCGGAGTGGGAGGAGGAGACCCAGCCGGGCCTTGAAGAGGAGCCAGGAGCTAAGAACTTGACCTAGAATCCCAGGATGAAGGACAAGTCCAGCCCCCTCCAGGATTCAGGGTCTCACCAAGGGGAATGAGGGGCCCAAGGTTCACCCAGCTGGGTTCTGATGGAGCCAGGCAGAGACGGGATGCGCTGGGGAGGCCCTGGAGAAGGAGCCTGGTGGAGCATGTACTGTGTGTCTTTCCTTTTTCCTACAAATCTTAGGGACTTTCCTGGGGTCAGGGCTGCTGTGTACAGCATGCAGGTGTGGGCTGAGGCGTGGGGGTCGGGCTGTGTCCATCTGGACAATGAGTTGCCTTTTTCCAAATCATGCCAAGGCCCTGTGCAGGTCAGTACCTGGTTTTGCCAGGCCAGCCTCAGGGGGCAGCTCATCAGAAACCAGCCCTGTGCACTGGGGAGGCTTTGGGCCTGGGGTGCCCTTTCTCAGAGAAGGGGTCACAGGGATGAAGGCTCATCCCAGAGGGGACTGGCAGGTCTGCAGGGTGCCCTGAGCCACTGGCTGGGAAAACCCAGGCGTCCTTCCCTCCCCAGGCTGTTTGCCTCCACACCCTTCCCTGCCTGAGGACTCACTTCTATCACTGAGGCAGGGTCACCTCAGGAACCAATCACGTTTCATCCTGAGTGGAATGAGTCTACGGAAGTCAAGGCCATAAGTCAGTGTGGCACCTGCATTTGACCTGAAAAAATACAGACTGTGAGGGCAAATGACCTGTCAAATGAGTACGTTGGAGCAGGACCAATTATTGAATTTCATACCTGCCCTAACATAATTCACATGGATTTTAGATTTCCAGAAAGGAATCTCCAAGCCCTTTTCATGGCCGCCGCGGTGGCTCACGCCTGTATTCCCAGCACCTGGGGAGGCCGAGGCAGGTGAATCACTTGAGGTCAGGAGTTTGAGACCATCCTGGCCAACATGGTGAAATCCCGTCTTTACTAAAAATGCAAAAATTAGCCAGGCGTGATGGTGGGTGCCTGTAATCCCAGCTACTCAGGAGGCTGAGGTAGGAGAATAGCTTGAACCCGGGAGGTGGAGCTTGCAATGAGCTGAGATCGCCCACTGCACTCCAGCCTGGGCAACAGAACCAGACTCCATTTCAAAAAAAAAAAAAAATTCTCTGTCAGGGTGGCAGGAAGGATTCCTGGAAATATGAAGGAACTGAGGCTGGTTTTGAAGATAAATCCAAATATGCAGGCTGGGGAGGCCCACCTGGCACAGAGGTGCTGAGGAGGGGCTGATCTGGGAACCAGAAGGAAGTGGGTGACTGCGATGAGGTACAGTGGGCACCCGAGGGGAGAGGCCTGAGTCTGTGCCGAGGAGTAGACCCAGGGCCTGTACCCGGGTGGTGGTGGGAGGCAGCCGGACAGCACAAGGGGCAAATGCCAGCCTTCTGTGGCACCTCCTCCCCACCGCCTCTGCAGCTGCTTCTGGGGCTTCCTTAGGGTCTTCCTATGCTGTCAACCTGGCCAGAGTCCCACAGAGCAAGGTCCTGCTGAGGTTTTGGCGGGGGGGGCAGGCTCTGAGAGGGACCCCTGGAAGGAGGCTGCTGCTCCTCAGACCTAGAGGTTTGTTCTTCTGCAGAGATCCACCGGATACTGAGAAATGCAGCTGCTGCAGAATTTCTAGCCATAAACACAGAAATGTGGTGGGGAAGGAGCTGTTTAGGGAAGAGGAAGTAGACACGTTGCACAGAGCTGCCACTAGCCTCGGCTGGTCAGGCCATGCAGGGCGATGGTTCTCAAACTCAGGCTATGACCCAGGCGATGCTGTGATGCAGGTGCCTGGTGGGCTGAGAGCCCTGGAAGCTGGTGCAGAACCACTGGGAAGGCTGGGAGCTGGTGGCCCACTGTGGGGCATGGCAGCTCCAGAGACCCCATATCTGTTCCTCTGGTGAGTATCGGCCTCCTCCTTCCCCACCACAAAACCTCAAAAGGGGTCTTCCCCTGTATCCCACCTGCTCTCCCTGTGCTCCCACAGCTGAAGCAAAGGCAGTGCTAGAGGCTTGAGGGCCCTCTTCCCCAAATCAGCAATCATATTCTTTCCACCAGGAAAATACCCTAAACAGAGCAGACATGAGGATCGCTTTGGGTCGGTCTGGGTCTCCAAGGCTGAAATGCATTTCACCTGTGCCTAAGTCCTTGGCCTCTAAGCAGTTATAGCTTATGGCGATGCAGTCAGTGGACAAAGATGAATATTCCAGAAGAAACCCTTAAAACCAACCAGGCAACAGAGAGAGCTTATAGCTGCTAAGAACCTGGAGGCAGTAAGGCACACGTTCTTTGCCCATCCCACAGCTATTAATATTAGGCTGCAGATGCCAAGGAAGGGGTGCGCACCTGGTTGCTGAGGAAGGGCAGCATGAAATGCAGGGCCCAAGGAGGAGCTCAGGCAGGTCAAGGACATTGCCCTCAACAAGACACCCTCTCCAGGGTCAGAGGCCGACCGAGCAGAGGCACAAGGTGCTTGTTAGCGGGTAGACAGGCTCATCGTGCAAGCTTGCAGGGCTCAATTAAGGGTCTTAGTCACCCGCAGCCTTCTGTCTCCTAGGTCCTGAACTGCAGCCCGGGGATGGGGTGGAGGTGCCCTATCTGTGGGGCCGTCCCAAGGCCCTCGCTGAGGGGCTGGGTACAATGAGGCCTGTGTCGGGACTTGCCGAACTGCACCTGCGCTGTAGCTCGGTATCCTTTGTGGGAGGCAGGGGTTTACCCTTGATAATCCCCTCCCCCGCCCAGCCCAATCCTAGCTCTGGCCTGTGGCCTTGCATCCCATGAAAGTTTCTATGGGACAAGGTTAGAAGGGGCTGCGCTGCCTGGTGGGAGACAGGTCCACAGGCCCAGCCCCAGAGCCCTAAACCCTCCCTGTAAGACCCACATAGCCAACCACAGTGAATAAATTAGTTGGATAATGCCATCCACCAGGAGGCAAATACTACTTTTATTTATTTACTGTTTTTTTATTTTTATTTTTTATTTTTTTGAGACAGTCTTATTCTGTCGCCCAGGCTGGAGTGCAGTGGCACGATCTCAGCTCACTGCAACCTCTGCCTCCCGGGTTCACGCCATTCTCCTGCCTCAGCCTCCTGAGTAGCTGGGATTACAGGTGCGAGCCACCACGCCCGGCTAATTTTTGCATTTTTAGCAGAGACAAGGTTTTGCCATATTGGCCAGGCTGGTCTCAAACTCCTGACCTCAGGTGATCCACCTGCCTCAGCCTCCCAAAGTGCTGGGATTACAGGCATGAGCCACTGCACCTGGCCCACATACTACTTTTAAATCATAAGGCAATGTTACTTTGATTTGCTTCTTATTAGGCCATAACCTTTGTTTGGTCTATGTCCTTTCTGAGGCCTCAAGGGGACTTCTGAGCCCCCCTTTTATGGGTGCAAAGAAGCTCTGAAACTTGGAGTTTGGATTTGGGTGAGAATGTGGGTCAACTGTGCTGGATTTCACAAAGCGAAGGCTGTGTATGACACAAGAAGCCCTGTGCAACAGGGCAAGACTCCATGGTCATTGAACTGCACACAGACCTGGTTTTGAATCACCACCTACCATTGGTGTGACCTCGGGCAAGTCACCAATATCTCTGAGTCTCAGAATCCCATCTGTTGGGCAAGAAAACATCCACCTCATAGGATTGCTATTGAGAGTCAAGGAGGTAGTGTTCAAGCACCTCCGAGGGCCTGGTACCTGGTAGCAGCTTGGTGTGTGCCCCTCCCACCTCTCCTTCATTAGGAGCAGGAGCCCTGGAATTCCATTCCTCTCCTGAGTAGTCACGGCCTGACCTCAGGAGGCAGCAGCAGCAAGAAAGGAAGGGAGGCAAGAGCAAGTGATGTTCTCCCCAGACCCTCAGCCCAGGGACACGAGGGCTGTGCTGGGCTGAGAGGGTTTTGCATCAGGCTGGTCTGTTCCCTCCCTAGCCCACTTGCGTTCTCCTCTGGAGATGGCCTGGGGGGACCCAACTGCAGAGCATTCAGGTGGGGCCCTGGCACTAGCCACAGGGGTGGGGGTGCTGCATTTAGCCTTTCTCTGGCCACAAGCTCCTTGTTCAAGGGTCTCAGGCCACCTTGACTGTGGGTCTCTGTGGGGCCTGGCCTGCAGAAGGCCACACGGCACCTGTGCATCCCTGCATTGGTCACCACCTAGGACTGTGGCACGCAGAAGTGTTATCCATGGGCCTTCACTTTCTGCTCCAGACACGGCAGGGAGTTGAAGTTCGAGAAACAGATAAACAAATGCCAAACATGAGCATAAACTTTAATATATTCAGACTGTTTTAGATATTAAATAGAAAAAAGACCTTGGTGCCTTTGAGGGTCCTGTGTGGCCTTTCCCTAGGTGGAGCTGGTTCCCTTAGAGGTAAAACCAGGAACTTTCTCTTGCAGCTTATGAGAGGGTGACGAGGGTGCGGCTTATCCTTTGTCCTCATGGCTGGAAAAGGGACCCTGACGGGCACAGGGCCTGCCTCGCCCTCCCTCCTCAGGTCTTGGGGAGACAGAGACTGCAGGTTGCCTGGGCGGCCCCAGGAACAGATTTGCATTATTTTGTGGCAACAAGCAAATTTCCTGGAGGGGATTTCTGGAAGAACTGGGAGCCACCCAGCGGGAAAGCTTTAGGAAACAGGAGAGCAGGAGGCCGGGAGGAGACAGGCCTGGGCAGAGGCGGAGGCTGCTTGGCCTGAGGCTCTGGGCCAAGGGATGGTTGAGGCCTCGAACCCCTCCTCCACCCTTCCTCACAGCAGGCAGGAAGCCAGGCCCTGAGCAGGCTCAGGCGCTGCCTCCGCGCCCTCGCTGACCTGCAGGAAACTCGCCCAACCCAGGCCTATGTCAGCAGCAGGACGATGACCTAAGAAGCCAGGCTGCAGAGCAAGATGGAAAATTCCCAACGCTCCTGCACCTAAGGCTGCACCCGGGGGGGCAATATTATGCTCCTCTGGCCCTGACTGCATGGGGGAGGGCTGCCCCCGTTCTGGGCTGGCGGCTCAGTCAGGGGCTGGGACAAGAGCAAACCAAACAGCTTCAAGGGGAGGGAAACGGAGCCCCAGCCCTTGACCTTCCACTTGGTTCGTGCGTTGCTGGACCCGGCGTAACTGCGGCTGTGTGGGTGTGTGTGTTGGGCAGGGATGGGGTGGCGATTACAAAACAGAGGACGGCAGGCGTACTTTCTGCATAGAAAGAACACTCAACAGCCCTCCAACACAGGCTGAGAATCTGAAAAAGTCAGGCCATGTCGGCTTAAAGAAATCAAGCTGCATATCCACCAGCATATCAAGATTTTAAATTTAAGAACTATGGGTCAGGTAGAGTGGTTCATGCCTGTAATCCCAGCATTTTGGGAGGCCGAGGTGGGTGGATCACCTGAGGTCAGGAATTCAAGACCAGCCTGGCCAACATGGTGAAACCCTGTCTCTACTAAAAATACAAAAAATTAGCTGGACATGGTGGCAGGAGCCTGTAATCGCAGATACTTGGGAGGCTGAGGCAGGAGAATGGCTTGAACCCAGGAGGCAGAGGTTGCAGTGAGCTGAGATCGCGGCATTTCACTCCAGCCTGGGTGAAAGAGCGAAACTCCATCTCAAAAAAACAAGAAAACAAAAAACTATGACAGCTCAGATGCGTACATTCTAAAGTTCATCCGAACCTGGTTAATGCAGTGCTTGGCTGGCCTGGAGCCTTAGGGAAGAATATCCACGAGGCACCTGCTGTATGCTGAGCAGGTTCGCATGGAGTCCCTCTCGTTCAGTCCTTGGTTGGTGAGGGCCGCATCACAGGACAGGCTCAGCGCAGCACAAACCGAAAGAGAAATGCTTCGGACCAATGTCCTTTCTCAGTTTCTCCCGGGAAGGCCGGCTGGAGCAGGCTATTTCCAAGGCCCTGGAAATACAGGTGTTTTCCCTTCAGTCATCTCCAGAGCAGGAGCCTCCTATGTCTCAGGAAGATAAGAAGGATCCAGATGCCAGGAGGAGTGACCTCTGGACACTTGGCTGGGAGCCCAGGAGCCCTGATGCCAGGCCCAGGAAGGCCTCCCCACCCCTCTGGGGCCTAGTCAGGGGAAGGAAGGAACCAAGGAAGGGAGGGAGGGAGGAAGGAAGACACATGGGATAGGATTTCCAGACCCAAGGCCGGCAATCCTCCTGGTTCCAATCACCGGATAGGCAAGCTGGTTTGTAGTTTTCCATAGGTGACAAAAGCCAAAGGAAGGTTGCAAAATCCCTCCTGCACCAGTAGGCTTCAAGAGGTTACACTCTCAATAAGAATGTGAAATGGTAGATTCAATAAAATCTAGTGTATGATAACATAATAATTTATGTACATCTTAAAATAACTGGAATAGTGGGCCGGGTGGCTCACGCTTGTAATCCTAGCACTTTGGGAGGCTGAGGCGGGCAGATCACGAGGTCAAGAGATTGAGACCATCCTGGCCAACATGGTGAAACCCCATCTCTACTAAAAAAAATACAAAACTTAGCTGGGTGTGCTGGCGCGTGCCTGTAGTCCCAGCTACTCAGGAGGCCAAGGCAGGAGAATTGCTTGAACCCGGGAGGCAGAGGTTGTAGTGAGCCGAGATGGCGCCACTGCACTCCAGCCTGGCCAGTCTGGGCAAGAGCAAAACTCTGGCCAGGTGTGGTGGCTCACACCTGTAATCCCAGCACTTTGGGAGGCCAAGGCAGGTGGATCACGAGGTCAGGAGATCGAGGCCATCCTGGCTAACACGGTGAAACCCTGTGTCTCTACTAAAAATACAAAAAAATTAGCCGGGCGTGGTGGCGGGCGCCTGTAGTCCCAGTTACTCAGGAGGCTGAGGCAGGAGAATGGTGTGAACCCGGGAGGCGGAGCTTGCAGTGAGCCGAGATCGTGCCACTGCACTCCAGCCTGGGTGACAGAGCAAGACTCTGTCTCAAAAAAAAAAAAAGCGAAACTCTTTTCTACAGAAAGCCTGGGCTTTCTGTAGGGGCTGACTCACTTCAGGGCCCCCTGGCATGGCCTAAAGCTGTAGAGGGGAGCTGGCAGCCCCAGAAGGGCTTCATTTCCCAATCTCTCCTCCCCTTTCTCCTGGCCCCCTGGGCATCTCCACCTCTGCCCCTACCTCCCAAGCAAGCCTTGACTCACATACTCCTGAGTGGCAGCCTCTGGCCTCTCTCCATCTGTGCCACCCCCTCCTAGGACACTGGGGTGAGGAAGCCCTGGGAGGCAGGCTCTGGGTGCAGGTCAGAGGCCTCCCTGTCTGTGCTGGGGTCCAGCTGAGCCAGGGCCACTGAGCCCTTGAGGGCTCTGCAGGCCTCGGGATGGGAAGGGAAGGTGTGGGAGATGACCCTGAGCCCGGGGCGCCCCTTGGAGCTCCCAGAGGCTGTTTTGGCTCCTGGCAGGGTCAGAGCAGCTTGGTGCCATCGTGTGTGCTCCTCCAGGAGGAGAAGGCTCTAGACAGGGCAGGACTTGCCCTAAAGGCCAGGGACCCCCATAGGGAAAAGCTGCCGCCTATGGGTGTCACGAGGAAATGAGCGCCCAGGAAGAACATGGTCACCCTGAAAGAAGTAGGACGTTGTCTCCCTGGCTGAACCACAAGCCTTGCGCGGGTGACGCAGGGCCTCACCTGCTCTGCCCTGGCTGAAGAGAGACATTTGTAAACTTCAGGCTGGCTTCTGCCTGCCTGACCACACTGCTTGGGTGACAATGTTCGCAGGAAATCACATTTTGGTAGTGACTGGTCAGGATGCTGGGGAAACTTAACAGCACTAGAGAGCCGTTCTGGAAGGGCGCTGCCATACTCTGCTGCCACAGCGTAGCTGGTGTCTTCTCTGCACTTTAAATGCATTGTGTCATTTTTTCCTCATAGCACTTCTTTGAGATGGATCCTGTGGTTTATACCCCTTTTTTTCAGAAGAGAAAAACTGAGGCTGTAAATAACTCAGCTGTGGACTGAGAATTCAGTCAGGCTCTGACTGTGGGGAAGCTGGAAGTCCCAGCACTTGATTCTGGCGGCTGGAAGCCTGGGGCTGCGAGTGCCCCTTTCCGCACCCCTGTAGTCAGGGCTCTTGTCTCCTGGCTTTGGTGCTAGGATGCAGCCACCTGGAGCTGTTGGCTACGACCTGTTCAGCAGGGTCCTCCGACCCGCAGTGTTGCTGGATTGTCTGGTGTGTCAGTGTCTGGACAGGGCCTCATACGACTATTTATCTCCCTCCCAGGAGCCCCTCCCTTCAAGGTAGGCCTGGAACTAGGGTTTTTCAGAAATGAGAAATCAGCTGTGAGCACCTGCAGCCCCTCCTGCTTTAGAAGAAACAGCATAATACCCTGTTTTACAATGACCTTTTGTTTTTTTAAGTACACTTCACAGAGAAAGAAAAAGAAAAAGAAAAACCCAGAAGGGATCTCCACGTAGTCTTTGGCAGGAAAGGGGCCTCTTACAGTATTGTTGGTAGCTTTGAATCATTAGAGGCATCTGCTCACGACCTGCTGCAGGGCCCTGGGCGTGGCACTCACAGAGTCCCTCCCAGGAAGGAGGCCTGGAAGCTGGTTTTTCACAAGAAATGTCTTCATGCCCAGTCTGCTTCTGTAAAGGCCTGGACTGCCACCCTGCTGGATGCAGACAGGATGCAAAGTGGCCACAGATATCTCAGTGGCAGCTCAATAACTTGGAGGAGATACTCTGCAAGGGCCTAAATTCTTAGCCCCTGGGGAGACTTAGTCCGTCTTGGTCATCACCCTGTGCCCCGGAGCAGGGTCTGACTTACAGGAGGGGCTCAAAAATATTCGTTGATCAATAAGAAGTATTAAGAAAATGTCTCCTAAATTGACAGGAGATGGTGCAATAACATGGACCCTGTACAGCCTTCTTCCCTGGGTTCCCTCTTGAAGTACACTTTCTCAGGTGGCTGAGGACACAGAGGCACAGGGAAGCAGGTGGCCTTCCCAGGTCTCCCTGCAATGATGGGTCTCTACGGCCAATCCATTAGGATCGCTAGGCCGTTTTTTAGAGGAGGTGATTTTGCCCCCTGCCGTGTCCATCCACAACTTAGAGCTTGACCACTGTCACTTACAAAATGCCAGCACAGCCATCTTCACCGACAATTTTTTGCCCTCCCTCTTGATGAGGACTTGTATAAGTTCCTAGAAAAAGTGGCAGCCAGGCGCCTGGAGGCTGCCCAAGCAGCGTGGCCCCAGTTTTACCGAGCGGGGCAAACAGGTCTCTGAGGTAGTTATTAAGCAGACGGCTAGACGCGGCCAACATCCGCACTGCTGCTCACGGCCTCTATCCCTGGAAAACCCCAGCTAGGCCCGGCACTCTGGGGCTGTTCGCTGGGGCTCTCCCCAGATCATCCCTCTTCTGCCCAGGGAACAGGTCTTTCCTGTTCTTCTTCTGCTTCTCCTTTTCTTCCTCATTCCAGTCCTCAGTGGAGACTTAATCACCGTAGTGCACTCGGTGAAACCTAAACCACTGTGTTAACTCTGAGGTTTACAGGTCACCCCCCTGCAGTAAGGCCAGAGCCTGATTTCTGTGGAAAGCACACCCCTAATCCAAACGATCTTCTTGTGATAAAGGGGTGTCAGCAGCTTCACCAAAGTTTATGCCACTCCACTTGCCATTTGGGACAATGCATTTCCTTCGTCTAAATGCACATTTCCCTACATTCCCCTCGTATCTCTGGATGTGGGAGAGGCCTCTCAATGACAAGGGGCTGCAGCAGGGCCCGGTGGAGCTGCCACAAGCCCTGGAAAGGGGAGCCCCAGGCTGAGGTTGCTGCTAAGAGTTAATTACTGTTAGACATTTGCATTTGTTATCCCCTGGTCTGGCTGCTGGAGTCGAGGATGACGTCAGCAAAGGCACAGATGACATAAGCCTAAGGCACAAGGTCACCTTCTGAAAATGCATTTGACTCAGCACACCAGTAAGCTGCCCACTGACCAAGAGAGCAGCACAGGCGGATGAGCCCCAAATACACTTGACTGTGATCTTGTCACCTGCAGCCGCTGCCCACAGTGCTTCCCAAGCAGTAGCATACTCCAGGCCTGACTGGGCCACACTCTCGAAAGACTCATGCCCACAGCAGTGTCCTGCGAGACTTGGACTTGATAGACCAGGGCTGAGGGCCTAGAACTTTATAGCCTGGAACTCCTGGGCTCAAGCAATTCTCCCACCTCAGCCTCCCAATTAGCTGGGGTTACAGGCATGTGCCACCGGGCCCAGCTAATATTTTAATTTTTTTTTTTGAGACGGAGTCTCGCTCTGTTGCCCAGGCTGGAGGGCAGTGGCGTGATCTCGGCTCACCGCAACCTCCGTCTCCCGGATTCAAGCAATTCTCCTGCCTCAGTCTCCCAAGTAGCTGGGACTACAGACGTACACCACCATGGCTGGCTAATTTTTTTTTTTTTTTTTTTTGAGACAGAGTCTTGCTCTGTCACCAGGCTGGAGTGCAGTGGCACTGTCTCAGTTCACTGCAACCTTTGCCTCCTGGGTTTAAGTGATTCTCCTGCCTCAGCCTCCCAAGTAGCTGGGATTACAGGTGCGTGCCACCATGCATGGCTAATTTTTTGTATTTTAGTAGAGATGGGGTTTTACCATGTTGGCCAGGCTGGTCTTGATCTCCTGACCTCGTGATCCGTTCACCTTGGCCTTCCAAATTGCTGGGATTACAGGCGTGAGCCACTGCGTCTGTCCATTTTTTGTGTTTTTAGTAGAGACGGGGTTTCATTATGTTGGGCAGGCTGGTCTTGAACTCCTGACCTCATGATCCGCCCACCTCGGCCTCCCAGAGTGCTGGGATTACAGGCATGAACCACCTTGCCTGGCCAATATTTTAATTTTTTGTAGAAACAGGGTCTCCCTGTGTTGCCCACGCTAGTCTGGAGCTCCTGGGCTCAAGTGATCCTCCCGCCTCCGCCTCCCAAAGTGCTGGGATTACAGGCATGAGCCACCGCGCCCATCCAAACTGAGCAGATTGTGTGGAGAGTTCACCACCCCACATCAACTTTCCCTATTATCAGTATCTTGCTTTGGTGTGGCACATTTGTTACAATTCATGAACTAATACTGACACATTATTATTAAAGTCCATATTTTATATTAAGGCTTACTTTTTGTATTGTACATTTCTATGGGGTTTGATAAAGGCAAATGTCATGCATCCATGATTACCATACCAAACCCAGGTTTCACTGCCCTGAACTGGTGTTTCACCTATTCATCCCTCTCCACTTCCCATTTCTTCCCACCCCACTCTGAACTCCCAGCAACCGTTATCTTTTTTTTTTTTTTCTTGAGACGGACTTTTGCTCTTGTTGCCCAGGCTGGAGTGCAGTGGCGCAATCTCGGCTCACTGCAACCTCCGCCTCCCAGGTTCAAGCGATTCTCCTGCCTCAGCCTCCCAAGTAGCTGGGATTACAGGCATGCGCCACCATGTCCAGCTAATTTTGTATTTTTAGTAGAGATGGGGTTTCTCCATGTTGGTCAGTCTGGTCTCAAACTCCCAACCTCAGGTGATCCGCTCGCCTTGGCCTCCCAAAGTGCTGGGATTACAGGTGTGAGCCACCACACCCCACCAACCATTCTTTTTTTACTGTCTCTATAGTTTTTACTTTTCCAGAAAGTCATATAGTTGGATTCATACAGTAAGTAACCTTTTCAGATGGGCTTCTTTCACCTGCAATATGCACTTAAGATTTTTCCATGTCTTTTTGTGGCTTGATAGCTCATTTTATTTTAGTGCCGAATAATATTTCATGGTATAGATGCACAACAGTTTGTTTTCCACTCACCTATTGAAGGTCATCTTGCTTGCTTCTGGTTTTTGGCAATTGTTATTATTATTCTGTTTTGTTTTGTTTTGAGACAAGGTCTCACTCTGTCACCCAGGCTGGAGTGCAGTGATGCGATCTCAGCTCACTGCAACTTCCACCTCCCGGGTTCAAGTGATTCTCCTGCCTCAGCCTCCTGAGTAGCTGGGATTATAGGCATGCGCCACCATGCCCGAAAAATTTTTGTATTTTTAGTAGAGATGGGGTTTCACTATGTTGGCCAGGCTAGTCTCGAGCTCCTGGCCAGAAGTGATCCACCCGCCTCGGCCTCCCAAAGAGCTGGGATTACAGGCATGAGCCACCTTGCCCAGCCTGTTTTTTTGCAATTATGAAGAAAGCTGCTTTATAAACATTTGTTTGTGAGGTTTTTGTGTGGCTATAAGCTGGATTTTACACTAATAGTGTTTAGCTTTGTAAGAACTGCTCAGCTGTCTTCCAGGTGGCTGTACCATTTCGCATTCCCACCAGTTACTGCTGCTCTGCACCCTTGCTAGTAGTATTTGGTACTGTTATTAAAAAAACTTTTTTTTTTTTTGGACTGGTGAGTTGGCTTACGCCTTTAATCCTAGCACTTTGGGAGGCCTAGGCAGGCAGATTACCTGAGGTCAGGAGTTCAAGACGAGCCTAGCCAACATAGTGAAACTCTGTCTCTACCAAAAATACAAAAAGTTAGCTGGGTGCAGTGGCTCACACCTGTAATCCCAGCTACTCAGGAGGCTGAGGCAGGAGAATCGCTTGAACCTGGGAGGCGGAGGTTGCAGTGAGCTGAGATCCCGCCACTGCACTACAGCCTGGGCAACAGAGCAAGACTCATCTCAAAAAAAAAAAATTCGCCATTCTAATAGATATGTAGTGGCATCTCAGTGTTGTTTTAATTTGCAATTCCTGATGGCCTATGATGTTTAGCATTTTTTCTTTTTTTTTTTTTGAGACGGAGTCTGGCTCTGTTGCCAGGATGGAGTGCAGTGGCACGATCTTGGCTCACTGCAAACTCCACCTCCCAGATTCAAGTGATTCTAGTGCCTCAGCCTCCCCAGTAGTGAGGGTTATAGGCACATGCCACCACGCCCAGCTAATTTTTGTATTTCTAGTAGAGACAGGTTTTCACCATGTTGGCCAGGATGGTCTCAATCTCTTGACCTCGTGATCTGCCTGCCTCAGCCTCCCAAAGTGCTGGGATACAGGCATGAGCCACCGCACCCAGCCAATGAGCATCTTTTCATATACTTAATTTCCATCTGCTTATCTTCTTTGGTGAGGTGTCTGTTTAGATCCTTTGCCAATTTTTAAATTGTTTTCTCATTGTTGAATTTTAGGAATCCTTCGTGTATTTTGGATATCAGTTATCATATATGTGTTTTGCAAATATTTTATCCCAATCTATAGCTCGTCTTTTCATTCTCTTAATGTTTTTTTCACAGAGCACAAGTTTTTAATTTACTAAAGTCCAATTCATCAATTTTTTTCTTTCATGGATTGTGCTGCTGATATTGTATCTGAAAACTCATTGCCAAACCCAAGTCACCTACATTTCCTCTCGTATTATTATCTGAAAGTTTCATAATGTGAAACTTTTACATTAAGTCTATAATCCACTTCGAGTTAATTTTTGTGAAAAGTGTAAGGCCTGTGTCTAGATTCATGTTTTTCCATGTGGCTGTCCAATTGTTACAGCACTATTTATCAAAAATACGATTCTTTCTCCATTGAATTACCATTGTTCCTTTGTCAAAGTTCAGTTGATTATATGTTTGTGGGTCTATTTCTGGGATCTTTATTCTGTTTTATTAATCTATTTGTCTTTTCTTTCATCAATATCATGTTGTCTTGATTACTGTTGCTTTATATTAAGTATTGATAGTCAGATAGTGTCAGTCTTCCGGGGGGACTTTGTTCTTCTTGAGTGTTTTCATTATCATGTTGGTTATTCTGGGTTTTTGGCACTTCTAGATAAACTTTAGAATCAGTTTGTCAATATCCACAAAATAACTTGCTGAGTTTTGACTGGAATTTGTTGAATCTATAGATCAAGTTGGGAAGAAATAACATCTTGACAATATTGAGTTTTCCTATCTATGAATATGGAGTATCTCTCCATTTATTTAGATCTTTGATTTCTTTCATCAGAATTTTGTAGTTTTTCTCATAAAGATCCTGTGTATATTTTGATATATGCCTAAGTCTTTTATTTTGTTAGTGCTAATGTAAATGGTGTCGTGTTTTAATTTCAAATTCAAATTGTTCATTGCTGTTATATAGGAAAGCAATTAACTTTTATATATTACCTTTATATCTTGCAACCGTCCTATAAATGCTTAGTAGTTCCAGGAGCTTTTCCCCCCACCTTGTTTACATTGTTGACATCTTAGACTTTGTAAACAATCTTATATCCTGATTTCCCCCAATTGTGTCATAAATGTTTTTGATGCCGTTTTATTTGTTTTTTTAGAGACAGGGATTCACTCTGTCACCCAGGCTGAAGTGCAATGGTGTGATTATAGGTCAGTGCAGCCTCAACCTCCTGGAGTCATGCTATCCTCCCACCTCAGCCTCCCAAGTTACTGAGCCCTCAGGCACACACCACCATGCCTGGTTAATTTTTTGTTTTTTTGTAGAGATGTTGCCCAAGCTTGGTCTCAAACTCCTGGTCTCAAGCTCCTGGTCTCAAGCGATTCTCCCTGCCTTGGCCTCCCAAAGTGCTGGGATTACAAGTGTGAGCCACCACACCCAGACTCAGTATCATTTTATTCTTTTAAAAGATTTTTGGTGGTGGGGCGCAGTGGCTCACGCCTGTAATCCCAGCACTTTGGGAGGCCGAGGCAGGCGGATCACCTCAGGTCGGGAGTTCAAGACCAGCCTGACCAACATGGAGAAACCCCATCTCTACTAAAAATACAAAATTAGCCGGGCACGGTGGCGCATGCCTGTAATCCCAGCTACTCGGGAGGCTGAGGCAGGAGAATCGCTTGAACCCGGGAGGCAGAGGTTGTGGTGAGCCGAGATCACGCCATTGCACTCCAGCCTGGGCGACAAGAGCAAAACTCTGTCTCAAAAAAAAAAAAAAAAAAAAAACAACAATTTTGGCAGCAAAGTATTTTATTGATCTGTAATTTCTTAATCAGTTTCCTTTTGCTGTATATCTGGGGTATTTTCAATTTCTTCATACATGTTTCTTATTTTAAATATGGAAAATGCAGAAGAATATAAGGGAAAAAATGCCCTTGTAATTTCACCAGAATAACCACTGTTGCCATTCGATCCTCTTCCTTCTACTGTTTCCCTTATGCCAGTGGTTCTCCTTTATTGGCAAATAGACTTATTTGAATATCTGATAAAAGCTATGGGCTTCTCCCAGGAAATTAGGACATGCACCAAATTTTGCATACAGCTTCAGAGTTCTAGGGACATCTATAGCCCATCCCAGAAATGCCCCCCAACAAGAAGCTGGGACATTGATCCATCAGCTCCAGTTGGCATTATTTACCCCAAAGTTTCAGGCTGTATTAGGCTTGCACAGCCTGAGCAGGTTTTCCTGATTTCAGAGAAAGCCCTGAGGCAGGGAAGCAGAGAACTGCACAAAGTACTTTCTGGGTGGGATGCCGTTGGCAGGAGTCAGGACTATCCACCATGGTATGGCAGAAATGAGGAAGGCAGAGTACCAAAATGTCTGCTGCAGGGATCACACTGCATATTTTATTCCATTTTTTTAAACATAATATTACATTTGTAAATGTTTTCCATATCATTAAATATTCTTCAAAACAGAGGTTTTAGTGGCCGCATAATATTCCACAGTATTGAATGCAATGGAATTTATCATTGTATATAAAATTATATTGTTGTATATAAAAATTACTCTGACACAATTCCTCATCTCTAATTACTTCTCTTAGACACATTCTTACAAATGGGTAACTTTTCTTTCTTTCTTTTTTTTTTTTTTTTGGTTCTCGATGCATATTTCCATGTTGCCCTCCAGAAAGATGTTTGTACTTCCACCAGCAAAAGGAGTAGCTAACTTTAATTGTTTTTTTGAGGTGGAGTCTTGCTCTGGCACAGGCTGGAGTGCAATAGCGCAATCTCAGCTCACTGCAAACTCCGCCTCCCGGGTTCAAGTAATTCTCCTACCTCAGCCTCCTGAGTAGCTGGGACTACAGGCACATGCCACCACACCCAGCTATTTTTTATTTTTTAGTAGAGATGGGGATTTCATCATATTGGCCAGGCTGGTCTTGAACTCCTGATCTAGTGATCTGCTCGCCTTGGCCTCCCAAAGTGCTGGGATTACAAGCGTGAGCCACTGAGCATGGCCTGGAGTAGCTAACTTTTAATATACTTCATCACTCCTTCATACAACAAATACTTATGAAACACTTGCAATATACCAAGTATATTATGTGCTATTAATGTAAAAGTCTTAGTAATTTGATAGAAAATATGTTATCTTGTAATTTTCATTTTAAAATTATTGAGTTTTTAGGTTTAGACTAGAAAATTTTCGTGACTTGTCTGTTGTTGTTATATTTTTCTATTTATGTGTTAATATTTTCTCCTATTTGAACTTTGTTTATGGGGTCTTATTAACAAAATTTTACATTTTTAAGTAGTGAAATATATAGATGTTTTCCCTTCATGATTTTTATCCATTGTTATTTTATTTTTTATCATTTATTTATTTTTTGAGATGGAGTTTTGCTGTTGTCACCCAGATTGGAGTGCAATGGTGCAATCTTGGCTCACTGCAACCTCTTCCTCCCAGATTCAAGCGATTCTCCTCCCTCAGCCTTTTGAGTAGCTGGGATTACAGGTGTCCACCATAAGGCCTGGCTAATTTTTTGTATTTTTAGTAGAGACGGGGTTTCAAGGCTGGTCTCGAACTCCTGTTCTCAGCTGATCTGCCCACCTCGGCCTCCCAAAGTGCATTGTTGTTCTTTAGAAAGTGGATCTCCATGTGGAGATCTGTTTTTCAACTAAACTATTTTATTTTCTGTCTCTTTTTCCTTCTTCTAGCTCTTTTTAAATATATATATATTTTTAATTACCTTGTGAAGCCTCTTAGATTTTATTTTGTTGTAAGATGTAAGACAAAGAATATTTTTTCCTACATAGTTATTTTCTCCCTAGAATTATTTTCCCATTGATACGTGGTGCTAATTTTATCATATATTAAATTCTTATATATGCTAAGGTCTGT
Organism: Homo sapiens; assembly: GCF_000001405.40. Lineage (NCBI taxonomy): Eukaryota > Metazoa > Chordata > Mammalia > Primates > Hominidae > Homo > Homo sapiens. The sequence goes on along the minus strand of NC_000014.9, from coordinate 35,324,674 downwards.
TGCTTGGCAATTCTAAGTTTTAAAAACACATTTTTTTTTTTTTAGTATTTTGACTAGAATGACTTTAAGTCTACACATTAGTTTGGAAAAGAACTGACTTTACAATAGTCAGCACTTCCATCTAGCAGCAGGAGGTCTCGCAGTCAAGTTTTTTACTTTCCTTCACATGGGTCAATATTTCCAGTTAGAACGATTCCTATCTATATTTTTGTTGCTATTGTGCTGTACTTACATAATTTTCTAAACATTTATTCCTGGTATATAGGAAAGGTATTTACTTTTTATACATTTTTGGGATGGTTGGGAAGGGGGCAATCTGAGAAAAAGTGACTGTAGATTTCGTCTAACATCCTGACAAAGATGCATCTTGAAGTCAGACTATTGTGTGTTCTAGTCCTGTCATTGACACATTGTAGTTGTGTGATCCTGGCCAAATTACTTAACTTGGACTCAGTTTTTGTTTTCGTTTTTGTTTGTTTGTTTTTACCCGCAACAGGGGAATAATAATAGTATAAGTCTATTATTCTTTATCCAAAAGGCATGGGGCCAGGTTCTTTTCTTTCTTTCTTTCTTTTTAAACAGAGTCTCACTCTGTGGCCCAGGCTGGAGTGCAGTGGTGCAATCTTGGCTCACTGCAACCTCTGCCTCCCAGGTTCAAGCGATTCTTGTGCCTCAGCCTCCCGAGTACCTGGGACTACAGGCGTGCGCCACCACGCCTAATTTTTTTTTGTATTTTTAATAGAGACGGGGTTTTGCTATGTTACCCAAGCTGGTCTCGAACTCCTGAGCTCAGGCAATCTGCCCACCTCGGCCTCCCCAGCGAGGATTATAAGCATGAGCCACCACGCCTGGCACAGATGCGTTCGGAATATAATGTATTTTGGATTTTAGAGTGGTAATATGATGTCTAAACCATATATTCCATAACTCTACCACTGGAGTCTGGGGCAGCACCCTATAATTAAGCACATTCATATTTCTGCAGAAATAAAGTGAGATATAAAAAGCCAGTTGAGTTTTAAGAACTTCCTGAATTTTGGAACTGTAGACAAGCAAATTATAAATGTTCAACTTAAACCAGTTTAAAGGATATTGTATCTAAAACAGGGCCTGTCCCAATAAAGACTAATACTTTATTAGGTCACTTTCTTATTTTTTTAGGTAAATAATCTAAATAGTAGATTATAATTCTATCTCCATTCCAATACCTCTTAATTTCATTTCTTATTGTATCAGCTGGAATTTCCAGAATGTAAAATAAATGGAGTTAGAAGCCATCTTGGAGCCAGGTATGGTGGCTGTAATCCCGCCTGTAATTCCAACACTGGGAAGCTGAGGCAGGAGGATGGCTTGAGCCCAGGAGTTGGACACCAGTCTGGGCAACATGGCGAGACCCTGCCTCTACAAAAATAAAACAGGCTTGGCGTGGTGGCTCACGCCTGTAATCCCAGAACTTTGGGAGGCCGAGGCAGGTGGATCACGAGGTTAGGAGTTGGAGACCAGCCTGACCAACATGGTGAAACCTCGTCTCTATTAAAAATACAAAAATTAGCTGGGCGTGGTGGCACGCGCCTGTAATCCCAGCTACTCAGGAGGCTGAGGCAAGAGAATCACTTGAACCTGGGAGCGGAGGTTGCAGCGAGCCGAGATCGTGCCCCTCCACTCCAACCTGGGTGACAGAAGGAGACTCCGTCTCAAAGAATAAAAATAAATAAAAATAAAAAAATTTAAACTAATTCACCATTATGATGTTAATTAGCTTAGCTGTCATTTTAGATTTTTGTTTGTTTTTTTGAGACAGGTGTCTCATTCTGTCCCCCAGACTGGAGTGCAGTGGCGTGACCACAGCTTACTATAGCCTCGACCTCTTGGGCTCAAGTGATCCTCTCACCTCAGCCTCCTGAGTAGCTAGACTACAGGTGTGTGCCCCTACGTGAAGATCCTTAATGTAATAATTTGGTTGTGTCACAAATCTGGATCTTGGATTTGGAGGCTAGTGAGGGAGCTGAGTACCTGGTTTGTTGCTGACTTGTAACCTAAATGGTACAGTAACTGCTTATGAAAAATGAGGTATCAAGAGAAGGAAAGCCTCATGTCTACCCAAATAGCTTCACGTTCATGAATGTCTGGACATATCCTCTGAGTGTCAGAATTATTATATTTCTCATATTTAAAAAATCATATCTGTATTTTTTTTTGAGACAGTCTAGCTCTCTTGCCTAGGCTGAAGTGCAGTGGCGGGATCTCGGCTCACTGCAACCTCTGCCTCCCGGGTTCAAACGATTCTCCTGCCTCAGCCCCCTAAGTAGCTGGGACTACAGGTGTGCGCCCCCATGCCCAGCTAATTTTTGTATTTTTTAGTAGAGATGGGGTTTTACCAAGTTGGCCAGGCTGGTCTCGAGCTTCTGACCTCAAGTGATCCACCCCCCTTGGCCTCCCAGTGCCAGGATTACAGGCATAAGCCACTGTGTTTGGCCTCATATCTGTATTCTTATATTTATTGATTGATTTTTAGATGGAGTCTCACTCTGTTGCCCAGGCTGGAGTACAGTGGTCCGATCTCAGCTCACTGCAACCTTGGCCTCCCGGGTTCAAGTGATTCTCCTGCCGCAGCCTCCTGAGTAGCTGGAATTACAGGTGCACGCCACCACATCTGGCTAATTTTTGTATTTTTGTAGATACTGGGTTTCGCCATGTTGGCCAGGCTGGTCTTGAACTCCTGACCTGAAGTGATCCGCCTGCCTGGGCCTCCCAAAGTGCTGGGATTACAGGCGTGAGCCACTGTGCCTGGTATGTGTATTTCTTACTAATCAAAATGTTCTTTGAGTAAAGATATTTAAAGATTTCAGGCATTTTTCTTGGCATTTTGTATAACCTTTCTGCATTAACCCTTTGTTATCCATTCCAGGTAGTTTGTTTAGAAAACAAAACAAGAAACAGATTGATTGAGACAGAGTTTCACTCTTGTTGCCCAGGCTGGGGTGCAATGGCATGATCTTGGCTCACTGCAACCTCCACCTCCCAGGTTCAAGCGATTCTCCTGCCTCAGCCTCCCGAGTAGCTGGGATTACAGGCATGTGCCACCATGCCCGGCTAATTTTTTTTTAGTATAGACAGGGTTTCGCCATGTTGGTCAGGCTGCTTTTGAACTCCCGATCTCAGGTGATCTGCCTGCCTCAGCCTCCCAAAGTGCTGGGATTACAGGCATGAGCCACTGCGCCCAGCCAGAATTAGAGTATTTAATGTCCACCCTTTTATTTTCATTATTAGAGAAAGGGTCTTGCTTTGCCACCCAGCCTGGAGTACAGTGTTGTGATCATAGTTTACTACAGCCTTGAATTCCTGGGCTCAAGTGACCCTCCCACTTAAGCCTCCCAAGTAGCTAGGACTCCAGGTGTGTGTGCACCACCACAATTGACCTAATTTTAAATTTTTCTGTAGAGACAAAATGTTGCCACACTGGTCTTGGGCTCCCAGTGTATTGGGGACTATAGGCATGAGCTACTGTACCCAGCCTAATGTTCACCTATTTAAAATGATCTATTTCTTCTCATTCTTTTAATTAAGCATAAACAACCAATATTTAAAACTATTCTATATTTAATCCTAATTCATCTAGATTTTGCCTTATAATGTAAAAACTTACTTTCTAACAAATTACAGAATTTTAGTTTTTCACCTCTGAAAAGGAGCCCCTAACAGTAAAACTGAATTAGTTGCTAGTCTCTCATCCACTGATTCTAGGAGGGTGACATCAGTCAAGGCTCTAAGGGTGTGGAAATTCAGCTTGTCTTTAGAGGATTAGCCCTTTTACATAGACCCCACTTTCGAAACGATGGCAGCACTTTCAAAGAGCCTAGTGGATTAGGATGGGTAATCCTAGAACAACCTGGAAGAACAAGGAAGAACCCTGCTTCCTTGTTAGGAAATTTTACTATTCCTGACAGCTCTGAAGAGGATGTGGTTGGTGAAGTTTCCTGCTTCTACTGGTCATATGTTTATGTGGCCTCCCCTTGTGTGGCCCTGGTGGCTGCAGAAACAGGGGCAACTCTAATTTCAGGGACTGGCATGAGACCAGCAGCCACACTCACCTGCATGAGGTCAACAGCACCAGACTTCCTCTGTGCAAAAGAGGACACAAAATGTATTACCCTTAGACTTTCCAAGATTTTTTAATCATCTCTAATTAGTGGTTCAGGTCACCAGTCTAGGGACTTTAAAAAATCCTGTACATTAAAAAAAACATAGGCTACAGCTGAGTGCGGTGGCTTACAGCTGTAATCCCAGCACTTTGGGAGGCCGAGCCAGGTGGATCACGAGGTCAGGAGTTCGAGACCAGCCTGGCCAACATGGTGAAACCCCGTCTCTACTAAAAATACAAAAATAATAATAATAATAATAATAATTAGCCGGGCATGGTGCCAGGTGCCTGTAATCCCAGCTACTCAGGAGGCTGAGGCAGTAGAGTCACTTGATCCCGGGAGGTGGAAGTTGCAGTGAGCCAAGATCACGCCACTGCACTCTAGCCTGGACGATAGAGCAAGACTCTGTCTCAAAAAAAAAAAAAAGTTACCATGAATATACAGTTTGTTCTTTCTTCCTGAACATTGTGATGCTGGGTCTCTAAACTTTAATATAAACCAATTCCTTAATGTTATCTTCAAGTACTTATTATTAAGGAGGCACAGAAACTACACACATTCTATGACTTTTCTAGCCCTGTTTCCTGAAGGTAACTAAAATTTCTACCCTTGAAAATACTGGTTCTTAATGAGTATAAATGCTTTTCTCAAAACTATGGAAGATCATACTAATCCTTTTATTATAGTTAAAGCATTCAGTGGGACTTGGAGTCCACATTCAGTAGTATCTTGTTTGAATGAGAAATTGTAAAATAAAGGCCTTTCCTCACATGCCAACTTACGGTCAGGGTGGATTTCTTTTTGGAGACCGGGTCTTACTCTGTCACCCAAGCTTAAGTGCAGTGGCACAATCACAACTCACTGCAGCATCAGACTCCTGGGCTCAAGTGATCCTCTTGCCTTAGCCTCCTGAGTAGCTGGGACTACAGGTGCAGGCTACCATGCCCAGCTAATTAAAAATTTTTTGTAGAGACGAGGTCTTGCTATGTAGTCCAGGCTCATCACAAACTCCCGGCCTCAAGCAATCCTCTCACTTCAGCCTCCCAAAGTGCTGGGATTATAGGTGTGAGCCACAGCGCCCGGCCAGAGTGGGTTTCAAAACCAAAGTTGTAGTTTGTTATTTAATTATACCATATAGCTAGTTTACATTTCTGGCTTTTTTTTTTTTTTTTAAGATGGCATTTCTGTCACCCAGGCTGGAGTGCAGTGGCACAATCTCTGCTTACTGCAACCTCTATCCCCCGAGCTCAAGCAATTCTCCCTCCTCAGTGTCCTAAGTAGCTGGGACCACAGATGTGCATGCTAAGTTTTTATATTTTTGGTAGAGACAGGGTTTCACCTTGTTGCCCAGGCTGGTCTTGAACTCCTGAGCTCAAGTGATCTGCCCGGCTAAGCCTCCCGAAGTGTTGGGGTTACAGGTGTGAGCCAGCACGCCTGGTGCTGGCTATGAAATGTCTTAAGCCAAGTAAACTTGTACCAGTGTCAACAAAATGACTAAAGCTACAATGTGAAGATGGTGAATATTTGTCTGCATATACCAAAGGCTTAATACTTAAAATTGGAGGCAAACCACAATGAGACATCACCTCACTAGTTAGAATAACTATTATCAAAAAGACAAAACATAAGAAGTGTTGAGGATGCAGAGAAAAGGGAACCCTTACAATTAAGGGAAATGTACATGAGTACAGCCATTATGGAAAACAGTATGAACGTTCCTAAAAAAATTAAACAGAATTACTCTATGACCCAACAACTGCACTCCTTGGTATGTATTCAAAGGAAGTGAAATCCGTATGTTGAAGAGGTATCTGCAATCCCATGTTTATTGCAGGACTATACACAATAGCCAAGATATAACTGACTTAAGTGTTCAAAGTGAATGAATGGATAAAGAAAATGTGATATATATACACAAAGGAACACTATTCAGCTATTAAAAAGAATGAAATCCTGTTATTTATAACATGAATGAACCTAGAGGACAATACATTAAGTGAAAATAAGCCAGATACAGAAAGACAAATGCCACATTTTCACTTACATGCCAAGTCTAAAAACGTTGATCTATAAGTAGTGAATAGTACATAGAACAGTGGTTACCAGGGACTGGAGGTGGTAGTGGGAGGGATGGGGAGAAGGTGGTGAACAGCTAAAAAGTTACAATTAGACAGGAGGGGCCCAGTGCAGTGACTTACACCTGTAATCCCAGCACTTTGGGAGCCTGAGATAGGACTGTTCGAGGCCAGGAGTTTAAGACTAGCCTGGGTGACATAGGGAGACCCCTATGTCAATATTTTAAAAGATAAAAAATTAGCCAGGCCTGGTGATGCATGTCTGTAGTCTTAGCTACTTGGGAGGCTAAGGTGGGAGGACTGCTTAACCCCAGGTATTTAAGGTTGCAGTGAGCTATGAGCACGCCTGCCACTGCACTCCAGCCTGGGTGAGATCAAGTACCTGTCTCAAAAAAGAGAAAAAAGGAGTAAGATTTGGTATCCTATTGCACAGCAGAGTGACTACAGTCAACAGTAAGGTACTGTGGACCCAGGCACTGTGGCTCATGCCTGTAACCCCAGCATGTTGGGAGACTGAGGCAGAAGGATCGCTTAATGCTAGCCAGGAGTCTGAGACCAGCCCACGCAACATAGTAAGACCCCAACTCTACAAAAAAATAATAAAATTAGCTGGGTACAATGGTGTACACCTGTAGTACCAGCTACTAAGGAGGCTGAGGTGAGAGGATTACTTAACAAGGGAGTTCAAGGCTGCAGTGAGCCATAATCATGGCACTGCACTCTAGCTTGGGCAATAGAGCAAGATCTTGTTTTAAAAAACAAAAAACTAATAAGGTATTGTGTACCTCAAAATAGCTAGAGGAGAGGATTTTAAATGTTCTCACCACAAAAACACCGTGTTTCAGGTGATGGATATGCTAATCACCCTAATTTGATCATTATAATGTATACATGTATCGAAACATCACATTGCACCCCATAAATATGTACATTAGGTGTCAAAAATAAATTTTAAAATAGGAGGTGAAAACAACAGGATGCAATTATTTTCCAAAAGCCTTGTTTTTATTTATATAGAGTCCTAACCACTTCGGTGGTAGGAGGAGTGGGAGAGGCTCCTTTTTCAATCCAGGGACCTCCATGATGTTGGTTTGTTGTTACCAAACACACAGGTAAGTGGCATCACGGATCTGGTAAACTAACGACAATGTTTAGTCTCTCTCTGCTAGAGCAACAAGGTGAGCATCAATCTCTGCTTCTGTAAGAATCCTAGAAGGCAAAAGGGGGAAAAAAACAACGATTTAAAAAAAATTTTTTCAAACACACGTAAAAGTGGGATAGTATAATAAACTCCCATATACCTATCAACCTACTTTAACAATTATCAATTTATAAACCAATCTTTAAAAAATCTATACACACACTTATCTTCCCTCAGATTATTTTGAAGGAATTCCCAGATATTATACCACCTTCACCTATACACAAAAATGTTTACTTTGACATCAGATTTAGAATTGTATCTTGAAAATAAAATTCTTTAGTTGCAGCTAAGATAGAAAATATTTCAATTGAATAACATAAATAAAGCTAAACTATAAAGTATTCTATTTAGCTTCTATGTCAAAATGCATTTATTTTTTATTTTTTTTGAGACAGAGTCTTGCTCTGTCACCCAGGCTGGAGTGCAGTGGCGTGATCTCGGCTCACTGCAAGCTCTGCCTCCCAGGTTCAAACGATTCTTCTGCCTCAGCCTCCTGAGTAGCTGGGACTACAGGCATGTGCCACTATGCCCAGCTAATTTTTCTATTTTTAGTAGAGATGGGGTTTCACCATATTGGACAGGCTGGTCTGGAACTCCTGACCTCGTGACCCGCCTGCCTCAGCCTCCCAAAGTGCTGGGATTACAGGCGTGAGCCACCTTGCCCAGCCGTCAAAATACATTTATATGTAGTATAACTGAAATTTATGTCAGCTCAAAGATAAAAATTCATGAAGAAATTTTAAGCATATTAAAGTGTTCAGATTCAGAAGTTCATGAAAATAAAGTTATAATTCTATGAATAGTCTACCAGCCAGAGAGTGCTCCATGTTGAACATATATTTCCTTTCTCTTTTTTTTTTTTTTTTTTGAGATGGAGTCTGACCCTGTCGCCCAGGCTGGAGTGCAGTGGCACAATCTTGGCTCACTGCAACCTCCGCCTCCCAGGCTCAAGCAATTCTCCTGCCTCAGCCTCCCAAGCAGCTGGGATTACAGGCGTCCACCACCACATCTGGCTAATTTTTGTATTTTTAGTAGAGATGGGGTTTCACCATGTTGGCCAGGCTGGTCTCAAACTCCTGACCTCAAGTGATCTGTCCACTTTGGCCTCCCAAAGTGCTGGGATTACAGGTGTGAGCCACCATGTGTGGCCCTGAACATGTATTTTCTAAATGATGTTTGCCTCGAAAGGAAGCAATTGTTTGGCAACCTTGTTAATGTGACCTATTACTACTAGACTTCTAAAAAGTGAAATTTGTCAAAAGGACATTTTTTAGTGCAACTGAAGGCAATATCAAGCAGTTTAAATAGTTGTTGATGCTTATGCTATGTACTGTAATTATTTACATATATTTACTATCACAGAATTTATAAATGATACAAAGTTTTTTGAAGACAAGATTTTTGATTCCTTACCAATTTAAAAAATAACAAATACAATTTTAAAGGTGGCAGGAAGGTCTCCAAACAGAAAAGAAAACAAGAACTAATTGTAGGTTCCTTAGAGAGATTTTAAGATTATTCTTGCTGAAATTTTTACTTAAAAAAAAAAAAGGCACCTTTTTCAAAAGCAACTTGATCCCTGCCCCCACCCCTCACCCCTACCCCAACCCAAGTTACAAGACTTCTTCCTACGGGAAGAAAAGCTAGGATAGATTCGCTTTTGGTGTTGTCGGTTGTTTTTTTAACAGATGAGGTCTCACTATGTTACCCAGGCTAGAGTGCAGTGGCTATTCACAGGCACTATCATTGCGCACTACAGCTTTCAACTCCAAGGCTCAAGCCATCCTCTTGCCTCAGCCTCCTGAGGAGCTGAGACTACAGATGCATGCCACAGCACCCAGCTGTTTTTTTTTTTTTAAAGTCCTATGAATTTTTCTGAATCTGTCATGTTTATATGACTTATCTGTGGGCAACCAAAAGAACAAATTAGGAAAAAAAAGAACAAACGAAAAACCTCTTCAAGGTCTAGTTAAGCTTAGTTTACCACTCCCGTACCCCACACCACAACCAAGACCATGTGTCTTTATGGTTGTGATCTAAGAATAGATACACATAATAGTTAAAATGCCTCCCAGTAGTTCCTTGTATCTGTCGATTTAACTGCAGTATTTTCATTAAAGATAAGAGCATCCTGGTCCATGGTATATCAACTGCCTCACAGGGCTGCTGGGAGGATTAAATGAGCTGATTATACGAAGCACTCAGTATGGATTTGAATCATGGAAGCTATAAGGCTGATGTGTGGGAGTTAGTCACTTAGTGAGTAAGAACACACACACACACACACACACACACACACACACACATCCAGCAACTGCAAGTCAATTAGCTGTATTCAAAATTTGGGCTTTCCAAAGATCTCTAGATAAGGGTCTGACATATATCAGTAACTCATATTGCTCCTCAAAGTTCTACTTAAATAACCACTAAATAACCAAAGTTCTATCTGAAAAACTTGCAAACTACTACTTTGGGAATTGAATTTGTATTGGCCTTAAACTAAAAAAAAGAAAACACTTATGCTAATTTTTTTCCTTACATAAGGAAGGTAACTTTATGTCATCTCTGGTGTTAGATATAAAATCACTCTGAAATAAGGAGAAAAGCTTTCATATCTGACTCTTAAATAGAGTCCAAAGTTTTAAAAACAGATCTCAGGTGCTGGGGAAAAAAACAAACACACAAACAAAAACTATAATGACAGTTAAAGAAAAAAGATTTCCCCCACAAGTTATAGGACACATGGACTCACACGCCTCCACCTTTCTAGTCTGCATGTGGCCCACAATATCACTCACCTGAATTTAGGATTTTCAACTGTCACTACTCCAACTTCTATTTCTGAAGGTTTGAAATCAATTGATAGAACAGTAGACAGGCATGTAATTGCAGTCTGAAAAAAAGTATTTAATGTTAAAATATAGTATTTTTTAGAGATTCCAAGGTTTTCTCATTCCTAGCTTATTCAAATCATGAGTCAATCAGGAGCTCCATGTTTCAATGAGGTAGTTCAATGTTACTAACAGACTGCTTAACTCTAATGTATTGCCTCCCAATGATGAGAAATTTTTTTCTACCAAGTCAAATAATAAAGGGGTCCATTAATTAAAATAGGATGATTTATACAAAAAGGTTTATTGGCTTCATGACCCAGGCACTACACTTCACTTAGCACTTGGGGTGAAATGGGAAAAGGATAAAGATGAATGATACTCTCTGCATCTTCAAGGAATTTACAGTAAAAACGATTTAAGAATGTTTTAAGTGTTGTTTGTTTGTTTTGTTTCTGTTTTTTGAGGCAGAGTCTCACTCTGTCGCTCAGTCTGGAGTGCAGTGGCGCCAGCCTGGCTCACTGCAACCTCAGGCTCGTGGATTCAAGCGAGTCTCCTGACTCAGTCTCCTGAGTAGCTGGAATTACAGGCGCCTGCCACCATGCCCGGCTAATTTTTGTATTTTTCATAGAGACAGGGTTTCGCCATGTTGGCCAGGATGGTCTCAAACTCCTGACCTCAGGTGATCTGTCTGCCTCCCAAAGTGCTGGGATTACAGGTGTGAGCCACCTTAAGTGTTTTTTTACCGGATGTGGTTATTTATGTAATTAATTATGAATTGCAATAAAAGAAACCTTTAAGAAATATTTAGACAGGGCCCAGTACTTCCTGAACATGAACTAGCTTTTTATCTCCTTTAAGCATACTTCCAAACCAAACGTAAAAGCATTAGATGGTAATTTTTTTTTGGTCACTTATCAGAAGCATGTTGTTAGCATCTTCAGAATGGCTTTAATTCCAGACTTACACCCAAAATCTACTAAAATTTTTGTTTTTAATTTCTTGGCAGTAAATAGGACTGGCCTCGAACACCTAGACTCAAGCAGTCCTCCAGCTTCAGCCTCTCAAGTAGCTGGGACTACAGGTGTGTGCCACCATGCCCAGCTGGTTCCTATTTTTATTTATATTTTCCTATTATATGCGTTTTGTTGAAAGCCACCTCAAATACATTACGAAATAAGGAATTAAGTGAATAAAAGCAACTCAAATTTTCCTATGTCAGCTGTATGATATCAATTTCATTATTAAGTTGACAACTTGAATCCTGGGATGTAATTCAGGAATAGCTTTGTATAGAAATTATACAAAGATCCTCACTGTTCTATATAGCATAAAAAAAGTCAGCTCCTTTTGGTTGACTTACTTCCACTGTCTGTTCAAATGTCCAATCAAATTTCTTCTTCACTTTTTTTTCAAGGAAGCTGGTTGACTCAGTTTGTTTAACTCCCGCTGCAGTGGCTTTAAACCCACAGTAGTAACCTGCAGGATCACACTTATATACCTGAGGGCCTTGCTCTTCATCTATACCAATTAAAATCATACCTAAAAAGAGAAAAGACCCTAATTAAATGTTTTAGCTTTATACAATGACATCTCCTCTTTCTTGGTGGTGTCACATAGCTGCTGCTAATCATGACTTTGGCCATCAATTTTAGGATATGTATTTTCCTTTAAGAAAACTGATAAAATACAGGTTATCACCACAGGTAAATTAGGTAACAGGTAAATTCCCATTTCACAAAAGGATTTATCACAGATTAAAAAAAATAGTTTGAATAATTACAAATACAATTTAAAAATAGTGTTTCCAATCCTTGCTGTTATCCAAGCATGTTTATTTGAACCCTAATCCTTCAAGATGTTGCCTGGTCAAATAAACTTCAAAAACACTTTTTTTTTTTTTTTTTTTTTTTTTTGAGACAGACTCTCGCTCTGTCTCCCAGGCTGGAGTGCAGTGGCACGATCTCGGCTCACTGCAAGCTCCTCCTCCCGGGTTCACGCCATTCTCCTGCCTCAGCCTCCCGAGTAGCTGGGACTACAGGTGCCCACCACCACGCCCAGCTAATTTTTTGTGTTTTTAGTAGAGACCGGGTTTCGCCGTGTTAGCCAGGACTGGTCTTGATCTCCTGACCTTGTGATCCACCTGCCTCGTCCTCCCAAAGTGCTGGGATTACAGGCGTGAGCCACTGCATCTGGCCAACCTTTTTTTTTTTTTTTTTTTTTAGGAGACGAGGACTCGCTGTTGCCCAGGGTGGTCTTGAACTCCTGGGTTCAAGTGATCCTCCTGCCTCGGCCTCCCAAAGTGCTGGGATTATAAGTGTGCACCACTGTGCCTGGCCCAAAAACACTTTCATATACCTTTTCTGGAAACAGATAATAAATAATAGCATATTAAATGCTGTGAAATATTCTGTTGTAGATTGACCTATTTAACTTTAACTCAGTAGTTCTTCTGTTTGTTTGACCAAGAAATACTTTTTTTTTAAAATAGAAATACCTATTAAGGTTCCAGGGAACAGTGTATGGGACACACTTTGGGAATGCTGGCACAAACTGAAATACACTTACAGGCTACCTGCTCACCTTTACACTGCCCATCTTCATTACTGTTGGTATATACTCCTCTAGTAAGTCACACAAACCAAGCTCTAAATTCTATACATGTAACTTTGTTACTACAATTCTAATGTTACCATATTATAGGAATACAATTAAAATAAACACCATCATTAAATTTCTTTCTACTCAGTAGAACAGGTAACAAAGTACTTAATGGTTTGACTGCTTTCTTATATTTGATATATACAAAATATAAGGGCAACACAAAAAAGTACCCACTTACTGCTTGGGGAAACAACAAATACTTCTTTCCTTCAAGGTCTTGCAAGATGAATATGATTTAAGTAATTTTTAAGTGAGAAGTCAAGAGGGTCAGATGCTAAACAGAAATCATTACACTGACTGCTTTAATGCTCATAAATGAATGACACAATGTCAGAAACAAACATGCACTGAATTTTTCAGGCTAATTTATTACATCACATCTAAAAATCAGTAAATCTCATCCCTCTCCCAATACAATTTTACTTGTTTTCAAAAATAGAAATTTATTCTAAAAATGTGAATTACACACCTGTGTGTGACCCTAATTCTTTAGGGTGGTCAAAACAAACAGCTACATTATTAAGATGCCTGATGCAGGTATTTCTATGGAATTAGTAATCTCGAATTGCAGTAGAACCTCATTACAACATCCTAATAATGAGGACTTGCATCTTTCAAATCACATACACCAAATGGAAATACTTTGATAAAAAGTCTAACAGCATCTAAAGCTTAAAGATAATGCCCGACATACTGTTGTGAAACCTATCCTTTAGTTCTGATTTATTATAAAGATTTTCCCACTCTATGTATTTTCCAAACCACATGTTCAGAACTCAAGTGTTATTTAAATAATTCTGTATACATGTTCTGTAAAAAGTTTCAATTCATCAATTATTTGGGAGACCTCTTAGCATACTTACAACAACCAAGAGGCCTCATTTCAGCATTCTGTGTGTAGACCTGAGAAATATCGGCAATTCTTTTACACAGCATGTCCACAGGAATCTCATAGCCATACTTGTATTTCCAGTTAGCTGCCTCATAGCGTGCCCTCTGTACCTGGGATCTGCTGTCAGCTTATAGCATAAAAAACAAAGATTTACCTGGTTAGAAGGAAAGAACAAACCTGAAAGCCAGGCAATTTAGCCAGGCAATTTTCCCACCATATAGACATACATGAGTTAAAGAGAAAGGGTCCGCTACGGCTTTTTCTCCCCCAATGAATACTAAATAACTCATCAACAAGTATATGAAAAAAATTTAAAAACATGAAGCTCTCTACACAGTACTCCCCTTTTATACTGAGCCTTTCATCAGCAGTCAAAATAGTTTCTGCAAGTATCCAGTAACTCCCAAAAGAAAAAGCATTAAGGAGGCAGGGCATGGTGGCTCAACACTTTGGGAGGCCAAGAGAGGCGGATCACTTGAGGCCAGGAGTTTGAGACCAGCCTGGCCAACATGGCTAAATCCTGTCTCTACTAAAAACATAAAATTAGCTGCACGTGGTGGTGCATGCCTGTAGTCCCAGCTACCTGGGAGGTTGAGGCACGAGAATTGCTTGAACCCAGGAGGCGGAGCAGCCTGGGCGACAAAGTGAGACTCTGTCTCCAAAAAAAAAAAAAAAGGCCTTGAGAGAGAATAATCTTTCTTAATCTTTGTTTTTAGGCTTAAATTAGTTTTTCATTTTTTTTTTAGAGATGGGGTCTTGGACTGGCACCCAGTGAGCCATCATAGCTCACTGCAGCCTTGAATTCCTTGGCTCAAGTGATCCTCCTACCTCAGCCTCCTGAGTAGCTAGGACTACAGGTATGTGCCACCATACCAGCTAATTTTTTTTTCTTCTTCAAATGGAGTCTTGCTCCGTTGCCCAGGCTGCAGTACAGTCTCATGATCTTGGCTCACTGCAACCTCTACCTCCCGGGTTCAAGCGATTCTCCTGCCTCAGCCTCCTGAGTAGTTGGGATTACAGGCACCTGCCACCATAGCTGGTTAAGTTTTTTGGTATTTTTGTTTTTATTTTTTGAGACAGTCTCACTCTGTTGCCGAGGCTGGAGTGCAGTAGTACAATCTCAGCTCACTGCAACCTCTGCCTCCCGAGTTCAAGCAATTCTCCTGCCTCACCCTCCTGAATAGCTGGGATTACAGGTGTGCGTGCGCCACCATGCCCAGCTAATTTTTGTATTTTTGGTAGAGATGGAGTTTCACCACGCTGGCCAGGCTGATCTCGAATTCCTGACCTCAAGTGATCCGCCTGCCTCGGCCTCCCAAAGTGCTGGGATTACAGGTGTGAGCCACCGTGACCAGCCCCTAGCTAATTTCTAAATTTGTTATAGAGATGGAGTCTCACCATGTTGCCCAGGCTGGTTTTGAACTCTTGGTCTTAAACAATCCTCTCACCTTGGCCTCCCAAAGTGCTGGGATTACAACTGTGAGCCACTGTGCCCAACCTAAAATAATTTTCATAATAATTCTCACTCACTTCTAACCGATGCCATTATTACCAGGTTTGAGATATACTGAGTTAGGTCCCCTTAAACTACTAACTATAGCTGAAATAAGATAAAATCATCTATGAAAGGGCCCTCAGCCCAGTTTCTCCGACAGCAGCATAAGCATCTAATTCTATTATAGGTATAATTTCAAAAAAGCTCACAATACTCTTAAAATATTGATACTAGTCTTAGAAGACTGCAAATCCACTCATGGCACTTGAAAATCAGGCAATAAGTTTAAAATTAATACAAAACTCAAAATAATTTGAAGAAAATAACAAAAGGCTTGTATATCTACAGATGTCTTGTATATCTACAGATTAATTACCTGTCATTCCGGTCATCACACAACCAATGTTTTCAGTTATCTTGAATAAGTGAGTCACTGTGCTGGAATCCAATAATTTGTCCTAATAAACAAAATAAACAAAGATAATTTTTTAAAAAACATACAGGTTTCTGTGTAGTTATAAAAAAAATTATGTTTTTAATTTGCCCTGCTTCTTGGAGAAAACAATACTATGGAACCATAAAAATAAACTGTATAATAAATGTCTTCTGATCATTTTATAGTTAAAATCAATTTTAGTTTCGAGGGGCTCTATTTACCTTTTCTAGATGATACTTTTCCTGTGGACAAGCAATAGCTTAATAAAAATTTGTCTCAAGGTCCCCAAAGACAAAAGACTTAGAAACACCGTTATGCTTATAATCACGCCATGAAGTTTAATAAGTTAATTCTGTCCACACAGCTGAACTGTATATAGACGTTCAATAGACACTTCTTGGATGACAGGAAAGCAGGGTCAAAGCAAGATTATGTTAATATTTGTATATAAAAATACACTTTTCTACAAACCCATGAAAAATTCTTTTTTCTTTTCTTTTTTCTTTTTTTTTTTGAGACGGAGTTGCACTGTTGTTGCCCAGGCTGGAGTGCAATGGTGTGATCCTGGCTCACCGTAACCTCCACCTCCCAGGTTCAAGTGATTCTCCTGCCTCAGCCTCCCGAGTAGCTGGAATTACAGGCATGTGCCACCACGCCTGACTAATTTTGTATTTTTAATAGAGACAGGGTTTCTCCATGTTGGTCACGCTGGTCTAGAACTCCCGATCTAAGGTGATCTGCCCACCTCAGCCTCCCAAAGTGCTGGGATTACAGGTGTGAGCCACTGCACTTGGCTGAAAAATTCTTATATTCTGCAATTATTAACTATTTGGGCAGTATTACTTACAGGTACTTTCTTCTGTGTGACAATTACTGCACAGTCTTTCCCTCTGACAGCTACTGATGTAAGGCCACCCTGGTTAATAGCCTTAAAAGCATATTCTGGAAAACAGAACAGTTTTTTTTAAGTTGGAATAAATTACTGTAGATTCTTGCAATGAAATAATAGTCATTAAAAAGAATGAGAAAGAGCTACATGAACACAGAATGCTCATATAGCATTCCAGGATGTGC
Source organism: Homo sapiens (assembly GCF_000001405.40). NCBI lineage: Eukaryota > Metazoa > Chordata > Mammalia > Primates > Hominidae > Homo > Homo sapiens. Next base: position 35,307,861 of record NC_000014.9, on the reverse strand, counting down.
AAAGTCAAAATAATAATAATGACCACAAGTCACAGTTAAACCAACTCCATTTCTTCCATTTTCATTTTACTGAAATTATTTTCATTAAGCTGATGCACCCAATTTCCAATAAAGTTTTTTTCTTTTTTTAAACAGAGTCTCGCTCTGTCACCCAGGCTGGAGTGCAGTGGTGCGACCTGAGCTCACTGCAACCTCTGCCTGCCAGGTTAACGCTAGTCTCCTGCCTCAGCCTCCTAAGTAGCTGGGATTATAGGCGCGTGCCACCACATCTGGCTAATATTTGTATTTTTACTAGAGACGGGGTTTCGCTGTGTTGGCCAGGCTAGTCTTGAACTCCTGACCTCAGGTGATCCACCTGCCTTGGCATCCCAAAGTGCAGGGATTACAGGTGTGAGCCACCACTCCCCGCCCCAATAATGGTTTAATTTAATTTTTATCATACTGCATCTTTATCAATGATGTTTTGTCATTTTAAAAGGTTTTTTGTGGCCATTATTTCTAAGTCTGGTTTTCCCAGGTCAAATTTAGCTGCTTTAAATTTTTTCTAGACTTAATACTTTTGTTAACTTTTGGTCAGTAACTAATTTGACCACATGAAGTTTTAATTGCTGTTTGATTATTTTGCATTAATTTTTGTCTACCAAGTTGAATATTTCTGGATCATGCTTTTTGCAATTTTTATGTTACCTACAACATATGACTCTTTTCTTTTTTGAGATGGAGTCTCGCTCTGTCGCCCAGGTTGGAGTGAGGTGGCACGATCTTGGCTTACTACAACCTCCGCTTCCCAGGTTCAAGTGATTCTCCTGCCTCAGCCTCCTGAGTAGCTGGGATTACAGGTGCACACCACCATGCCCAGCTAAGTTTTTGTATTTTTAGTAAAGATGGGGTTTCACCACGTTGGCCAGGCTGGTGCCGAACTCCTGACCTCAGGTGATCCACCCACCTCGGCCTCCCAAAGTGTTAGGATTACAGGCGTGAGCCACCATGCCAGGCCAACATATGACTCCATCTATAACAAACCTCAGCTTATGCACTTCTAGCTGCTGTCAATCCATTCTATTGGTTAAAACACTAGGATCAAAATAGTAGCTTACAAAAAAACTGCTTTGGCACCATGTAGCATAATTGATAATGGCTGTCTTTCGACAGTAAGATTACAGATCTTGCTCTGTCACCCAGGCTGGAGTGCAGTGGCATGATCTTGGCTCACTACAACCTCTGCCTCCCGGGCTCAAGCGATTCTCCTGCCTCGGCCTCGTCCTGAGTAGTTGGGATTACAGCTGCCCGCCACAACACCCAGCTAGTTTTTGTATTTTCAGTAAAGACAGGGTTTCACCATGTTGACTAGGCTGGTCTTGAACTCCTGACCTCAGGTGATCTGCCTGCCTCAGCCTCCTGAAGTGCTGGGATTACAGGCATGAGCCACTGCACCTGGCCCAAATTTTTCTTTTTTAAAAAATTTTTAGTAGAGATGACGTCTCACTATCTTGCCCAGGCTGGTCTTGAACTTCTGAGCTCAAGCGATCCTCCCATATCAGCATTCCAAAGTGCTGAGATTACAGGCGTGAGCCACCAGGACAGCCTCTGCAATATTTAAATTTAATAATAGACACATATTTTGGTGGGTTTTGAGATAGGGTCTTGCTCTGTTGCCTAGGCTGGAGCACCAGGGCATGATCATAGCTCACTGCAGCCTCGACCTCCCGGGCCCAAGTGATCTTCCAGCCTCAGCCTCCTGAGTAGCTGGGACCACAGGTGTATACCACCACACCCAGCTAATTTTCAATTTTTTTCCTGTAGAGATGGAGTCTTCCCATGTTGCCCAGGCTGGTCTCAAACTCCTGGACTCAAGCGATCCTCCCACCTCAGACTCCCAAAGTGATGGGATTACAGGGATGAGCCACCATGCCTGGCCTGTTTATTTTATTTTTAGTTAAAAATAGATATGGGGTCTTGCTATGTCGCCCAGGCTGGTCTCAAACTCTGGCTCAAGTGATCCTCCCACCTTAGGATTACAGGCATGAGCCACTGTTCCTGGCCTGGGCACATATTTTGTAATCAGGGGAAAAGCAACAAAAATCAATACATGCTCATGGTAGAAAATATGAAAACACAGAAGATAACTTTTAAATAATTATTCATAATCCCAATCATTATTTACATTTTGACATATAACAGATTATTTCAAAATTCTGTCTTCGAGTGTCACTCTGGGCACTGAGTCTGAGCCAAGGCCTCATCTGTTCAAAAAGCCACAGGTGATGACGACCAGCTAAGAAAGCTACTGCCTATCAGGCTAAAGAATCTCTTTTAATAGAAACTGTAATAAATCATCAAATATTTCTAAATGGCTAACTATTTAAGAGAGAACAAAAGAACAGAGCAAAAATGATTCTAGAAAAATCACCTTAAAGGAAATCCTCAGCTGGGTGCAGTGGCTCACATCTGTAATCCTAGCAATTTGGGAAGCCAAGGTGGGAGGACTGCTTGAGCCCCGGAGTCCCAGGCCAGCCTGGGCAACATGGCAAGACCCTGTCTCTACAAAAAAATGTTAGCTAGGCATGGTGGTACACCTGTGGTCCCAGTTCCTTGGGAGGCTGAGGCAAGAGGATCACTTGAGCCCAGGAGGTCGAGGCTGCAGTGAGCCGTGCTCACACCACCGTACTCCAGCCTGGGCAACAGAGCAAGACCCCATTTCAAAAAAAAAAAAAAGAAACAAAAGAAAAGAAATCTTCAAATATGGCTTGGATTTAACTGGTTTTATCATTATTATCATTATTGAGCAAGAGACAGCATCTTGCTCTGTCACCCAGGCTGAGTGCAGTGGCACAATCATAGCTCACCACAGCCTCAAACTTCTGATTCAGACCCTCCCACTTCAGTCTCCTGAGCAGCTGAGACTACAGGTGGGTATCACCATGCCTAATTTAAAACAATTTTTTAGAGATGGGGTCTCACTACATTGCTCAGGCTGGTCTCAAACTCTTGGCCTCAAATGATCCTCTTGCCTCGGCTTCTGGAGTAGCTGGGATTACAGCAGGTATGAGCCATAACCCCCAATTTAATTGGTTAATTATAATAGCAAAATTTTACCATCCCATTACACTACAAATAACTTTTTTTTTTTTTTTTGAGATGGAGTTTCACTCTGTCGCCCAGGTTGGAGTGCAGTGGTGCAATCTTGGCTTACTGCAACCCCTGCCTCCTGGGTTGGAGCAATTCTGCCTGAGCCTCCCGAGTAGCTGGGATTACAGGTGTGCACAACCACGCCCAGCTAATTTTTGTATTTTTAGTAGAGACGAGGTTTCGCCATGTTGGCCAGGCTGGTCTTGAACTCCTGACCTCAGGTAGTACACCCACCTCGGCCTCCCAGATGCTGGGATTACAGGTGTGAGCGACCGCGCTCAGCCTACACTACAAATAACTTCTAAAATGTAGCTGGTGCCTCGCTATTTGTGGGGATTGGTTCTAGGACCTCCCATGGATTCCAAAATCCACAGAAACTCAAGTCTCTGATATAAAATGGCACAGTATTTGCACATCGCCTATGTATATCCTCCTGTATACTTGAAATTATCCCTAGCTTGGCCAGGCGTGGTGGCTGACACCTGTAATCCCAGCACTTTGGGAGGCAGAGACAGGCAGATCACCTGAAGTCAGGAGTTCAAGACCATCCTGGCCGACATGGTGAAACCGCATCTCTATTAAAAATACAAAAATTAGCCAGACATGGTGGCAGGTGCCTGTAATCCCAGCTACTCAGGAGGCTGAGGCAGGAAAATCGCTGGAACCTGGGAGGTGGAGGTTGCAGTGAGCTGAGATTGCACCACTACACTCCAGCCTGGGCTACAGAGCGAGACTCCGTCTAAAAAAAAAAGAAAGAAATTATCTCTAGCTTACACTACACGAGCTAATACAATGAGTGAGACTCCGTTTAAAAAAAAAAAAAGAAAGAAATTATCTCTAGCTTACACTACACTAGCTAATACAATGTAAATGCTAAATAGTTGTTATACTACATTGTTTAGCGAATAATGACAAGAAAAAAATCTGTACATGTTCAGTACAGGAGCAATTTTTTCCCTGAATATTTATGATCTGCAGCTGGTTGAATCCATGGATGATGAACCCATGAATATGGGTTGAATATGGAGGACTAGCTGTACAACTTTCAAAGTGCTTCTTGATTCTGATCCTGATATGGCTAATAAAGCTTCTATCAGATCAGCCCTCCACAAATAAAAAGTACTAACTCTAAACAAAACAACAACTACCTAAAGACACCACAAAGTCAGATTCTAGAGGGGAAGTCAACAGTTGGGAGAAAGGAATGGCATGAGTTGAGTTTCCCATTTTTGTGGCTCATAATCTGAGAGCAGTAAAGGCTGAACTCCCACAGAAAACTCAGTCTTTTTGGCCTGAAGAACTAGAGAACAGTTTGGGGTAACAATAGCTGCCAGAAAACAAGGGAGAGAAACCAGAGCACTAGAGAGTGAGAGTCCCAACTTCTATATATAAACACTGCCCAAATCTCTAGCAGATTCCATAACAACACACACAAGGCAGACTCCAAGCGGCCTAGTTAAGGATAAAAGAAACCGAGTGAGATTTAAGATGCCACCCAAGAGACAGACTTTGTAGCTTGAGAATAACCAAATTAACTGCCTATTAGAACAAAACAAGTCAATACTCTTTGGAGAAATATAACAGAATCCACAGTCTTCATAAAATAACATTCATAAATGTCCAGGATACAATCCGGAACTCTCAATATACCAAAAAACAAATCAAGTCAAACTAAAAAACCAAAACCAAAACCAAACAACAAAAACCAGGAATATTGTGTTTAATTCTCAAAAAGAACAATCCTGAGACGACCCAGATGTTGCTGTATTAGCAAAGAATTAAAAACAACCATTATAACTATGCTCAATGACATGATGGAAAATGTTCTCAAAATGAAAAATGATAGGAAATCTCAGCAAAGAAAAAATGAAAGAAGCAAAAGGAAATTGTAGAACTGAAAAATATAATACGTAAAATTTAAAAATTCACCAAATGGACGTAACTGTAGAATGGAGATGAGAAAGGAAAGAGTGAGTGAATATGAAAATGTATCAAATGATCCAATCTTAAAAAGGCAGAAAAAATAGTTGAAAAAAACAACGAATCTGTGGGTCTACATCAAAATGTGTAAGATATGTACAACTGGAGTCCTATATGGAGAGCAAAGAATCGGAAAACAAAATCTGAAGAAATAATGGCTAAAAATGTTAAAAATATGGCAAAAGACAAAAAAATTTCAGATTAAAGAACCTCAGAAAACTCCAAGCAAAATGAAAACAGAAAATCACATATAGATTCATTATGGTCCAATGTCTGAAAACCAAAAATAGAAAAAATTTTGAAAACAGAGAAAAACAAATGAAAAACATAAAGAAACTATGACATAATAAGTGTGTGTTGTTTAAACACCACTAAATTTGTAGTGATTCTGGCTGTGTGTGATGGCTCATGCTTGTAATCCCACTGCTTTGGGAGGCTGAATGGGGAGGATCGCTTGAGCCCAGAAGTTTAAGACCAGCCTGGACAACATGGCCAGAAATCAAGAAACAGTAACAGACAACAAGAGAAAAACCAGCTAAGTCAAAAACTGGTTCTTTGAGCCAATAAAATCATTAACCCTCTGGTAGGTTGGTAAATGCATCCCCAAAATATATCTATGTCCTAGTCCCTGGAACCTGTGAATGTTACCTTATATGGCAAAAGCAGGCAGAGGGTCTTTAGAGATGTGATTTTTTCCTAGAAAAAAAAAAATTCTAGTAACACTTGATCTTCAATCCCACATAGCAACTGGCCACAAAGAAAAAAAAAATCACCTAAGCTGAGCAGGTGTTTTGCAGTTTTCCACAGGTCCCACCATTTCCTGTTATCTTTCACTCAGCCTGTTTTACTCACTGGCATTACTTATCTGGTCTGTGTAAGCATTTGTGTCTGTCATCCCTGAACTAAATAAATGAATACATGCTTATTGCTTAAATAATGCAAAAGGTAAAAGCCACAAAAGAGTATCTTCCCTACCACATAAACTTTTGTCTCACAAAATAAAAAACATTTTACATATAAAAAATGCTTCTCAACAGAGAATGCACCTGTGAATTTGCCAGGATTCATTAAGGGGGCCCTCGTTCTTTATATAGACCAGTGCTGTCCAACAGAAATTTCTGTGATGCTGGCAATGTTCTATATTTGCAATGTCCAATATGATAGTCACTAGTCATATGTGGCTATTGAGCACATAAAATGTGGCTAGTGTAACTGAGCAACTGGATTTTAAAGTTTTTTTTTTTTTGAGATGGAGTCTCACTCTGTCACTCAGGCTGGTGTGCAGTGGAGCAATCTTGGCTCGCCGCAACCTCTGCCTCCCAGGTTCAAGCGATTCTCCTGCCTCAGCTTCCTGAGTAGCTGGGATTACAGGCACACACCACCACACCCAGCTAGTTTTTCTGTATTTTTAGTAGAGACGGGGTTTTACCATGTTGGCCAGGCTGGTCTCAAACTCCTGACCTCAAGTGATCCACCCGCCTCGGCCTCCCAAAGTGCTGGGATTATAGGTGTGAACCACTGCGCTCAGCCAAATTTAAAGTTCTTTGTTAAGAATATCATTCCTACTCTTCCTCTCCTACTTCTCTGAACTTCCCTTCTCAATCTTCTTCACTGCTTTCATCTCTTCAGCCAGCTCCTGAAATACTGGTATTTCCCAGAATTCTATTATTTTCTCCATCCCTGGATGATTTTACCCTAAACCAGAGATTTAGCTATAACCTAGATAATCACTACTAATCTGTCATCTCTAGCTCTGGACTTATAATTACAAATGTCTATTTCTTCAAATACCTATGCCTATTAGCCACAGACATGTCTAAAAATAAACTCTTCCTCTTTATAAACCTGCTTTTCTTACAGTCCTTATTTCATAATTGTATTACTAACCACTCAATTTTTCAAGCTACAAACCTGGGTTATCACTCTTGACTCTAACCTCCTGCCCTTTCCCAAGAAATGTCCATTCTTATACCTAGGATTTGCTTTAACGTACTCTAGAAGAGCGGGGAAAGTGCGTGGGAAAGGGAGAAAACAAGACTGACAAAATATTGACATCAGATGAAGCTGTGTGATGGGTACATGAAGGTCACTGTACTAGTCTATCTACATTTGTCTAAAGTATTCTATAATAAAAATGTGAAAAATAAGCTCAAGAGACCCCTCCACCCTTTCTCTCTTATTACCTTAATTCACTCATTAGGGTTTATATGAATTACTGATACTGAGCAAACCTCTTCTAATTGTTCTTCCTGCCACCAGTCCCCTTTTTATTTTCTTTTCTGAGACAAGGTCTCACTCTGTTGTCTAGGCTGGAGTGCAGTGGTGTGATCGTAGCTCACTGCAACCTGAAACTTTCGGCTCAAGCAATCCTCCTACCTCAGCCTCCAGAGTATGTGGGACAACAGGTGTGTACTACCACACCTGGCTAATTTCATTTTATATATTCTGCAGAGACAAGGTCTTGTTATTTTGTCCAGGCTAGTTTCGAACTCCTGGCCTCAAGCAATCCTCCTGCCTTAGCCTCCCAAAGTGTTGGAATTCCAGGTGTGAACCATCAGTCCCTTTCTAATCCCATTTCTACACTCAACTCTCCTATTATTTTACTTAATTACCTCGCCATTCTTAAAGACCCCTGCTAGCTCTGTTCAAAACACATGGAAAAAAGTCCAAACTCTAGCATGGTACTCAAGCCCCTTCAAAATATTGCTATAATTTACTCTTTCAGTTGTTACTGTCTATACTGCATTCACACTGACTGATCTATGCACTGGTCCCCCAAATTTCCTTATTTAATCTTCATCTGGGCCAATTCATCTCTGAGAAGCCTTTCCCGGCTCTCCTAGGCAGTTAGTCACTTCCTGTAATACCTTTTTTATACTATTTAGTACTCATCAAGCTGCACTGTAATTTCAGTAAAGGCTTGTATAAATGAATCCCCATTTTAACACTACCACCATGAAATGTTTTATAATAATTTCCAGAAAAATGGAAACTGCCAGAGCAAAGAATTTAGACAACTCAACACCTAAAGAGTATCTTTTAAAGAAACACTGGCAGGGTAAACAGTAGTATCATGGTTTAGAGCAGATACGGACAACCTATGGTATATGAAGGCCAATTAAGAAAAAAGAGGCTGGGCATGGTGGCTCACGCCTGTAATCCCAGCACTTTGGGAGGCCGAGGCGGGTGGATCACTTGAGGTCAGGAGTTCAAGACCAGCCTAACCAACATAGTGAAACACTGCCTCTATTAAAAATACAAAAATTAGCCAGGTGTGGTGGCAGGCGCCTGTAATCCCAGCTATTGGGGTGCTGAGGCAGGAGAATCGCTTGAACCCAGGAGACAGAGGTCGCAGCAAGCCGAGATTGCACCACTACACTCCAGTCTGGGTGACAGGGTGAGACTCCATCTCAAAAAAAAAAAAAGAGGCTGGGCACTGCGGCGGCTCACACCTATAATCCCAGCACTTTGGGAATGGAGGCAGGAGGATCAGTTGAGCCCAGGAGTTCAAGACCAGCCTGGGAAACACCAAGATGTCATCTCTACTAAAAATAAAAAGTTATCTGAGCATGGTGGTGTATACCTGTACTCCCAGCTACTTGAGAAGCTGAGGCAGGAGAATTTCTTGAGTGCAAGAGTTTGAGGCTACAGTGAGCTATGATTACACCACTGCACTCCAGCCTGGGCGACAGAGTGAGACCCTGTCTCAAAAAATAAATAGCTGGACGCAGTGACTCACGCCTATAATACCAGTACTTCGGGAGGCCGAGGCAGGTGGATCACTTGAGGTCAGGAGTTTGAGACCAGCCTGGCCAACATGGTGAAACTCTGTCTGTACTAAAAATGCAAAAATTAGCCAGGTATGGTGGTGCGCGCCTGTAATCCCAGCTACTCAGGAGACTGAGGCAGGATAATTGAGTTAACCTGGGAGGCGGAAGTTATAGTGATCTGAGATTGCACCACTGTACTCCAGCCTGGGCAACCGAGTGAAACTCTGTCTCCAAAATAATAATAATAATAATAAAGAAATAAAGATAAAAATAATAGTTTATGGGCAGCATTTTAAAATGATATTTATTTTTTAAAGTCAGGATTCAAACGTTGGCAACAGTACTTAAACACTACATGATCAAAGACTTTGGTTTGGGCTAAAATTTTGGAAACTTACAGAACTCTAAAACTGAGTAAACTATTCTTGAATGTCCAAGATTATGCAAGAAAATAATAAGTCATAGTTCCTTTTCCTTTTTTTTTTCTTTTTTTGAGATGGAGTCTCACTTTGTTGCCCAGGCTAGAGTGCAGCAGTGCGATCTCAGCTCACTACAACCTCCACCTCCCGGGCTCAAGCAATTCTCCTGTCTCAGCCTCCCTAGTAGCTGGGTCTACAGGGGCACGCCACCACACCCAGCTAATTTTTGTATTTTTAGTACAGATAGGGTTTCACCATGTGGGCCAGGCTGGTCTTGAACACCTAAACTTAGGTTATCCACCTGCCTCGGCCTCCCAAAGTGCTGGGATTACAGGTGTGAGCCACTGTGTCCGGCCCCATTTTCCAGTTTTTAAATGGGAAAAATTATAATGCATTAAACTCGACTCCAAGCCCCCAATTTTCTAAATCTTAAATACACAGTAAAATACCTAAGTATTAGATTGAACCACACGAAACTGCCATTTTTACAGGTTAAAAATTAGTCAAAGACCAGCAGTTTCATGGTTGAACCCAACAACAAACCATTAGGTTAGGAAGTAAATTGCTTCCTTGCTCAAACAAAATGGTATCAACAGTTATTTTGTATGTAGAAATGTCATTTCCATAGTAATATCTTATTTGCTTTGTTTCCTTCCCTACCATTTTCCCCAACACTTCCTCAATTTCTCTGGGATTCATTTGTATACTAGAAAAATACAGTGGCTAAACATAAAAGGCACGGTGGCAAAATGTTCAGGACAGGCACACGATGCAAGACAATGGCTCACACTGTACACAGCTCAGGCTGTGAGAACAACAGCAGAGATATATATTCCCTTTATGTCACTCATCAGGTGTTGCAAAGCATTTACAGGTGATTCTGAGGTCCTACCAATTATTAGAAATGTAACTCAAGACTTTTTCCACCCATAATTTTGTTTAGAATGCTGTAGAGTTTCGGGATGTAAATATGATTTTCTCCCATATAAACGTGGGCTTGAAAAATAAAAATGAATTGAGAGATACATATTCTATGAGTTATTAAAAAACAGGCCTCACGGTGGCTCACGCCTGTAATCCCAGCACTTTGGGAGGCCGAGGCAGGCGGATCACGAGGTCAGGAGACTGAGACCATCCTGGCTAACACGGTGAAACCCCGTCTCTACTAAAAATATAAAAAATTAGCTGGGCTCGGAGGCAGGCGCCTACAGTCCCAGCTACTCAGGAGGCTGAGGCAGGAGAACGGCGTGAACCCAGGAGGCGGAGTTTGCAGTGAGCAGAGATTGCAACACTGCACTCCAGCCTGGGTGACAGAGCGAGACTCAATCCCCCCCAAAAAAATAAAAATAAAAATAAAACGGGATGTTCTACTGGGACAAAGAAAGTATATTCATATTCAATTTCAATGCTGTGTGGCAAAAAAAAAAAAAAAAAAAAAAAAAAACTTTGTTAAGATTTTTTTGAAGCTACTTATTTGCTTTTCCCTAAACTTGTAGGCTACATAATTGAGATGTGTGGTTCACTATAAAGTGCCTCCTAACCTTTTACTCTTTAGAACAGTGATTCCTCAAGGGGGTGGGGTCATTAGAAATCTTGGCACTGGGGGAGGGGGAAAGAGAGGGGGAATATGAGGTTTGAAAATACAGCAGTATTTGATCCCATCACTTTTTCTGTGTAGTTATATATGTATTTATGTAGATATGCACATGTATGTATGTGTATGCATGCACACACATGCATTGAATTTCAAATCAGATTCAAAGAGGGCATGAGAAGCCTGGGTTGAGAAATACTGCTTTGAAATAAGAATATTTTTTAAATTGCAAAAGAGGCAAATGGTAAGTACTTCTCAGTCATTTGTGAAATTTCTGACTCCATTTACATCAGCCATTTGTTTCTTCTTGACAGTATCCCCTACAGAAAATACTAATTGAAGGCGGGGCATGGTGGCTCACGCTTGTAATCCCAGAACTTTGGGAGGCCGAGGTGGGCAGATCATGAGGTCAGGAGTTCAAGACCAACCTGGCCAACATAGTGAAACCCTGTTTCTACAAAAAATACAAAAACTAGCCGGGCATGGTGGCAGGCGCCTGTAATCCCAGCTACTCGGGAGGCTGAGGCAGGAGAATCACTTGAACCCAGAAGGCAGAGGTTGCAGTGAGCTGAGATCACGCCATTGCACTCTAGCCTGGGCGACCAAGTGAGACTGTCTCAAAAACAAACAAACAAACAAACAAACAAACACCCAGAAAACATTGAGTGCTTACTATATATACCGGGCAATGTTTTAAATGCTTTACATTTATTAACTAATTAAATCCTTAAAGCCCTATAAGGTAGGTGGTTATTATCTTTATTTTACAGATAAAAAGTTCTTAGAGTTGGTATGCAGTAAGGACTTGAACTCAGGAATTCTGGCTTCAATACACAATGACACTTCTACATTTTATTTTCAGTATGTCTCCACCAGTCCATTTCTTTCTAGTTCCCTATCAGCACGCTCCCTTCTTTGTAGCAACCAGGCAGTGCTCACATACACCTGTCAAGCAAATCCAAATGACCACTCCTCTTCTCCTTTGCCAGACCTATCCAGCAAAGGATCAGCAAACAGAAGAGAAGGGCCTACAAGTAGCCAGGCTGAATTTGGCCAACTAGGGCCTCAGTCCCATTCCCCCTACAATGCACCTCCTCCCTCTAGTAACTTGGGCAATTCCTGAAAATAGATTACAAAGCTAGGTGTTCTACAATTTTTAACAAATGAATACATGCACACACATACAACCTGCATATGTACATTAAGAGAAATATTTCAGGCCGAGCGCAATGGCTCATGCCTGTAATCCCAGCACTTTGGGAGGCCGAGGTGGGTGGATCACCTGAAGTCAGGAGTTCAAGACCAGCCAGACCAACATGGTGAAACCCCATCTCTATTAAAACTGCAAAATTAGCCAGGAGTGGTGGCACATGTCTGTAATCCCAGCTACTTGGGAGGCTGAGGCAGGAGAATCGCTTGAACCTGGGAGGTGGAGGTTTCAGTGAGCTGAGATCACGGCCATTGCACTCCAGCCTGGGCAACAAGAGCGCAACTCTGTCTCAAAGGGAAAAAAAAAAAAAAGAAAAAGTCTTTCTCTCCACTCCCTGGGAGCAAACACTGCCAATAATATGTTATTAATAATTATAAAGTATGTTTATAATTATGATTGGCATTACAACTTTTTTTTTTTTTTAGATGGAGTCTAGCTCTGTCACCCAGTCTGGAGGTGCAATGGCACGGTCTTGGCTCACTGCAACCTCTGCCTCCTAGGTTCAAGCGATTCTTGTGCCTCAGCTTCCTGAGGAGGTAGGACTACAGGCACGCCAGCACAAGCAGCTAGTTTTTTGTATTTTTAGTAGAGACAGAGTTTCACCATGTTGGTCAGGCTGGTCTTCAACTCCTGACCTCAGGTAATCTGCCCACCTCGCCCTCCCAAAGTGCTGGGATTACAGGTGTGAGGCACTGCACCTGGCCAAGCATTATAACTTTAAATGTCTACCTCTATTTTTTGATATATCAACTTTAGACGACATTTATCTTTTGAGTCCCAAGTATGGAAGATAAAGAGCATAGTTACCTTCCATTAATCTCCCCTCATCATCATCCCATTTTTAAAATATTATTTTCCTACTGTCAATGTTAACAACTTGCATCCTATAATCCTTCCATGCTTTGTCTTTGGAGGATTCTAAAGTTTACAAACAGACAGTATTTAGAATATTATGATTATGTATATATTTTACTGGAGAACTAAGCATGGAAGGACCCATAAAAAGGGAAATATTCCATACAGAGCTACTAATCTAATAGACCAAAAAAAAAAGGGGGGGCCAAAGAATCAAACAAGCATCTAATAACATTCACTGAGCATTTACTATGTGGCAGGCACACGTTAAGCACTCTACATACATTGCCTTATTTAATTCTCAAAACCACCATTTAAGGAAGAATTATTATGAGCCCAACTTTGGAAAGAGAAACTAAGGCTAAGGTTACATACCTGGCAAGTGCCCAGATCAGGTAGTATGGAGCAGGGCAGAGATTTGAATCCATGTATGACTCCAGGGCCTGAACTCTTCACTATACTGCTTGCTCATACTACTCTTTCACTTTCATTTTCCTAACAATGTCTAATTAATGCCCTGAATAGCAGAGGGAGTGTGTTATTCACAGAGATTAAAATCATTCTGTCTAGGCTGGTGCTAGGCCCGGTGCTCACGCCTGTAATCCCAGCACTTTGGGAGGCCGAGGTGGGTGGATCACCTGAGGTTGGGAGTTCGAGATCAACATGGAGAAACCTCGTCTCTACTAAAAATACAAAATTAGCCAGGCGTGGTGGCGCATGCCTGTAATCCCAGTACTTGGGAGGCTGAGGCAGAATTGCTTGAACCCGGGAGGCGGAGATTGCGGGGAGCCGAGATCGCGCCATTGCACTCCAGCCTAGGCAACAAGAGTGAAGCTCTGTCTCAAAAAAATAAAAATAAATAAAAAATCATTCTGTCTAGATAATGAACTTGTTTTCAGATAGATGTTCTCTTCCAAATCTTTTAAAACCATCACAATGACACTGTGTTCAGCCTTTCCACTCACCAAATCTGGGAAGCATTAACGATTATGCTTTATGGCTGGACTTCACAATACAGTATATAGAAACAAAGTAAAGGTCTCAGAGTGACTTTTCCTGTTCACATATTAAAAATCACGAATGGAACGCTGAAAGCAGTAGTCTAATATACGAAAATTATTTAAAACTCAGGAATTTAATACAATAAATGAAAATTCTTTGAGGATACAGTTATCTCTTTGTTCTATCTTTAATCATGTTTTTCAATTGGGGATAAATTAAAAGGGCTACTGAATTATCCAACAAGATGTTTCTTGCTACATTATATACACTATGCAGTAATACACTGAGCAGTTTCATTCCAAGTTATCTTTAACTCTATTTCTAAAATTTACAGGTGAAGAGAACCTCATTTACAGACCAACTCTCTCCTTATGATTCCAAGCACAGATGATTATATTACTGTGCAAGACACGGAGCCACTAAACTCATTCAAAAATAAAACCATCACGGACCAGATGTAAATCAAGCCCTCCTGACACTAAATTCTCTATGGTAAGAGATCAAGGGTCTGGCTTATAATCATAACCTAAACCTTGACACCGTTTCAGCGCAATACATTACTATTCCGAGTAACTGATAGTTTCTTTCCACTACAGGTGTTCTTCAGTAAACTAGTACACAGTACCTCATCTACAACTCAGAATCGGCATTTAAATTACAGGAGCATTCAAACAGATGTGGGTAAAAAGGGGATGCCAATCTCAAGAGCAGCTCTAGAATTGAGTCACTCATTCTATCAGATTCCCAAAGATGTCTTGAACTCTGTAGATATTTGTAAATTGGCACTTTTAATTTTTTTTATCCGTTTGTTTAACGTATCTGTCACTCTAAGCTGTGAGCTTCAGTATAGAAGAGGGTGTAACATTCACATTTGTATCTCCTAGGACTAGCAGTGTCTGGTATATAGCAGGCTTCGAGTGCCTGTGTGGAATTAACCACAGAAGTCCATGCTGCAAACAAAGGAAAACGGAGAGGAGGCATTTTAGTTGAGACGTTAAGGAATCAATTACCCTTTAGAAACAGACCTTGTGCCTGGCCAGGACAGAATACAATAACTGAAGGGGCCTCACGAAGCCGGAGTCAGGCATTACAGCCCTATCTTCCTTAACTCTCCATTGGGTCTACGCAGTGTGGCCGCTCGCCCTGCAGAGACAGGCCTTCAGGCCCCCGATCCCTGCGTCCAGACGGGGGTGCAAACACCACAGAGCTCAATCCAGCTTCAGCCGTTCTCCCTTCCCAGCTCCAGCCCAGCTTCGGCCCCAGACTAAACCCGGGCCGCGTCTGCTCGCTCCAGGCACGTACCATGACAGGGCAATTCAGGTGGCCCACAGGCGAACCTGGTTCACTCACCTACTTGGTAGAGCCGACCCTCGGGTGAAAAAATGGTAATGTGGCGGTCAAAACCGGCGCTGGAACCACGGGACATGTTGGTAGAAGCACTACTTTAAACACAATCCCTGGGCCCCGTAGCTCCCGCACCAGGCACACAAGCACCTCCCGGAAGTTGCAGCGACTGCTTCCGGGGTACCAGCCGCGTTTCTTCCGCTCTTGCATGCCGAACTCACGGCTCTGGAGCCAGTTCGAGCACTGAGCTCTGAGGCCCCGCCCCCTAAGGGGGTGGTGGAGTGAGGGCGGGAGGCCTTTGAAGGTATGCGCCTGCGCCAAGCAGGCCTCTTGAGTGGATAGACGTGAAACTTGGGTCGTGGCGCTTTCAGGCTTTCATCTGGAGAATGAATTGACTATAGCAAGGACGAAAAGGCTTCCTGGGGGCCCAGAATAGCGATTTGCCTATCAGTGTGACCTAAATAGAACGTGTAATTAACAAGTCTCTTACATGCATCCTGTGTCTGGTCAGACTGCTGGCTTGCCTTCTTCCTAACCTCTTTTATCCTCCACTTTCATTCCTATTACGGGGGAAACAGGTTGCAGCTGCAGCTGCAGCCGTTAAATTTAGGCACTGAAGGAAGCGGGTTCAAGCAGCCGCTGGAAAGAACATTATTTTCTGACAGCCAGGCAAGATCTTCTTTTGGCCAGCAGCCCCGACAATTTTTAGTCTTTTTTTTTTTTTTTTTTTTTTTTGAGACAGAGTTTCGCCCTTGTTGCCCAGGCTGGAGTGCAATGGCGCGATCTCGGCTGACTGCAACCTCCCCCTCCTGAGTTCAAGCGATTCTCCTGCCTCATCCTCCCGAGTAGCTGGGATTATAGGCGTGTGCCACCAGGACCGGCTAATTTTGTATTTTTAGTAGAGGCGGGGTTTCGCCATGTTGGTCAGGCAGCTCTCGAACTCCTGAGCCCAAGTGATCCACCTTCCTCGGCCTCCCAGAGTGCTGGGATTACAGGCTTGAGCCACAGTGCCCAGGCAATTTTTAGTCTTGAAAGCGGAGGCCGGGCGCGGTGGCTCACGCCTGTAATCCCAGCACTTTGGGAGACCAAGGCGGGCGGATCACGAGGTCAGGAGATTGAGACCATCCTGGCTAACACGGTGAAACCCCGTCTCTACTAAAAAATACAAAAAAAATTAGCCAGGCGTGGTGGCGGGCGCCTGTAGTCCCATATACTTGGGAGGCTGAGGCAGGAGAACGGCGTGAACCGGAGAGGCGGAGCTTGCAGTGAGCCGAGATCATGCCACTGCACTCCAGCCTGGGCGACAGAGCGAGACTCCGTCTCAAAAAAAAAAAAAAAGAAAGAAAGCCTAACTCCAGCCTGGCCAACATAGGAAGGCCCCGTCTCTACAAAAAATAAAATTAGCTGTGCGTGGTGGCGCGCGCCAGTAGTCCCAGCTACTCGGGGGGCTAAGGTGGGAGGATGGCTTGAGCCCAGGAGATCCAGGTTGCAGTGAGCTATGATCACGCCACTGCACTCCAGCCTGGGCGACAGAGGAAGATCTATCTAAATAAAAAAAAAAAAATGTGGAACTGAGGTTGAAATACGAGTAATGGGGAATGAGGTTAAGCACCCTTGATTAATAATGAACTAGAGCTGAGGGGATGGGGCTTAGAGCAGCTAGTGTTGCATGGATTAATGAGAGTAATTCCAAGCTGGCGAGGTAGCTCCGGGAGAAGAGCAGGTGGCTTTTCAAATCGCAAATTTGTGCCTATTTTGACTTTCCCCAAGGCACACTCCCATTTAATGAATACAAAATGCAAAACATAATGTTAGGATAGTTGTTTTTCTCCCCAGATAAAGATGGTTTGTGTACAAGGAAGGCAAGATACACTAATGTTTGTGGCACTGTAATGCCTGCTGTAATACTGAAGTAGGGATTCTTACTCCTTTAATGTATTTCCTAAACTAACTTTCTATTTTAAAGAAAAAATGTTCTAAGACCTTCATAAGGGAATTCCAATTTCTCAAGTGTTTTTAAAAATTAATTTCTATTTTATTAATCTAAAAAATCCCAAACTGAAACATGGTTAAGAAAACGGTAAATGCATACAGCATCTCTGGCACAAAGGGTACTTTCCAGCACTGGCTAGTTCCCAAGTGGACTGATAAAAGTTTTCCCTTGCTTCTGGTTCAGGTCCCTACTCTCAGGACCAACTCCTCTTGACCTTTTGAAGACTTTTGTCTTCTCAGACTCTGAAAGAGCCTGGTATACTGTAATTCCTACTGTTTGCCTGCATAGTCAGAGTTCTCGGTAAGGCTGCTAGGAGGATGAACTTAGTCTCACAGCCTCAACAGCTGGCTCTATACTGATGTCTCCTGAATTTAGGTCTCTAGCTGGACCCTTCTCTGGAACTGGATCTTCTCTAATTGCCAATGGGATATTTTTCACATTGAGACATATGGCACCTCAAAACCCCACGTTTGAAAGAGAACTCCTTATCTCATCTATTCCCTCTCAAGCGAATTCCTGCCCCTTGTACCACATTTTCCAAGTCTTCAGAGCCAAAACTTTGTAGCAGTCTTAATTTCTTAATACTTCTCCCCCTCTGCCTTCATTTGTTCCTGCTCTGCTATTCTGCCTTTTTTTTTTTTTTTTTTTTTGAAATGCGGTATTGCTCTGTCACCCAGACTGGAGTGCAGTGGCATGATCACTGCAGCCTTGAACTCCTGCGCTCAAGTGATCCTCTGGCCTCAGCCTCCCAAGGAGCTGGGACTGCAGCTGCACACCAACAGTCCTGGCTAGTTTAAAAAAAATTTTTTTTAGAGACTAGGTTTCACTGTATTGCCCAGGCCAGCCTCAAACTCCTGGCCTCAAGGGATCCTTTGGCCTTAGCCTCCTGAGTATCTTTTTTCTTTCTGTTATATAATTCATAAATTTAGGCTGGGCGTGGTGCAACACCTGTAATCCCAGCACTTTGGGAGGCTGAGGTGGGTGGATCATTTGAGGTCAGGAGTTAAAGACCACCCTGGCGAACATGGTGAAACCTCATCTCTATTAAAATACAACAACAACAAAAAAAGCCATGCAGTAATGGTGTGCACCTGTAATCCCAGCTACTCGGGAGAGGTTGAGGCAGGAGAATCGCTTGAGCCTGGGAGGTGGGGGTTGCAGTGAGCTGAGATCATGCCACTGCACTCCAGTCTGGGCAACAGAGTGAGACCTTGTCTCAAAAAAAAAAAAATCATAAATTTGTTCACTGTTTATTGTCCCTCATGCCCACCCACAATTTAACCTCTGTGATGGCAAGGATTTTTGTTTTGTTCACTGATACAGCTCAGACAACTTGAACAATAACCAGCATATATTAAGTGCTCAATAAATATTAGTTGAATGAATGAATCCCTAATGGTGTGGGAGTTAGTTCATCCTTTTTTATTTAAACCTGAATTTAAATTCATTTGTGACAGTTACTAGTTGGTATCAAACTCCTAGGCTCAAGCCAGGAGTGTCCAATCTTTTGGCTTCCCTGGCCACATTGGAAGAAGAATTGTCTTGAGCCACACATAAACTACACTAACACTAATGATAAGTGATGGGCTAAAAAAAAAATTGCAAAAAAATCTCATAATGTTTTAAGAATGTTTACAAATTTGTGTTGGGCCACACTGAAAGCCATCCTGGGCCACATGCAGCCTGCAGGTCATGGGTTGGACAAGCTTGGCTTAAGCAGTCCTCCTGCCTTGCCCTCCCAAAGTGCTGAGATTACAGGTGTGAGCCAGCATGCCTGGCCTGTGATGGGATATTTCAAATCACACATATTACGCACCCTGCAGTCTATGAGAATTATTTCACACATTCAAACAAATCTTCATCCCCTCTTGTGGTATGGTATTTAAGCTGGGCATAGGATTTTGGATGGTGTATATATTTTAATACTCTAAAGGATACTTCCTGGAAGGAATCAACCTCATTTTCAACACAAACATAAATTGAAAGCTAGGATTAAAAATCAGGCTCCTTGAGGGTGGTGGCCACATCTGTTTTTGTTGTTGTTGTTGTTGTTTTTGGCTTATTTTTTGAGATGGAGCCTCGCTCTGTCGCCTAGGCTGGAGTGCAGTGGCACGATCTCGGCTCATTGCAACTTCCGTCTCCTGGGTTCAAGTGATTCTTGTGCCTCAGCCTCCCAAGGAGCTGGAATTACAGGTGTGCACTACCACGCCTGGCTAATTTTTGCATTTTTAGTAGAGACAGGGTTTTGCCATGTTGGCCAGTTTGGTCTCAAACTCCTGGCCTCAAGTGATCCGCCTACCTCGGCCTCCCAAAATGCTGGGATTACAGGCGTGAGCCACCATGCCCAACTAGCCACATCTGTTTTGTTCACCAGTGTATCCTCAATACCAAACAGTGCCTAGCCTGAGGTAAGCACTCCAATCATTTGTTGAATATGCATTCTCACTGTTTAGGTTTTCTATTATGTTAATTGTTTTTCTTTATTCAAAAAGATTTGTCAGTAAATGAGAGATCCAAATTTCAAAACCCTAAAAGGTCAGAGATTTTATATTAGAATTTGAGATTTTTCCACATAGCTAAATGAATTCCTCTGGGAAATCTTTCAGAAAGACAAAACGTTTGCCAATTCCATTCAAAGGGAAATCCCCTGGAAGCCGACTTCGTGAATATGTGCCAACGGGCTCCGGGCAGCAGCTAAACTACTCACTCAGGTGGACTTTCCCCTGGGTCAGGGAGCTTTCAGAAATGTCTGGGTACCAATACTGCAGCTCTAACACAAGCCTGGGTGGCAGACTTGCTGTGTCTGTGTGGAAAGTTTGATCTTCCTCTCTGTGGGGCCATCAAGTTAGACTTTTTGAAATGACTTTCTGGTTTTTTGAAAAAATTTAGAGATGACTTGACATCTCGTGAGTCTTGGAAAATCTCCTGGGGGCCTCCGTTTGGCAAGGCCCACATTCTCCCCTGGGGGTGGAGGTAGGTGGAAGGTAAGGGTTACCCACAAGGCAAAGGTAGAAAGTGGCAGTGTAGATTCCCAGAGACTGCAGACATGCTGAATCACATGGTGTTTAAAGGCAAGATAAGAATGTAGCCCTTAGCTTAAGGTGCTCTGCCGGCAGTTTCAGTGAGCCAGGGAATAAAAAAAAAGAAGCCTATTTGTGTTTCCATATGATATTAGCAGGGGTTGAAACACAGTGCCCTGTGAGTTGGCCACTTGCAATACAGCATCTTAGAGGAGTATCCTGATGTTAAGGGGCCCCAAAGGACAGCTGTAATAAGGACAGAGCTAGGGATGTAGCAGTTCTGGGTAAAGAAAGGGACGTAGGACTCTGCCCAGCTCTCTGGCCAGATTTTCACTAATTCAGAGCTTCCTCCCTGAGGACAAGAACCTGGCTCTGTATCTTTCCCTTTTTTGTCTTTCTCAGATCCTTCAGTTCTTCTTGCACCCCAGTAGCTATGGTTGGCTACCTAGGACTTCAGTCATTCTGGATGAGTGTTGGAGGAGGAGAAAAGGGTACTTTCTCTACTCTAGTTCTATAATTTATGGGTAAAGGAAACGGACAAATGGAGCACCAAATGTGGTTTGGGGTGTGACTTCTGTGACTTACATGAGGCAACTTACATGAGGTTATGCTTCTCATAAGCCCTTCAAACCCCAGATTCCAATAAAGCAACCCTCCTCTGCCCCCTTGTCTGTAACATCTAGTGTGGTTCTTCTACCCTCTGGAACCAATGGTGGATGCAATACAGTGTTTAGCAACATAGAAGTCACACAACTATCATTTCCCTTCTGTGCCATCCCCTTACTAACCAGTCAGTGTGGTTCTGGGCCTGGATTATCTCAGCCATTCCCCAGAATAAATGCTGTCCTTTGGTTTGAGAGGGAATAAACTTGTATCACTTCAACCCAAAGGACATTTAAATACAACTATACATGAACCCCTCTATAGAGCCAAAACCTTTAGCTTTTCAGTTCACCCTTGTTTTTTAGCTATAATAACTTCAGTATTATCCTCTTACGGCTTTTGATATTTCTTGTTTTTCCAAGCTCTGTCTTAAATGAAAACCCGATGCTCAGCTTCTTGTTTCTGGAAGCCAAGGACTTTGAAAAACACTGAGAATTCTCATGGGTCTCCCCACAATACTGGAAGAAACAACGGAAGACCCCAGCTGGCTTGGGCTTAACCGTTGGTGGTTTTTAACATACAGCTTCCCCTTAGGCATGTTAACACAGGAAGCCCTTCATAGCTTGAGAGAACAGCAAATGTTCCAGTGAAAAATAAGATGGGGAAGGGTGGGAGAAGCGAACGGTCATATTGTGAACTTTGAAAATGGTCAGGTTCTGCTCTGAGTGTCAGCAGCACTGGGTTTGAATCTGAGCCTTGCCACAGATTACTTGGTGACCATAATCTCAGTTTCTTCTTCTCTCAAACAGGTGAGTATGCTGTACCCACTTTAAAAGGCATAGAAGTCCACTACGGTGAAATTAAGCCACCTACTATTTGACTGGAACTCAGCTTCTTTGTGAAAGGAGGGGGCGCACTGATGAATAAGGCCTGAATTGTTGGCTATTTCGCTTTGATCTATCCCTAGTAAAGAATGAAACCAAATAGGTACTGCATGGGCCTGCACTGCACACTGCTATTATTCAGAAGTGAAACTCACTCTGTCTTAATTTGGAAAGCAGCTAATTCTTACCTATCGTGTCACACACACATGCAGCCTTCACCCATGAATGTTGATGGGGGATGGAACTGCAAGATCAATTATTTCATGGTACCTCCCTACATCTTGGGATCTTTATGAACTTTATTTAGACTTTATTCACTCTATTCCCCACCCCCACCCTCAGCTCCCTGAAGGTGGGGAAAGGGAGGTGCAGAGATTGGCCAGTCACTAAGAAAGTGAGTCAAGAACAGAGAGGAAATAAGACTCAACAGCCTTCCCTTTAGCCTAGAGACACTTCCTCTTCCTTGAGGTTTCCTAATTGGCTGACTCTAATTCCTATTTTCTTACCACAAAATTAAGTCATCTGTGATGCTCAGAATGAACCAAATTCTCTTGAGGGTAATTGGAGAGAGGGAGAGAGAAAATGCAAATGAATGAGGTTTCTGATCATTTTGACCAATATTTTCAGTCACTAATTTAGAAACCAGTTCTTGAGAGTCCAGTTATTGATAGAAAAGCAAGAGTGTGCTACGGTTTTTTTTTTTGTTTTTTGTTTTTTTTGAGATAGAGTTTTGCTCTGTCACTCTGGCTAGAGTGCAGTGGCACGATCTTGGCTCACTGCAACCTCTGCCTCCCAGGCGATCCTCCCACTTCAGCCTCCCAAGTAGCTGGGACTACAGGCATGCACCACCATGCTTGGCTGATTTTTAAGTTTTTTGTAGAGATAATGTCTCACTATATTGCCCAGGCTGGTCTTGAACTCCTGGGCTTAAGTGATCCTCCTGCCTCGGCCTCCCAAAGTGCTGGGATTACAGTCATCGCACCTGACTCCAGTTTTATTTTCTACTTGCTTTTGAATGACTTGATGAACCTCAGCTGAGATCCTCAAACTTCACTCTAAATGTATTTCATCCATAATGGTGAAACAAAGGCAAGTTCCAAAAATCAACCACAGACAGCAGATTTAGGCACTGAAACATTCCAAAGATTAAAAACTCTGGGATGATGTCTTACAAGTACATAGCAAGTTTTATCCCAGTTACCACAGTACCAAGTACAGAGTAGATGTCTAATGAATAAACCTTTAATTCACTGAAGATATCATATGATTATAGAGGATGGCACTGAGAAGTTACTGTTTTTTTGAGGATCAGTGAGGCATCAGACACCACAGATTAAGTTCCCACTTAGCCAGCTCACACACAAAAGACCAAGGAGCAAGAGGGGTATTCACTTAAAGGAGAAGTAGGCATTAGAGGTAAAAATCAGGAAGATATTTTCAAACAAATTCTCCAAAGTAATTCAACATTTACTGAGCTCCCTCTTTGGGCAAGAAGCTGGGCTAGCTGCTCTGGGAGACACACAGATGAACCCGACAGCGTCCCCACCAGAGTTCCATGGAGATGAAACATGAATGAAAGCAAAGCTAACATGAGGTAGTCCGTAATACACAAGGAAATGTGTAACAGAGCAGCACAGATGAGAAAATGACCTTATATGCTCACGGGCCAAAGGGAATGTAAGACTACCTGTTGGAAGATGCATGTCCAAGCTCAGCTTAGAACAGGGAGAACTCTTAACAGGTGTGTTAAGAGCAATGTTAGGAGCAATATGGGAGGCACCACAATGCAACATGGAATGGGAGTGGCATAAACAAGCAGAGGAAGAAAAAAGATCCTGTGTTTAGGGCAAGCTAGGCAATAGCCTAACCTAAGTATGACTCAAAAAATGTTTTGGATTAGGGTACAAATGAAAGGAGCTGGCCTTGGATACTAAGCTAAGGAATTTATGCTCTATCTAGTTGGAAGGCTACGGGGAGACATTTAATGTTTTTGAGCAAGGAGAGTGGCAAGACTAGAATTATGCTTTGGGAAGATAAACCTTGTAGCTGTATTTATGAGGAACTGTCATTGGGGACATCAGCCAGGAGGCTATTGATAATAGACCAAGTGAAAGTTTTTGAAGGCCTGAACTGGGGTAAGCAGCAATAGGAATGGAAAGAAGAGATTATCTGCAAAAAATTTGTAAAGGCTGGACATGGTGGCTCATGCCTATCTATAATCCTAGCACTTTGGGAGGCCGAGTTGGGAGGATTGCTTGAGCCCAGGAGTTTGAGACCAGCTTGGGCAACATGGCAAAACCCTTTATCTACAAAAAATAAATTAACCAGGTGTGGTGGTGTCCACCTTATAGGGTGTGTGCCAGCGGTCCCAGTTACTTGGGAGGCTGAGGCAGGATAATTGCTTGAGCCCAGGAGGTCGAGGCTGCAGTGAGCTATGATTGCATCACGGCACTCCAGCCTGGGCAACAGAGTGAGACCCCATCTCCTAAAAAAAAAAAAAAAAAAAGAGTTCTAGTCTAACATCCTATTACACCTATTGCAAAAATTTTAGACTGTGAAGAAGATGAAGTAAAAATCATCCACAACCCAACATCCAGAGATACCTATTGACATTGTGGAATCAATGAAATGTTATTCCTTCCAGACATTTTCCTCCAAGTATTTTTTCTCTTTCTCTCTCTTTTTTTTTTTTTTTGTAGAGATAGGGTCTCCCTGTGTTGCCCAGGCTGGTCTCGTACTCCTGGGCTCAAAAGATTCTCCCACCTCAGCCTCCCGAAGTGTTAGGATTACAGGTGTGAGCCACCACACCTGACCAGCCAAGTATTTTCTTTCCTTCATTTAAAAAATGGGATCTTACTAGACATACTATTTTGGAGCTGCTTTTTCATTGATTCTATGCCAATGTACAAAGTATCGGTGGGGCACGGTGGCTCACGCCTGTAATCCCAGCACTTTGGGAGGCCAAGGTGAGTGAACACCTGAGGTCAGGAGTTTGACACCAGCCTGGCCAACATGGTGAAACCCTGACTCCACTAAAAAATACAAAAAATTAGCTGGGTGTGGTGGTGCACGCCTGTAGTCCCAGCTACTCAGGAGGCTGAGGCAGGAGAACCGCTTGAGCCCAGGAGGCAGAGGTTGCAGTGAGCTGAGATCTTTCCTTTGCACTCCAGCCTGACCCTGTGGGGTCTCACTCTGTTGCCCAGGCTGTGTGGGTCTCACTCTGTTGCCCAGGCTGGAGTGCAGTGGCTCGATCTTGGCTCACTGCAACCTGTGCCTCCCAGGCTCAAGCAATCCTCCTACCTCAACCTCCTGAGTAGCTGAGACGACAGGCACATGCCACCGTGCCCAGCTAATTTTTGTCTTTTTTGTAGAGATGGGGGGAATCTCACCATGCTTCCCAGGCTGGTCTTGAGCTCCTAGATGCAAGAAATCCTCCTGCCTTGACCTCCCAAAGTGCAAAGTATCATTTTAATCATTGCAACGTTAAAAGTTACGTTTAGGTTAGGTGCAATGGCTCATCCTGTAATCCCAGCGCTTTGGAAGGCCGAGATAAGTGGATTGCTTGAGGCCAGGAGTTCAGGACCAGCCTGGGAAACATAGTGAGACCCTGTCTGTAAAAAAAAAAATTTTTTTTTAATTTACAAATAAGTTAGAAAATTATCTGGGGGTGGTAGAGTGCGCCAGTAGTACCAGCTACTCAGGAGGCTGAGGCAGGAGGATTGCTTGAGTCCAGGAGGTCAAGGCTGCAGTGAGTCATGATCACACTGCTGCACATCAGCCTGGGTGACAGCAGGACCCTGTCTCAAAAAATAAAAAATTAAATTACAGTTATTTACTTCTTCCCTTATTTTGAATAGTTACTTCCAATTTCATTATTGTCAATTACACTATTATGAATAAGCTGTTTTCAAAGTGGTTCAGTTTGAGTGTCTCAGGTGAAGTTGGTCAGCTGCAAATGTGGAATTGGAAAGAAACCAATGGCAGAGATGGTGCCTTCTTTTGAGAATGTTGCTATGAAACTATCCCTGGGAAAGCACAGTTTTGTCCAGTCAGAGCCTAAAGGTATTTGTAAGTAAATGGGAAAGAGCTGGAGGAAAGGGATTAACTGAGAACAAGATCCCAATTCAGAAAGAAGGAACAGCGTGGATGTAGGTAGAAAAAGTAACCTAGGGCCAGGAGTAGTGGCTGATGCCTGTAATCCTAGCACCTTGAGAGGCCAAGGCAAGAGGACTGATAGAGGCAAAGAGTTCAAGACCAACCTGATCCTGTCTCTATTTTATAATTTAAAAAAAAATTTCTTTTTAAGTAACCTAGGGAAGAAAAGGGAGAAAAGATTCAGGAGAGGAAAATTATTGGAAAAGGCAAACATTGATGAAGAGGTTCATAACAGATGGCTTTTAGTTTCCAGTTAAGTCTGCTGAGTGTGAGAATGATGAGACTGACTCAGGACTTGGACTCACAGGTGTTGTTTTGTTACTATTTTTTATATAATTGTGGAGCTCACTGAGGCCCTTACTTCTCAAATTACAGTCTGCAGCATTGGCATCACGGGGTATGTCAGACCTGAATCAGAACTGGCATTTTGAGTGGGATCCCCAGGTGATTCTATGCCTATTAAGTTTGAGAAGCACTGTGATGGCCCATCTTCCCCACTTAACAGAAAAGGAAATGAAGGCTCCAGGAGATTAGCTGCTTGCAACTTACCTTTGCAGAGTTAAGACTGCAAAGGTTGGGAGAGCTCTTTCAGGAAATTAATGGGAATTTCATGACTTTTCTAGCAATACTATGGTATACAGGAGTGGAGAAAGTGGAATGGTTTGTGGCTACTCAAAATAAGGTTTAGAACTGAAAAGATGGAGACCAAAGGAGGTAAAAAGTATGAAAGAATTTGCACTGCTATTGAAGCCATCCCTCCCATGAATGCTTTGAGAGGCAGGGTAGGGAGAAAGGCAAGCAAAGTCAGATGGGAAAGGTCAATAGAGGCTTCCTGGGTGAGGAAGGGATAGGTCTAAGAACAGGTCAATGGTGGTTTAACCCAGTGGTGGTTGGGTTAAAGGAGTGGGGCAGGTAAGGAGGTTGTGGACAAAATGAGGAACTTGAAAGTTTAAAATCCTGAAACTAATCAAAAAGGTTGGCCATCTCATAGGGAGCCAAAAGTCACAAAATCAGGTATGTGTGGTGGTGCATGCCTGTAATCCCGGCTACTTGGGAGGCTGAGGCAGGAGGATCGCTTGAGCCCAGGAGTTTGAGGCTGCAGTGAGCTATGACCACTGTGAATAGCTACTGCACTCCAGCCTGGGCAACACAGTGAGACCCCATTTCGAAAACAAACAACAACAACAAATCATGAGACCAGAGTTAAGAAACAATGAGACCAGGCTGGGTGTGGTGGCTCATGCCTGTAATCCCAGCACTTTGGGAGGCCAAGGTGGGCTGATCACTTGAGGTCAGGAGTTTAAGACCAGCTTGGCCAACATGACGAAACCCTGTCTCTACTAAACATACAAAAATTAGGTGGGCATGGTGGCACGTGCCTGTAATCCCAGCTACTTGGGAGGCTGAGGCATGAGAATCACTTGAATCCGGGAGGTGGAGGTTGCAGTGAGCCAAATTGACGCCACTGAGCTCCAGCCTGGGTGATAGAGTGAGACTCCATCTCAAGAAAAAGAAAAAAAAAAAAAAAAGAAACAATGAGACCAAAATGTGGATGGAGTTGGAATCTCTGGTGATACTGGCAATGGGAGTGGAAGAAAAATACATTTTTGTTGTTGTTGTATTTTTAGTAGAGACAGGGTTTTGCCATGTTGGCCAGCCTGGTCTCGAACTCCTGACCTCAGGTGATCCACCTGCCTCGGCCTCCCAAAGTGCTGGGATTACAGGCGTGAGCCATTGCGCCAGGCCGAAAAATACATTCTTTTTTTTTTTTTTGAGACGGAGTCTTGCTCTGTCGCCCAGGCTGGAGCTGGAGTGTAGTGGCGCGATCTCGGCTCACTGCAAGCTCCGCCTCCCTGGTTCACGCCATTCTCCTGCCTCAGCCTCCCGAGTAGCTGGGATTACAGGCACCTGCCACCACGCCTGGCTAATTTTTTTGTGTTTTTAGTAGAGACGGGGTTTCACCGTGTTAGCCAGGATGGTCTCGATCTCCTGACCTCGTGATCCGCCCGCCTCGGCCTCCCAAAGTGCTGGGATTACAGGCGTGAGCCACCACGCCCGGCCCGAAAAGTACATTCTTATAACATGTATAAAGTACAAACTATTCAATACTGATTTCCTCACAGAAACTTCCCTTGGTGTGTTGATGAACAAAGAGTTACATGATTTGCTTTAAGCAGTAAAAAGCTCTTTATCTGTGTAAAGCAGCAATTGTTCCTTAGACGTTCTCTTCAAAAACATGGCCTGACCAGAGTTTATTTCTTTAGGAGTTGGAGATCAGAGGGCCTGACTTAGAAAAGACCCATTACATCAAGGATTTGACCACTCCTGCCAGAATAGCGCTAAGTGCCAAAGGACGTGACCCTTAATTTGAGCCAACAGCTATTATCAGGGTTCAGCTTCTGTGAACACAGATTTCCTTCTGAACAAAGCAAGCCTTGAGTAGCAGTTTGTGAGTATACAGCTATGCAAATACTATTTTATGGTGTCCAGCAATGCTGTAGTTTAAGCTGGCTGCCCCTTTTTATGAATTTACATTATTAATTATTAGAATACATGAGGCCGAGTGCAGTGGCTCATGCCTGTAATCCCAGCACTTTGGGAGGTCGAGGTGGGCGGATCACCTGAGGTCTGGAGTTCGAGACTAGCCTGACCAACATGGAGAAACCCTGTCTCTACTAAAAATACAAAATTAGCCGGGCATAGTGGCACATGCCTGTAATCCCAGCTACTCAGGAGGCTGAAGCAGGAGAATTGCTTGAACCAGGGAGGCGGAGGTTGCAGTGAGCCGAGATCGCGCCACTGCACTCCAGCCTGGGCGAGAAGAGCGAAACTCCATCTCAAACACACACACAAAAAAGAATACATGAGGAAGAAGTGACTGTAAGAACAGGGAAAATTTTTCATTTTCTGTCAGGTGAAAAAAACATGTTACGAAAGAGTTCCTAGAGAATAAGTATATATGTATAGAAAAACAAAAAATGAGTATATATGCATAGAAAAATATATACGTACAACAACTTAATAGCAATAGACTGCTCAGCCATGGAACACAGGATAGAAAAAAAAGCAACTTGGGATTCTAGAGCAAGGTCATTGTAAAGAGGAATAAAATATAAGAATGATTTATTTTCAAAGAATCAGTAATATAGTACATCTCAAGCAACAAGTCTGAGTGAGGGACTTACCTCTCCGAAGACCTGCCATAGCCACCTCCAAAGGAAGCTACTTCATGAGGTGGAGGCTCCATCCCATTCTCCCAGCCTAGGACACTACCCTGCTCCAGCAGAGCCGCATGGATGGAATCGTCAGGGAATTCCACTGGCATCCTATTGGATACTGACATTCTCTGTTCTGATGCAGTCATAGAAAGCACAAGAAACCTTATTTATTTATTTATTTTTGAGATGGAATCTCGCTCTGTCATCAGGCTGGAGTACAGTGGTGCAATCTCAGCTCACTGCAACCTCCGCCTCCCGGGTTCAAGCAATTCTCCTGCCTCAGCCTCCCGAGTAGCTGGGACTACAGGCGCACACCACCATGCCCAGCTAATTTTTGTATTTTTAGTAGAGACGGGGTTTCACCATGTTGGCCAGGATGGTCTCAATCAATCTCTTGACCTCAGGTGATCCTCCCGCCTCGGCCTCCCAAAGTGCTGGGATTACAGACATGAGTCACTGCACCCGGCCAGGAAACCTCTTTTAATAGTAGACTTTAAATATTTAGATGTGAACTGAACTTGGTATCTATATAATGTTCTAGTCCATCTGAGAGTGATGAGGCAATCTGACCTGGTCTCATTAAAATGAATTAATGTCTATCATATTCAAAATTAAAGCCCCTACTATTGATTTCTCAAGTATTTGCTTCTTGGGCTGGCTTTTAAATAGCACTGAAGAGATGAGTGGGACAGTCATTTTAATGTGCTCGAAATTAACTCTCTACATCAAATTTCTTGTCAGAAGTTACCAAAACCTTCCTATGTTACTGCTATTTATAACAACAAATTACCACAGTTATCATAATAACTCGATCCATTAGATAAGAGTATACTTCTGAGGGCACTCTGGTAGCAAAATAATTTTTAGCTGCCATCAGTGACTAGATAATTGTCTTCCTGTTTATTTCCATTACCAGTTAAAAGCAAGTTGTGTATGTAGTAGAACCTCTGGAAGCACTCGTCAGATCAAATAATGCCAAAAAAACCCACAAAAACAAAAAACTAAACTTGGGGAGAGGGAACGTCAGGACATCATGAAAAAGCATAAATGGAGATGATAAAAGTAAAGATTATTTCTCAAATTTTATTACATTTATTCATCTGTGTTCCTGTCTCTTGTATTTTCATCCTGTTAATTTCTATGGCTTCCCCTCTGTAGAGCTCTAAATGGAACTTCCTTTGTTTATTTAGCACAGACTCAAGCAGACTGCTTGTCACTGGCCAGGACTGGGCAGGTAAAAGCTGGTCCTATTTCCTTTCTGCTCACTCCTAAGTGCCTTTTACAAATTTCCTTTCTTATTCTTGCTCCCCTCCTGCCTCCTGTAGGGCTGCTGGACTATAGATAGAGATGCCTCATTTCAGGCTGTGCGGGGTGACTCACACCTGTAATCCCAGCACTTTGGGAGGCTGAGGTGGGTGGATCACCTGAGGTCAGGAGTTTGAGAGCAACCGGGGCAACATGGTGAAAACCCGTCTCTACTAAAAATGCAAAAATTAGCCAGGCGTCATGGCGCATGCCTGTAATTCCAGCTGCCCGAGAGGCAGAGGCATGAGAATTGCTTGAACCCAGGAGGCAGAGGTTGCAGTGAACTGAGATCAAACCATTGCACTCCAGCCTAGATGAAAAAAGATCAAGACTCTGTCTCAAAAAAAAAAATAAATAAAAGTGAGAAATCTGCTAGAGGACCAAGGAAGCAGTAATTATATTTAAGTGCATACTTGAGAAGAAAAATTAATTTCCTATGAAGAATAAGCCACCTCAGATGAGGTAGACCCAACAGAGCCCTGAGAGAATAAACTCAGCCTTCTTCCTTGAGATTTTCTTTCCACTGGGTCTGAGAACAGCAGGAGGAAAAGTGTATAAATTCAGAATGCAAGGGGGAAGCACAAAGTATTTTAGAAATACTTTTAAGTGGCAAAGTCAATGCTCTTTCAAATCCTTCATTGTTCACAACTGATTTTAAAGATACTAACAATTTAAGAGTACAGCTTTTAAAATAATTCCTCCTTCTTGTGGTGTCCAGGAGCTTGCTTGACAGGTACCTTTTTTTCACTCAAATGATCAGAACACAAATGGGCAGCCTAAGTGTCTGGTACCAGCTGCTTCCTTCAGGGAATCCCTGCACTCCTCAAGGTCACCGTGGCAGTATGACTTATGCTGAGCAACCCTACAATGGTTCCCCACTCCTGGACAAGGGACAGATGCACTTCAGTTTATCTCAAGCAGA
The DNA here is from genome assembly GCF_000001405.40 of Homo sapiens. NCBI lineage: Eukaryota > Metazoa > Chordata > Mammalia > Primates > Hominidae > Homo > Homo sapiens. Next base: position 35,276,458 of record NC_000014.9, on the reverse strand, counting down.
AGTTAGGGTTTTGTTTCTAAACAGTATTAGAGTTATTTTAAAATGTAATTTCTCTACCACAATGTTCTATACTGCTGAGCCATTCAGGATACTTGGGCCCTTAAAAGAGGTACACCCCTGTTCCTTCTTCTCATTCTTACCTCCCTCCCTTTGAGACAGGGTCTCACTCTGTCACCTAGGCTGGAGTGTAGTAGCATGATCATAGCTCACTGTAGCCTTGACCTCTGGGGCTCAAGTGATCCTCCCACCTCAGCCTTCTGAGTAGCTGGGACCACAGGCATGTGCTACCATGCCCAGCTAATTTTTAAATTTTTTGTCGACACGGGTCTCCCTGTGTTGCCTAGGCTGGTCTCCAACTCCTGGCTTCAAGCAATTCTCCCATTTGGCCTCCCAAAGTGCTGGAACTGTAGGTGTGGGCCACCATGCCCTGACTCCTCCCCCATCTCTATGTGCCAGTAGAAGAAAGAGTATTTGGGAATTAGAAGAGCTGGGTTATGGCTGAAATGTCTGCACTAACTAGCCGTGGGATTCAGGGAAGCCAGGTCATCTTCCTGGGTCTGTTCCTCATCTCCAAAATGGACTTTACATGCTCTAAGGTTACTCCTGCTCTAAAGTTCTAGTTTTCTTCTTGTAGCTTCTCCCGTCTTTTTTTTTTTTTTTTAAGAGACAGGGTCTTGCTATGTTGCCCAGGTTGGTCTCCAACTCTGGGCCTAAAGTGATCCTCCTGTCTTGGCCTCCCAAAGTGCTGGAATTAACAGGTATGAGCCACCACTTCGGCCTCCTCCTCTATCTCTATGTGCTCCTTTTTTGGGAATTTGCATTAGCCTTTTAGATGGGCTTAATAAATACTTTTTGTCTTCTTAAAATGTTTTTCTTAAAACTATGATAGTTACTTAAAAAAAGAAGTTTAGCTCACTGAAAGCACAGTTTCCTAAGTATGTAGTTTATGAAATTTGGAAAATAAGCAGACTGAATTTATTAGAGCTTTTGCAGTATCTTTTAATGCTCTCAATATATCCAATGTTTTCCTGGAGAGCTCTTTTGTCTTGGTGTGCAGTAATGTTGCATTCAGTAAATAGGTAAGAAGATAAAACGTCCCCTCCTTGGATTTTCCTAAATTGTTTCTCTGTGCATAATACATACCCTAATTATACACATGTATATGGTTTGATATAAAAGAGGTCATTGTTTATTTCATGTAAGTAATTATCTTTTCTTACCCTAACTTACTTTGAGGTATATTGTCATAAATGTAAATATATCAATTTAAAATGTTTAGTGTGAGGAATTTTAACTAATATATACATATAGCTATGTTACTATTACCCAAATCAATATAAGAAACTTTCCATCACCCCGAGAAAGTTCTCTCAAGTTCTCTCATATCCCTTTCCTCAGGCAATTACTATTCTGATTTTTATCACAATAGAGTAGTTTTTGCCTGTTCTTGCATATTGAATACAGTATGTATACGTAAAGAAAGAACTATCATGAAGGGGTGCAGACATGAATATTTTCAGCTGAAATCAAGGGCTAATAAACTGTAAGCTGGCTAGTGAGTGGAAAAAACAGAAATGTAACTATTAAAATATAATCACTTTGTTAAATTAAGTCAAACTTGATTAAGTGGAAAAAAATTGGCATATTTTAGAAAGCCCACATATACTGAATGATGAAATTAATAGTGTTCACAAAATGTTGAACCAATTTGGAAAAGAGATTATAGAATGAAGAAAAAACCATCATAGTCTAGAGAAGTGAGGCTGGGCACTGTGGCTCAAGTCTGCAATTCCAGCACTTTGTTTTGTTTTGAGACAAGGTCTCGCTCTGTCACCCAGGCTAGAGTGCAGTGGTGCAACGTTGGCTCATTGCAGCCTTGACCTCTGAGGCTCAAGCAATCCTCCTACCTCAGCCCCCAAAGTAGCTGGGACTATGTGTGCAAACTACCATGCCTGGCTAATTTTTAAATTTTTTGTAGAAATGAGATCTTACTATGTTGCCTAGGCTGGTCTTGAACTCCTAGACTCAAGTGATTCTCTCGCTTCAATCTCCCAAATTGCTGGGGATCGACTGAGGCCAGGGGTTGGAGACTAGTCTTGTCAACAGAGTGAGACAGCCATCTCTACAAAAAAAAAAAAAAAAATTAGCCAAGCCTGGTGATACATGCCTGTAGTCCCAATTACTCAGGAGGGCTGAGGTAGGAAGATTGCTTGAGCCTGGGAGTTTGAGGCTGCAGTGAACTGTGATCACGTCACTGCACTCCAGCCCTGGCGACAGAGTAAGTTGAGACTCTATTTCCAAAAAAAATAAGAAAAAGAGGAGTGAATGCCCCCTCTTCTCCAATCCAAATAATTGGATGATAAGTAATTAAAAACTGCTATGAATAGTAAGCCTTTAGTATCTTGGCCAGTTTATTACAGAGGACGATAAATGATTCCATGTGGATAGGGCATAACATACAGAGAATGAGACTATGCCAGAAATGGGAGGAGGCATTTGAAACAACATGAGTATCTCAGGGACAGATGGATTGATTCTGCTATTGGTAGGCCTGGAAGGCAAGGTCAGAAGTAGCAAAAAATGGATACCAAAAGCACTATTAGTCACCCAAGCTAAGTGGAATAGCTGGCCCAGTAGGAGAAATGCAGGTTTTGCTCTACACTAAGTTCTCCAACTCTTGATAAGCCTCCAAAAACAAATGTTAGGGGAAAAAAACGCAGCTGGTTATGAAAAGATATATCTCATTTCATTAAAAAATCAATGTCAATGCTGTTAATAGAATCCTTTTATCTTCAGGACAGAGGCAATGCCCTAAACAAACACCAGCTCAAGAGCCTCTGATGCCAACCTAGAGGGTACCCAAACACAAACTTAGCATAGAGGTAAGAATCTCTATGTCTTTTGGTGGAGGCAAAGCCATTTGGTTGGTACTTCACAGGAACATCTTTCTACCAAGTCTTCATCATATGGTATGTGCCACGAGTCTCCAGTTGTTTGCACCACTGTGTCATAGCTGAGAATACGCTGTTGAATTAAAAAGAGAACAAAACATTGAGAACAACACTAAAGGGCTACTTGGCCATTTCTCTTTCTGACACTTCTCAAGTTTGCTCCAGAAGAGTATTGATAATGGATTATCTCACTTAATAATGGATTTTCAAACAGCAGCAAACTCTGTGAAGATGAGCCCTAATATTAGGAGTTCCTTTTTTTGAGGGGTCTCATTTTTAAGTCTAAAGACTCTCTGTAGAAGCATTACATTTATGTAATACAGACGTTCTTTTGTTGGCTCTATCAGTTTTGTGTGTGAGAGTGAAAAATTTCAAATCCAGTCAGCCTTCCACAACTGCAGGTTCTGTATCCCTGGCAAACAACCACAGATTGAAAATATATGAAAACAAAACGAAACAAAACAAAACAACAACAACAACAAAAAACTGTGTTCTGAACATGTACAGACTTTTTTTCTTCTTGGCATTATTCCCTAAAAGATACAGAAACAACTATTTATATAGCATTTACATTGTATTAGGTATTATAAATAATCTAGATGATTCAAAGTACACAGGAGGATGTGTGTAGGTTATATGCAAATACTATGCCATTTTATATAAGGGACTTGAGCATTTGAGGATTTTAGTATCTGTGAGAGGTCCTGAAACCAATTCCTCATGGATACCAAGGGACAAATGTAAACAAAAGTAGAGAAATGCTATAATGAACTCTCATGTACTCATCACCTAGCTTCAGCCATTATCAATTCATCTCTAGTCTTATTTCATCCATACGCTGCCCTCCCATCTCAGATATGTAATTTCTTCTGTAATACTTCAGTATGTATCTCTAAGAAATAAGGTCTTATTTTATAAATGTAAGATCAATACCTTTATACCTTTATTATACTTAAGAATTAATAGTTCTTCAACTATATCTTGAATCACTATGGTATCATTTAATACCACATTTACTATAAATTTATTGTTTTGGATATTCTTATTTACTTACTTTTATAGAGACATGGTCTTACCATGTTGCCCAGGCTAGTCTTAAACTCCTAGGCTCAGGCAATCCTCCTGCTTCGGCCTCCCAAAGTGCTGGGATTACACAAGTGAGCCACTGCACCCAGCCTTTCTTACTTATTTTTAAATTGACGAATAACAATTATACATATTTATCATGTATAGCATGTTTTTGAAATATGCATACATTGTAGAATAGCTAAATTGAGCTCATTAACATGAGCATTACCTTATATACTTACAATTTTTGTGGTGAGAACATTTAAAATCTACTCTTAGCAATTTTCAATGATACAACACATTGTTATTATTAACTACAGTCATCATGGAACGTATTCCTCTTATCTAACTGAAATTTTTTCTCCTTTGACCAACATCTCCGTTTTTTTTTTGTTGTTTTTTTTTGTTTTTTTTGAGACGGAGTCTCGCTCTGTCACCCAGGCTGGATAGCAGTGGCACAATCTTGGCTCACTGAAACCTTTGCCTCCCAGGTTCAAGCGATTCTTGTACCTTAGCCTCCCACGTAGCTGGGATTATAGGCACACGCCACCACGCCTGGCTAATTTTTGTATTTTTAGTAGAGATGAGGTTTTCGCTATGTTGGCTAGGCTGGTCTTCAACTCCTGCCCTCAAGTGATCCACCTGCCTTGGCCTCCCAAAGTGTTGAGATTACAGGTGTGAGCCATCACGCCCAGCCAATATTTTTTGATAATTGAACCTTATTTATTATACCACGGGCCAGTGTACTTTTCTGTAATAACTCACTTTGGATTCTCTCCCTTTGCTTTCACACAAGATGTGTCCTTATATTATAGATATCTTAACTAGAATCAAAGGAGAATTCAATTGAGACTGTCATAGAAATGAATTAAACAGGGAAAACAAATTACTTAGCAGAAGTATAACAAACTATAAGAAATAAAGAATTTGAGCTATTGCAAATAAACAAAAATAAAAAACACATGTAAGAAGTTATAATTTATGGCCGGGTATGGTGGCTCACGCCTGTAATCCCAGCACTTTGGGAGGCTGAGGTGGGTGGATTATGAGCTCAGGAGTTCAAGACCAGCCTGACCAACATGGTGAAACCCCACCTCTACTAAAAATACAAAAATTAGCTCGGCGTGGTGGCATGTGCCCATAGTCCCAGCTACTTGGGAGGCTGAGGCAGGAGGATCGCTTGAACCTGGGAGGCGGAGGCTGTAGTGAGCTGAGATTGCACCACTGCACTCCAGCCTGGGCGACAGAGTGAGATTCCGTCTCAAAAAAAAAAAAAAAAAAAAGAAGTCATAATTTGTGACATAATTAATTGAAGTCAAAACTGGTATATCCTAAATGTTGTTTTTTGTTTTTGAGACGGAGTCTTGCTCTGTCGCCCAGGCTGGAGTGCAGTGGCGTGATCTCGGCTCACTGCAAGCTCTGTCTCCAGGGTTCATGACATTCTCCTGCCTCAGCCTCCCAAGTAGCTGGGATTACAGGCACCCGCCACCACGCCTGGCTAATTTTTTTTTTGTACTTTTAGTAGAGACGGGGTTTCACCGTGTTAGCCAGGATGGTCTCGATCTCCTGACCTCATGATTTGCCCACCTCGGCCTCCCAAAGTGCTGGGATTACAGGTGTGAGCCACTGCGCCTGGCCCCTAAGTGTTTTAATTAATTTGAGGTTGGCCTATGAAAACTCTAGCAGACTCTTTCTAGGACCTGGCTAGTTCCAAATACTAACCTAAAACTGAGAAAAATAAAGCATTTGCAACCTTCAATTAGTTGTGACACTCTTTTTCTATGCCACATTCTTACTGTATACTTGACTCTGTTAATATTACATAAAGAACAGGTACCATTACCTGAAAGGTTAGTTTTGATCCTGGAAACCTATTTACAATTGCCAGCTGATGTCCCTGCTGCCACTTAAAAAACAGGCGTTGGGTCTTGGCATCAGGCAGACAGGCCTTGTGGTCCCGCATCAGGTCTCTTGTGATAAACCTGCAGTGATTCCCGGAGTGCAGTGTGGCATACAGAAGGAATGGATCATCCTCCGAGCTGAACCAGGCATAAGAAAGGACACAATCAAGCACAGCTGAAGAGGCAGAGGACAGTGTTTTTCACCGTACTTTTTACTTACTTTCCTTGGAGGTGCCTCTGATTTCTTGACCAACATGATGCTAGTAATACTTAAGAACCACCTCAAAGTCCTTAGCTGGTAAGCAATACTATCTAGAACACAGATGGAAAGCTGAGGGGAACAGAATGCTAATGCCTGGGATTCTCACAGCTCACTGGACTCTTCCACTAGAACGATGAATTCTAACAATGCTCTCTTCACACTTAAAAGTTGCTTCTCTTTGGGCATTTTTCCTATTTGCCTTATCTATCACAGAGCACACCTTTTCCCTCTCTCTTCACCCAAATTCAAGAAACACCCAAAATACTACTAGGGCAGGATGAGACTTTCTTGCAAGCCACCAAATAACTGGCTGCCCCTAAAGCTGAACTGGTATTTCAGAGCAGCTTCTAGACAGTCACCTGGATCAGCACCCCAAAACATCTTCTTTGGTAAGAGCCAGTGACTCAAAGCCTCCAACAGACCATCAACCTTAGCACTTATTATTTTAATAAATGTGCTGTAAAAATGGCAGTAACGACCTTGCTTTAGGAGATTCAGACAGCAACTTGTGATATGCCCTATGCCTTGATTCAAATGACCCTAAATAGGACCATTTAAAGTTTTCTTTATCCTGAAGTATTTCAAGTGAAATGATAAAATGACAAAATTTGCCTTATAACTCTCCAGAAAAAAAAGAAAAAGAAAAAATGTATTCGGTTTATGGAACAAAATTAGCAAAATGATGGTAATTGTTGGAGCCGGGTGACAGTTACATGAGGACTCACTATTCACTATATTATTCTCTCTAGTGTATGTTTGAAAAGCTTCTTTGGCACATTAGTGGAAAACAGATTTAATGTTAAACACTTAAATATTCAAATCCAAAGCGACAAAGAAGGTCAGTGAATTGATCGTTACAACTGAGTTTGGAATTTCAGCTGATGCAATAAATACAGACCCCAAACCAAGCAGTGAGACCACTTTCCAACAGGCTTCTTGGTCATAACACTTCAAATTTATCTAATTTTTCCATATAAGGAAAATAATAATGATCATGACAGCAACTAACATATATGTTTTCCATGTACTTGGTGCTATGCCAAGAGTTTTACATGAGTTATTTACACATATTATCTTATTTAATCCTTAAAACAACCCCATAAAAGTTACACAAGAGATAAGGAAGACAGAGAGAAAGGAAAAACCTTTCCCAGACAGGGAGTGGCAGGGCCATGATCTCAACCTGGGTAAACTAATTCCCAAGCCTACAATCTTACTGTCTACCCAATGTTGCCATTAGGTCTTCTGCTCTTGGAGAAATGGAAGCACCATCTTCCAGCTAAAAAAAGAAGGGATGTGGTTTGGGAACTGGATGAGAGGTTTGCTTCTCCCTTGCTTTATGATTGAGAGCTACTGTACTTTTTAAATAATAAATGATTTGGGGGCCAGGCGAGGTGGCTCATGCCTGTAATCCTAGCACTTTGGGAGGCTGAGGTGGGTGGATCATGAGGTCAGGAGTTCGAGACCAGCCTGGCCAACATGGTGAAACCCCATCTCCACTAAAAATACAAAAATTAGTTGGGCATGGTGGCGGGTGCCTGTAATCCCAACTACTTGGGAGGCTGAGGCAGGAGAATCGCTTGAACCCGGGAGGTGGAGGTTGCCATGAGCAAAGATTGTGCCACTGTACTCCAGCCTGGGTGACCCAGTGAGACTCCGTCTCAATAAAATAAATGATTTGGAGAATACTGACAAATCTTGAAGTTATCACATTCAGACTATGAAACCTAGATTTGGGGCTGAGGCATATACACTCATTAAGCAAAGTTGGAAATAAACTTTTGTTAGCACAAACAATATGAAAACCTCAATGCACAACAGTGCATTGAGTTCATATGTGCTGTTGCGGATCTGTACTCCTCCTAATTAGCTATTTTCTTCTTACTTTATGGCTACTGTAGGTTTGTGGGTTGTTTTTTTTTTTTTTTTTTTTTGAGACAGTCTCACTCCGTAACCCAGGCTGGAGTGCAGTGGCACGATCTTGGCTCACTGCAACCTCGGCTTTCCAGGTTCAAGTGATTCTGCTGCCTCAGCCTCCCGAGTACCTGGGACTACAAGGCGTGTGCCACCACATCTGGCTAATCGTATTTTTAGTAGAGATGGGGTTCACTATGTTGGCCAGGCTGGTCTCAAACTCCTGATCTTGAGTGATCTGCCTGCCTTGGCTTCCCAAAGTGCTGGGATTATAGACATGAGCCACTGTGGCTGGCTTACTGTAGGTTTTGTTACTGACCATGTTTACCATGGTTCCTTTGGCTTCCTGGGAAGCTGCAGCTCAACAGCAATTTTCTCCCTACACTTAGAATAAAATCTAGGCCTCTTGCTTGTCTACCAGGATCTGCAAGGTCCTCTGCATTGCGGTTTCTGCCTTCTCTCTAATCTCAGAGCTTATTACTTTCCCTCTTGCTATTATAGCCCAACTGGCCGTGTTGCTTTCCTCAAACACATGCCAAGCTTATGCCTGCCTCAGGGCTCCTTTGGGCTCCTTTTTTTTTTGAGATGGAGCCTCGCACTGTTGCCCAGGCTGGAGTGCAGTGGCGCGATCTCGGCTCACTGCAAGCTCCGCCTCCCGGGTTCACGCCATTCTCCTGCCTCAGCCTCCTCAGTATCTGGGACTACAGGCGCCCGCCACCATGCCCGGTTAATTTTTTGTATTTTTAGTAGAGATGAGGTTTCACCGTTAGCCAGGATGGTCTTGATCTCCTGACCTCGTGATCTGCCCGCCTCGGCCTCCCAAAGTGTTGGGATTACAGGCTGAGCCCGGCCTGCATCGGGGCTTTTTAAATATTTCGTATTATTTGGGATGGTCTTCCCACCACCTCTCCCCATTTCTCAAATAACTCACTCCTCATCGAATCTGCCCCCTCAGAAAGGCTGTTCCTGACCACCCCATTCACAACCCTCTGACCTATCCCTTACCTAAATTCTATCTACCTTGCTTTATTGTCCCCATAGTACTAATCACTGCCTGGAATGACATTACCTGTTTGTTTATCTGTTTATTGTAAATTCTAAGAGGGCAGGGACTTTGTCTTTTTCACTGCTCTTTCTCCAAGAACATAGAAGGTGCTCCTGTTTGTCAAGTATTTGCTAAATGATCTACTTAGGATCTTATGGCATGTATTCGGTGTACTAATCTCACTCCTGACTTAACTTCCCTCCACTTCTCCTTTATCCTGATTTCCTCATCTGTTTAAGTTTATCCTGCCGTAGAAACTGTAGTGTTTTTCTTTTTTAGAAGAAACCGTAGTTTTGTAAGTTGTCTCAAATCTTTTTTTTTTTTTAATGAGGGTGAGTATACACATACACATGCATTTAAAAGATAGGTTTAAAGTAGGTAACTAACAAGCAGATAGATGTCTGCAGCACAGTATAATTCACCTATTACCTCCAACACTTACATGTCATCAGCAAAAAAACAGCTGGCTTGCTTTTGCACCTCTTCCATCTCATCCCGACTCCACTGGGAACTCCGTCTTAGCATGTGCTTCCGGCCTAGGACCAGCAGTCGCAGATTCCGTTTGGCTAGTTGAGAGACGACATTCAAGAGCTAAAAAACACAAAGCCAGAACCACAAAAGTTCAAGGGAAGACTCTCAAATTAGTGGAGTGATTTTTCCAGCAGGCCACCTCAATGGTGAAGCACTCTTTTCTGGTAGGGGGTAAGAAAACAATCCACAATAATTTCCCATCTTTGAAAGCCTGAGGAAAATGCTTCCCTATTACACATTAATGTCTAACATCTGCCTGCTGGTCAGGCTACATTGCAGGGGGGGGTTTCTTTATTTTTGTGTGTGGGACAGGATCTCATTCTGCTGTCCAGACTGGAGTGCACAGGTGCAATCATAGCTCACTGCAGCCTTGAATTCCTGGGCTCAAGCAATCCTCCCACTTCAGCCTCCTGAGTAGTTGGGACCACAGACGTGCACCACGTCTGGCTAATTTTTTTTTTTTTTTTTTGAGACAGAGTTTCACTCTTGTTGCCCAGGCTGGAGTACAATGGCGAGATCTCAGCTCACTGCAACCTCTCCCTCCTGGGTTCAAGTGATTCTCCTGCCTCAGCCTCCCAAGTAGCTGGGATTACAGGCATGCGCCACCACAGCCAACTAATTTTGTATTTTTAGTAGAGACGGGGTTTCACCATGTTGGTCAGGCTGGTCTCGAACTCCTGACCTCAGGTGACCCACCCGCTTCAGCCTCCCAAAGTGCTGGGATTACAGGCATGAGCCACCATGCCTGGCCTAATTTTTTTTTTTTTTTTTTTGGTAGAGATGGGATCTCACGATCCTGCCCAGGCTGGTCTTGAACTTCTGGCCTCAAGAAATTCTCCTGCCTTGGCGTCCCAAAGCACCTGGATTACAGGTGTGAGCCACTGCACCCAGCCTAGTTCAGCTGTTTTAAACTGTGCTCTCTAGGGCCCACTAGGATAGAGATAGAGAGGCTCAAGAGGGATGGGATTTTGTTTCCTATACATGTCAAACCTTGTTTCGACCCAAACGGCTCAACCTTTATATATTTATCATATTGGTATTCTACATAAGTTTTGATTTGAATAAAAGCTTCTACTTCTTTTTAAGTTTGTAAATGATTAGACTAGACAGTGACTTTTCTATGTTATGACTTTATTGCTAATACTGCCTCCTTTCATTGAAATCCCCTTTTCTACTAAAGATCTGTCGATTTCTACCCTGTAGCCTACTTTCCAGTCAGTTACTTTATCCCCATTCTCTCCACTTCCCACTGGCCTCCACTTCATTGTGTGCACATGAACTCCTCAAAGGTCTAGACTTGGGTTTTAGAAGTCTAGTACTTTGGTGAGCTTGCCTATACTCAATTTTTCATAAGGAAAAGTACATAAATTACTTTTATGTACCACCTATTAAACTAAGCTATAAATGGATATTACTAAGTAAAACAAAAGCTGAAAAAATTATAACTTGTATTATATAATCATGTATCAGAAATATAAAAGATCTTTATGAGAATTGGTGGGCCCACAAAAATCACAAGTTGAAAGGTCTTGCAGAAATCCTTTATTTTCTTGGGTCTTGGTTGGAAAAGGTATTTATTTTAGTCTAGCTTCTCTTTACTCATAAGTTCCTCCTCTGTAGATTTTCAGGACATTACTTAAAGTCCTATCATCAATAAAATGAATTCATTTATTTAATCAGCTATCAAATATTACATTCGTACCTGTTATATCCAATATACACGTTGACTCTGATGATCTAATAATGAATTATCGAGGGCTGAATTTTTTTATTTTTTATTTATTTATTTTTTATTTTTGAGACGAAGTCTTGCTCTGTTGCCCAGGCTGGAGGGCAGTGGCGCGATCTCAGTTCACTGCAACCTCCACCTCCTGGGTTCAAACAAGTCTTCTGCCACACAAGTGGTGGCACTTCCAGAGTAGGTGGGACTACAGGCACACGCCATCATGCCTGGCTAATTTTTGTATTTTTAGCAGAGACGGGGTTTCACCATAATGGCCAGGCTGGTCTGGAACTCCTGACCTTGTGATCCAACCGCCTCGGCTCCCAAAGTGTTGGGATTACAGGCGTGAGCCACTGTGCCTGGCCAGCTGAATTTTAAAAATATTACTGTTTATTGCTTTGGACTGATATTGAATTTTTGTCCACTCCATTGCTAATCTTATTTCAGTAAGGAGTAGTTGGCTTTTTTATCCCTAATTATTAGTTCTATAATTAAGACATAGAATGGGCCGGGTATGGTGGCTCACATCTGTAACTTCGGCACTGTGGGAGGATGAGACTGGAGGACTGCTTGAGGCAAGAAGTTTTAGACCAGCCTGGACAACATAGCAAGACCTCGTCTCTATTAAAAAAAAAAAAATTAGGCCAGGCACGGTGGCTCTCACCTGTAATCCCAGCACCTTGGGAGGCCAAGGTGGGCAGATCACTTGACTCAGGAGTTTAAGACTAGCCTAGCCAACATGGCCCCATCTCTACTAAAAATACAAAAATTAGCTGGGCGTGGTGATGCATGTTTGTAATCCCAGCTACTGGGGAGGCTGAGGCAGGAGAATTGCTTGAATCCGTGGGGTGGAGGTTGCCATGAGCTGAGATCACACCACTGCACTCCAGCCTGGGTGACAGAGCAAGATTCCATCTCAAAAAAAATGAATGAATGAATGAATGAATAAATAAAATAAAAATTAGCCAGGCATGGTGGCATGCACCTGTGATCCTGGCTACATGAGAGGCTGAGGCAGGAGGATTGCTTGAGGAGTTCAAGGCTACAGTGAGCTACAATCGTACCACTGCAATCCTGGGCAACAGAGTGAGACACCATCTCTAAAAAAAAAAAAGAATGGACACAACTTGCCCACTTCATGTGAGCTAACACTCAAGCAGGTAATTACCTTGAGGACACCAAACTCAAAGATTTACAACTAGTAAAATATAGTTCTTTCCTTCAAAGCTAGGAATAATGGTTTCTGTGCTCAAGCAGTTATTTCCTAGACCTCTCTATGTGTAAGGCACATGGTAGGTATCACAGCTGCAGGATTTTAAGCCATAGTCCCTGCCTTTAGTAACGGAGTACCCAATATTATTATTATTATTTTTTTTGAGACAGAGTCTTGCTCTGTCACCCAGGCTGGAGTGCAGTGGCACAATTTCAGTTCACTGCAACCTCTGCCTCCCAGGTTCAAGCGATTCTCCTACCTCAGCCTCCTGAGTACCTTGGATTACAGGCACCTGCCACCCATGCCTGGCTAATTTTTGTATTTTTAGTAGAGACGGAGTTTCACCATGTTGGCCAGGCTGGTCTCAAACTCCTGACCTCAGGTGATCCACCCACCTCAGCCTAGCAAAGTGCTGGGATTACAGGCGTGAGCCACCGTGCCCAGCCCCCAATATTTTCTTATGTAACTATCAAGACTAAGAAAACATATATGCTGGCTCTACACACATTGGATGGGTCATAAATATATTTTTTCGTTAATAAATATTTTCTGATTAGCTGAAGAATATGCCCAACATCCATTTTCATCCATCATAAAGTAGCTCATATTTGAAAACTTGAAAAATGAAAGAACAAATGACTCACAGCTCACTACCCAAAGATTGTTAATGTCTATTTACCAGTCTTTCTGTCCTATGTATTTTTATTTTATTTTTCTTTCCAAATCAATAGGTCTTTTGCATCATTTAAACATCACAAATAGGTCTTAGGAATCATCCGGCATCTTGTTTCAGAAGCTGGACAACTCTTAGATCTTATTCATCAGCCGGCTGAACAGTTCCTTTTTCAGAGACATAGATACCATCCAAAAATTTCCTGATATCCTTGTTTTTAACTGTCGTGGCTTGCTGAATCAAAGCCTCTAAATTGGAAACAAGCTCAATGTCATTACCTTCAAGGATTAATTCATCTTTCTGGGCTTGAGATACTGAACAAGCAACACCTGTTCTCATCCGAACCCTGAGGATGTATTTTTCACCCAAGAAATTTCAGATTTCAACAAGAGACCCATTCTCCTGGATAACGACATTGATGGGGAAGTGAGCATACACAGACCTCATCCTGTAATGGAAGCCCAGTGTAACACCCTTGATCATGTTCTGTACATGACTACAAATAGTCTGAACGGCAGCCAGTTCCTTTCAGTTTCCCCACCATTTATCAACCTGGAGCCTCTTTTCTTTCTTTCCAAGAAGACTGAATCTACACTGATGTGATTGAAATCCCTCTGCAGGGTTCCTCTGGGGCCTTTCACAGTAACTGTGTGTCCCTTCAGAGTAATGTCACCATTTTCTGGAATGTTGACAGTCTGGTTGCTGAGAATGGTCTTCGTTCTCTCAGTAGACATGGCAAAGAAAGTTATTCTATGTATTTTTAAACATAATCTTATAAGCTATTTTAAAAGTTGGGCTAGTAATAAAAGGCAAACATCTACACTAGTAAACTTTGATTCATGGATTCAAATAGCTCAAAAGACATAGGCTGGGTCTGGTGGCTCAGGCCTGTAATCCCAGCACTTTGGGATGCTGAGGCAGGAGGACTGCTTGAGGCCAGGAGTTCGGGACCAGCCTGGGCAACACAGCAAGACCCCATCTCTAAATAATAATAATAATAATAAAATTATAAAAAAAATTCAAACAAAAACTATTTCTGATACTGATTGCTTAAGTTTTCAGGCAACTGGGAAAACATGGCTTAAGATAATACAGTTGTGTCTTCATAGCTATATCCTGGTTCAGATAAATGGCCTTGAGTTTACTAATAGTACATTAAAGACTGGGGCCCAAAGAAGAGCAGAAAAGCCTATCTTGAACTATTCTGGGGCACCATCTTGTGGCTGAGAAGTCTCTACTAGAAGCAGCTCTCTGAAAACAATGAAAACAAAGGAGAATAATTGAAAGACACAGGGAAAAAGATGAGTGTGCAGCATAAAAGCCCTGGCCTGAAACTCCATGACAGTCCAGCCATGAACCCACTTCCTCTCGGGTAAATTCGAAGGCTGGATCCAGTGGTCTGAATCAGTGTCATAGGTATACTTGGAATAGTTTGTTTGTTTTTTTTTTGAGACAGAGTCTCGCTCTGTTACCCAGGCTGGAGTGCAATGGCACAATCTTGGCTCACTGCAACCTCCGCCTCCTGGGTTCAAGTGATTCTCCTGCCTCAATCTCCTGAGTAGCTGTGATTACAGGCACCCGCCACAACGCCCAGCTAATTTTTGTATTTTCAGTAGAGACAGGGTTTCGCCATGTTGGTCGGGCTGGTCTCAAACTCCTGACCTCGTGATCTGCCCGCCTTGGCCTCCCAAAGTGCTGGGATTACAGGCGTGAGCCACCGCGCCTGGCTACTTGGAATAATTTTTTTAAAAAGACAGAAAATTCAACTTAAGATTCTATGTTAGATCAAAAGTAAAACCAGGAGGGAAAATGGAGTAGATGTACTTCTCCCTATGTCTCCCACTAAGTGCAACTAAAAACCTTGGACATTATATATAAAATAAACATAAGAAGACTTGGAAAGGTAGAGGGAAAAATGGCAAACTGGCTGGGGACCTCAGTACACAAGGACTGACATGGTGGTGAGTTCCCTGGGTTTTCTTTTTGCCACATAGATCTCAGAATTGGAGCTGAAGAAGCTGTCAACCTAGAAATGCCAATGTGTGCAGACAAAAAAACCCAACAAAGGCTTGTTCTCTCTAGCCAAAGACCAGGAAAGAGGCAGTCTTACTCAGAAAACTTGGTAAAATAACATCAGTAGATTATGATGCTGTGTATGTGTGTGAGTCTGTGTATGTATAAAACAAATAGAGTTGGCTGGGTGTGGTAGTTCATACCTGTAATCCTAGCACTTTGGGAGGTCAAGTTGGATGGATCGCTTTGTTGCAGAAATCAGGAGGACTAGACAGACTTCGGGGTAAAGCAGGAGGATCTTTATTGAGTGCACTCAGACCTAGCAGACTTAACATCTAAAAAACTGGGCTAAGAACAAAGACAGCACTTGACTGTTAAATACCCTTCAAAAAGGGGGTGGGCTAGCCTGAAACAAACTTATGGTGGTGCGAAAGCAAGAATACAGAGGCAGAACAAAGACAGTTAATCAAACTGTGATAGGTGCATAACTCAGGATTACACATGACTGTTGCTATGCAATCTAGATGGCTGTTATCTAGGTTTGCCTTAGTGCCTAGCACGGCTTATTCTGTGACATTCACTATGGCACCTAGGTGGCTATAGCTTAGGCCTGCTCAGATGTCTCATGACTTTCACTGTACTGTTTAGGTAAAACAGAATACTTGAAGTTACTAGTTACAGAGAACAGGAATCTATAAACTTATACTATAAGACAAAGGAAAATTTGTTTTTCTCTTCCTTATGTTGAGGGAGTACTGGGAGAGTCTTCAGGGCACATTAGATAGTATTATCAAGACTTTTCTTGGGTCTGGCCTGTGCCTGTTGCTGCCTCTGGGTCAAGTCAGCCTAATACAGGAAAGTTTATTTCTCTTTTTTAATTTTATTTTTTCTTTCTTTCTTTAATTTCTGCCTCAGCTTGAGTTCAGGAGTTTGAGACCAGCCTGGGAAACAAAGCAAGATTTTGTCTCTACTAAAAATAAAAAACATTAGTTGGGGATGGTGGTGTGTGCCTGTGGTCCCAGCTACTCTGGAGGCTGAAGTGGGAGGATCCCTTGGGCCCAGTAGATCAATGCTGCAGTGAGCTATGATAGTGCCACTGCACTCCAGCCTGCGCAACAGAGTGAAACCCTATCTGGAAAAGCTCCCACCAAAAAAAAAAAAAAAAAAAAAACCCGAAAAACCTCCAAAACACCTGCAGTGATCACTAAAAATGCTATACAAAAAGATACACTCAAAAACACTATAGATTTTATTTTATTTTATTTATTTTTTGAGACAGAATCTCGCTGTCCGCCAGGCTGGAGTGCAGTAGTCTGATCTCGGCTCACTGCAACTTCCGCCTCCCGGGTTCAAGCAATTTTCCTGCCTCAGCCTCCTGAGTAGCTTGGATTACAGGTGCACGGCACCATGCCTGGCTAATTTTTTTTTGTATTTTTAGTAAAGCCCGATTTTCACCATGTTGGCCAGGCTGGTTTTGAATTCCTGACCTCAAATGATCCACCCACCTCAGCCTCCCAAAGTGCTGGAATTACAGGTGTGAACCACTGCACCCAGAAAAAAACACTATAGATTTTAAAAAGCCATTATAAAGAAATAAAAACGGAATTCTAAAAAAGTTCAATAGTCCATAGGAAGGGAGGAAAAGTAAAACAGAGACAAAACACAGAAAAGAAAAAATAAATGGCAAATATAAGCCCTAACATATCAATAACAGTATGAGGTATAAAAAGTCTACATATACCAATTAAAAGACAGAGGCTGGCAGAATGGATTAAAAAACATGACCCAACTATATGCTATCTAAAAAAAAACTCACTTCAAATATAATCAAATAGACTGGTGGAAAGTAGAGGGATGGAAAAAGTTATATAGCATGCAAACAATGAAAGGAAAGCTGGAGTGGCTATATTAATATTAAATAAAATAGACTTCAGAGCAGAGAAAATTACCAGAGACACAAAAGACGTTATATAATGGTAACAGGGTCAATCTAAGAAAACATAGCAATCTTAAATGTGTGTACCAAACAACAGAGCTGCAAAATATGTGAAAGCAAAAGCTGACAGAACCAGGAGGAGAAATAGCCAAATCTACAACTACAGTTGGAAACCTCAACACTCCTCTCTCAACAATTGAGATAACTGGACAGAAAATCAGCAAGCATATAGAAGAACTCAACACCATCGTCCAGGTTCATGAATTGGAAGGCTATAGACAGTAAAGGCAAAGGAAGTAGAATAGCTAAAACAATTTTGAAAAGAAAGAATGAAGCAGAAAAATCAGTTAACCTCATTTTAGTCCTTCTTATACAGCTATGGTAATCAAAACTGTGTGATAATACCGGAAGGATACATTCTGGAGTCTGGACTACATAGCACAACAAAATAAACAATACGCGGTTCATTCTAGAGCACATCTAAAATTCCAAACTGATCCCAGAACTAATACCTCCTGAGTACCCAATACCTCAGGCTTAACCTAAAATACGGTATCTCTGCCCCGCCCCCACACCCTGCCTGCCCCATCCCACACAACATCACGGGTCCTCCTTAGTGATACTTTCCCTTACTGATAAGGAGTACACTTGGCCCAGACTTCTGGAATGGGAAGATGGAGGCTTACTCAAGTCAGACTTATCATCTTAGAATTCTTTTTTTTCTCTCTTCTGATTTGGGGTTTCTGTTTCCAATATTTCCTACTATTTCACCTTTCCTTTTCACAAAATTATTTTTCCTTGAAATACGTCTCCTTTTGCCACTGCATTTTCTTTATTCTGATTACCATCGGGGTTAAATTTTAATTTTCTGTCTACTGTTTTTTCTCAAGATGATTAAGGATAATTCTCTAAAAATCAGAAGAATAAAAACATATTTTGCCAGGTGCGGTGGCTCATGCCTGTAATCCCAGTGCTTTGAGAGGCTGAGGTGGGAGGATCTCTTGAACTCAGGAGTTCGAGACCAGCCTGGGCAACATGGTGAGACCCTGTCTCAAACAAATGAACAAACAAACATATTTCAGATTAATATTTGGTTTGAATTTTTCTGGTTTGGCTTCTGCCCTAATTTGGCTTATCTCCAGTAGGAGGAGATAAGAGATTTTTTTTTTTTTTACTCATATGTGACACATCAACTTTTGGCATAAAACTGATGAAAAGTAGTTCCTGAGCTTAGGGTAAAAATATAGTTGGCAGGGCTACATGGGTTAGAAATAACTGTGTAGGGATGCTCCGGAAATAGAAAAGCTGCCTGGGAGGTAAGAGAGGCCAATGAGAGCAAGAGTTTTTCTCAGTAATCCTAAACAGCAAATGTTAACTTCCTTTCCCTGTGCTTATACCTTTTTACCTCCTCCTCTGCAGTCTATGGCACTTCCTGAGGTTTTATGGATTGTAGCTGTTCAGAAACTCTAAAGCCTTTGGGATCTGATGTCTTCAGAAATTAGAAATTCTTCGTCTGTTCCTCAGCAAGATAACTATCATCAATATACCTCATTTATAAGAACATTCATTATGGGATACCTCCAGGAAAGAACTTAAAAACTGTTTTGGAAGCAACCCAAATGTCAATTTCTGGAAGATGAATAGATCGATAAAATGTGGTATATACATATAATAGATTATTATTCAGCCTTAAACAGGAATGAAATTCTAATACATGCTACAACATGGATGAACTTGAAAACTAAGTGAAAAAAGCCAGACACTAAAGGACAAATACTGAATGATTGCACTTACATAAGTTACCTAAAGTAGTCAAATTCATAAAGACAGCATAGAATGGTGGTTGTCAGGGCAGCAGGGAGAGGAGAATGAGGAGCTATTGTTTAACGGATACAGAGTTTCAGTTTGGGAAGATGAGAAAAGTCTGGAGATGAATGGTGGCAACAGTTGCACGACAACATGAAGTACTTAATGCCACTGAACTGTATACTGAAAAATGGTTAAAATGGTAAATTTTATGTTAATATATTTTACAACAATAAAAGATTTTATCAGGCCAGACACAGTGGCTCATGCCTGTAATGCCAGCACTTTGGGAGGCTGAGGCGGGCAAATCACTTGAGGTCAGGAGTTTGAGACCAGCCTGGTTAACATGGTAGAACCCAGTCCCTACTAAAAATACAAAAAACTTAGCTGGGTATGGTGGCAAGCGCCTGTAGTCCCAGCTACTTGGGAGGCCGAGGCAGGAGAATCGCTTGAACCTAGGAGGAGGAGGTTGCAGTGAGCTGAGATGGTGCCACTATACTCTAGCCTGGGCAACAGAGCGAGACTCGGTCTCAAAAAAGAAAAAAAAAAAAAAGGATTTTATCATAAAAATTTTAAATATAAACAAAAGCAGGCAGAATAGCATAATGAACTGCCATGTACCCATCGCTCAGCTGCAATAATTATCAGCTCACGGCCAATCCAATTTCATCTATATACCAATTCACTTCCTTCTCTCGGATTATTTTGAAACAAATCCCAGACATATCATTTCACCTGTAAATATGTTGGAATGCATTTCTAAATATAAGAATGCTTTAAAAGATAAGCACAGGGCCAGGCGCAGTGGCTCACGCCTGTAGTCCCAGCACTTTGGGAGGCCAAGGTGGGCGGATCACGAGGTCAGGAGTTCGAGACCAGACTGACCAACATGGTGAAGCCCCATCTCTACTAAAAATACAAAAATTAGTTGGGCGTGGTGGCAGGCGCCTGTAATCGCAGATGCTCAGGAGGCTGAGGCAGGAGAATCGCTTAAGCCCAGGAGGCGGAGGCTGCAGTGAGCTGAGATTGCACCACTGAACTCCAGCCTGGGCGACAGAGCAAGACTCTGTCTTAAAAAAAAAAAAAAAAAAAAAAAGATACGCACAATTTCTTTTTTCTTTTTTTTTTTTTGAGATTTTGAGACAGAGTCTCGCTCTGTCACCCAGGCTGGAGTACGGTGGTGCAATCTCAGCTCACTGCAGCCTCCGCCTCCTGGGCTTAAGCGATTCTCCTGCCTCAGCCTCCCGAGCATCTGGGATTACAGGTGCCTGCCACCACGCCCAACTAATTTTTGTATTTTTAGTAGAGATGGGGTTTCACCATGTTGGCCAGGCTGGTCTCAAACTCCTGACCTCGTGATCCGCCCTCCTTGGCCTCCCAAAGTGCTGGGATTACAGGCGTGAACCACTGCGCCCAGCCTGATAAAATCTTTTCTTGTTGTAAAATATATTTAATATAAAATTTATGTAACATAAATGTAACATAAATGACTCATATTTCTGAGTCACAATTGTTTTTTGAATAAGGATCTAAAAAATTCCCATACATTGAAATTGCCTGGTATCTCTCTTAAGACTCTGTATAAGCTCTTTATCTATTTATCTTTTCTCCCTTATAGTCTAAGGCATATGATTGTTCATAGAGAATTTCCTCCATTTAGATTTTACCGATTGCATCCCTATGGTATCATGTAACATAGTCTCCAGTCTTCTATGCTTCTTGCAAACTGGTAGTTGAATCTAGAGGCTGTGTTTGGTGGTACATGCATGTAGTCCCAGCTACCTGGGATGCTGAGGTAGGAGGATTGCTTGAGCCCAGCAGTTCAAGTGTAGCCTGGGCAACACAGCAAAACCCTATCTCTTGATAAAATAAAATATAATGGTCCTGATGAATTGAAAAGGCCAGTTCATTTATCAAAGATTAAGAAGAACCTCCTCTGTAAGTCACTAGGCATGTGGTACTTGGAATACAGATATAAAAAAACAGTTATTCCAGCCGGGTGTGGTGGCTCATGCCTGTAATCCCAGCACTTTGGGAGGCCAAGGCGGGTGGATCATTTGAGGTCAGGAGTTCGAGACCAGCCTGACCAACATGGTGAAACCCCGTCTCTACTAAAAATACAAAAAAATTAGCCAGGCGTGGTGGCACATGCTTGTAGTCCCAGCTACTTGGGAGGCTGAGGCAGGAGAATTGCTCGAACCCAGGAGACAGAGGTTGCAGTGAGCCGAGATCACGCCACTGCACTCCAGCCTGGGAGACAAAGTGAGACTCCATCTCAAAAAAACAAAAAAACAACCAAACACAGTTATCTCTAACCTCAAGGTCTTTGCAGTCAAATTAATATAATATAATGTATGCACTAAGATGGAACACAAAGGATGGGCACTTCAATCAGACTGTGGGTGAGGAGGGTGGTCAGGGAAGTCACCACAGAGGAAGTGACAGCAGAGCTGAGTTTTCAGATGAACTAGCCCGGCAAGGAATGGGAATTTCCAAGAACAGGAGCAGCAAGTTGAAGGTGGAGGCTCTTTATTAGCACACTGAATTTGAGGAACTGCAAGGTGTCAAATGTGACTCAAGCAGAGGTGTGGGAGGATGACATGGGACGTGCCAGAAATAAGACTGGAAATGAATGCAAGGGTTAGATCCCAGGGGTCTTTATAAGTTGTATAAAGTCTTTTCCTGCCTGAAAGCAATGGGGGAAAATCAAAGGATTTAAAACAGGAGAGTGGGCTGGGCGCGGTGGCTCATGCCTGTAATCCCAGCACTTTGGGAGGCCAAAGCGGGTGGAGCACCTGAGGTCAGGAGTTCAAGACCTGCCTGATCAACATGGAGAAACCTCATCTCTACTAAAAATACAAAATTAGCTGCGAGTGGTGGCGCATGCCTGTAATCCCAGCTACTCAGGAGGCTGAGGCAGGAGAATCGCTTGAACTCGGGAGGCAGAGGTTGTGGTGAGCTGAGATTGCGTCATTGCACTCCAGCCTGGGCAACAAGAGCGAAACTCCATCTCAAAACAAACAAACAAACAAACAAACAAGCAAACAAACCAAAACAGGAGACTGACATGACTTCCATTTTAGAGAGATCAAAATTGTGGACTGCATGAAGGCTGGGCCACAAAAGGGAGATCAATTAGGAGGCTTCTGCAGTAATTCAGGCAAGAGATAATGAGAAAACTGGCAGTAAAAATGAAAAGAACAGAGCTCTTTGTGAGTTAGTAAAGCAGAATTGAGCAGACTTAGTCACTGACTGGATGTGGGAAACAAGGAGAGGGATAAAGCAAGACAGATTGGACAGCTGGATAGATGATGGTACCAAGATAGAGTCTATGAGAGGAGGAGCTTTTGATATCTCAAGGTGGGAGAGATCTAGTAGGCGGCCAGTTATGTGGCTCTCTACCACTTAGGAGAGGGATCTGGGCTGCAGATAAAGATTTGGGAGTCATTCAGGGAACATGCAATGGCAGGTGCCATCAGAGAGTAGATGAGCCGTAACAGGACAGGTAAAAACTCTGGAGGGAAGATAGTGGAGGAAGACACTTGAGGAATACCATTATTTGAAGGATGGGGTACTAAGAAAAGCTTATAACAGAGACTGAAGCATGACCAAAAAGATGAAAACCCAGGAGACAGTGGTCTCTCAGAAAGAGACTATAAGGAGCATTTCAAGAAGGAGGGAGCAGCTATGTACCAGTGCTACGGGGACACCATGTCAGATAAGAACCAAAGTGTGGCCTACAACCAAGGGGAGTCATTTTGATGATGCCAGAGGGGGCAGGACTGAGATTTCAGTTGGTTCCCTAAATCCTATATAAGGATGCAGTTTGCTTTGCCCAGAGAGACTCTGTCCTATAAGTATAGCTCTATTTTGTCTGAGCAAACAATCGATTCTGCTCTTCATTTCAGATACTGAGTGTTGTGGCCTCTTCAAAATCCCATCTCCCAGAAGCTTCACTGCGAAGGGAGAAAAGTGTGTGTGTGTGTGTTTCTTTTTTCTTTTCTTTTTTTCTTTCTTTCCTTCTTTCTTTCTTTTTCTTTCTTTCTTTTCTTTCTTTCTTTCTTTCTCTCTCTCTCTCTTTTTTTTTTTTTGAAACAGTCTCATTCTGTCACCCAGGCTGGAGGACTGCAGTGGCACGAATCACAGCTCACTGCAGCCTCGACCTCCTGGGCTCAAGTGATTCGCCTCCACCTCCTGAGTAGCTGGGACTATAGGTGCACACCAGCATACCTGGCTAATTTTTGTATTATTTGTAGAGGTGGGGTTTCACCATGCTGCCCAGGCTGGTCTGGAACTCCTGACCTCAAGCAATCTGCCTGCCTTGGCCTCCCAAAGTACTGGGATTACAGGCATGAGCCACTGCACCTGACCAGCAGAAAGTTTCTCAATTTTTTTAAGGATGGAAGAGACTTGAGAATATTCATATTCTGATCAGAAAAAGCAAGTAGCAAGGTAGAGGCTGAAGATATGGGCACAGAAAGGAAAACAAGGTTCCTGAGAAAGCCGGGGATAGAATCTACAGAACAGGTGGAGAGAACACCTCTTGCCACTGAGATGGAAGGATAAGGGTAGGTCTAAACATAGGAAAGTCTGATTGTGTGGTTTGTGTGTAGGTGTGTGTATGTGGTATGTAGGTAGAGATGTGAAGTCATTCATCCTGATATTTTCTGTTTTCTGTGTGCAACAGGAGGCAAGTCATTGGCAGAGGGATGGTGAAGTAGGAGGCTTGAGGGCAACAGTGCAGATGAGATATAGCTGGTGTGGGGATTGGGAGCAGGAGCTGACTGCAGACACGTAGAGAGAGCTGGACAGGGTAAAGCCCAGTCATGGTTGGAGACCACCCACACCTACAGGCAGCAGCAGTTGGCCCAGTGGGGAGATTTACAGGGCTCAGCATCCTGCCTGCACCATGAAAGAAGGCAACTGGAAGACAGCCAGAAAGGATAATGACTGCCTTCTTTTTAATTTGTTTTTTTGTTTGTTTGTTTTTTGTTTTTGAGACAGGGTTTCACTCTGCCATCCAGGCTGGAGTGCAGCAGTGGCACAAACATGGCTCACTGCAGCCTTGACGTCCTGGGCTCAAGTCATCCGCCTGCTTCAGCCTCCTGAGTAGCTGGGACCACAGGCATGTGCCCCTACACCCGTCTAATTTTTTTCTTTTTTAGAGATGGGGTCTCACCATGTTACCCAAGCTAGACTCAAACTCCTGGGCTTAAGCAGTCCTCCCTCCTCAGCCTCCCAAAGTGTTGGGATTACAGGCGTGAGATACCATGCCTGGTCATGATTGACTTCTGGTTTCATGTTAATATTTGGCCAAAATGCACTTTCTGGTAGAAACATAATTGAAATGTCAGTCATCTAATATAATTCTTCCTATTTATTATTAGTAATTGGAGATACTATTCCAAATTTATATTCATATCAGTATAGGATCCATGGTTTTGTATTCTGGTCCAAGGTAGGAATTCCTCAGGTACCCTCCCGCCTGCACCTGTGCCTCCCCGACCCCTCCACTATCCTTACAGTGTTATTAAAATTTGTCAAGTCATCATTAACAAAAATATTAAACAGCCAGGCGCGGTGGCTCATGCCTGTAATCCCAGCACTTTGGGAGGCCGAGGTGGGTGGATCACGAGGTCAGGAGTTCGAGACCAGCCTGGCCAAGATGGTGAAACCCCCGTCTCTACTAAAAATACAAAAATTAGCTGGGCGCGGTGGTGGGCGCCTGTAATCCCAGTTACTCGGGAGGCTGAGGCAGGAGAATCGCTTGAACCCAGGAGGCAGAAGTTGCAGTGAGCCAAGGTAGCTGCACTCTAGCCTGGGCAACAGAGTAAGACTCCATCTCAAAACAAACAAACAAACAAAACCCAAAAATATAAACAACATTATTTACATACAATTTTTTGTATGGAAAGATGAAATTATCTTCGATAATTTTCTATTATTTCTCATAGCAATTTATGAGGGAAGTCAGCAGTGTTTTCTCATTTACAGGATAAAGAAGGTAAAGGAAAGAGAAATTAGGGACTTAGTCAAGGTGTTCCTAAGTGGTAATATAAAAAAAGGATCTTGTTTTTGCAATTGCAAACTGTGCTGCTATAAACTTGTGTGTGCAAGTATCTTTTCTGTGTAATGACTTCCATGCCCATCAATCAACAAGTGGATAAAAGAACTGTGGCATATATATATATGATGGAATACTACTCAGCCATAAAAAGGAACGAATTAATGGCATTTGCAGCGACCTGGATGAAACTGGAAACTATTATTCTAAGTGAAGTAACTCAGGAATGGAAAACCAATCGTCGAATGTTCTCACTCATAAGTGGGAGCTAAGCTATGACCATGCAAAGGCAAAAGAATGACACAATGGACTCTGGGGATTCAGGGGAAAAGAGTGGGAAGGGGTAAGGGATAAAATACAAATTGTGTGCAATGTATACTGCTCGGGTGATGGGTGCACCAAAATCTCACAAATCACCACTAAAGAACTCAATCATGAACCAAACACCACCTTTTCCCCAATAACCTACGGAAATAAAAAATTTTAAAAAACGAAAAAAAAAATAAAATGGAGATTGGCCACCTCCAAAAGACTGAAAAATAAATACAGGATCTCAAAACCACCTGGCTCTCAAGGCAAGTTCTCTCTGGCAATATCTCCCTCTTTTAAGGACTTTAGGAAACAAGTAGGGGCCTATTTGATAAGGTGGTTCAGGGAGGCCACGTGTCAGTGCTGAAGTACATTTCCTTCCTCAATCTACCTCTCTACCTTCTGTTCAACTTCCCTCCCTTTAATGAATCAGTCGGGGGATGGTGAGGAGAAGCTCCACTTTATCTGAGCCTTAGTTAGGAGCAGACCTCAATTCTATTCAGCTAGTCTGGCACTCCTTGGAAAATGCATCAGTGTCATTCCCTGGCAGCTTCTGATCTTATTATTCTATGTGTAAAATGAATCAATGTAAACAGCTCTTCAGGAACCGGAGGAAGTTCACAGATCCCTAAACTCAGGAATAATTTTCTCTAAAGGACCTGATGTAGAAGGGGAGTCTGATTAAAGTAGAAACTGTTTTCCCCGAAAATGGTCAGCAGCTGTTCTAAGTCCAAACTGGGAGTAGGTAGGGTGTTTGAGGAGCAAGGCACCATGCATTTGAGGGGTATAAGACATCTTTTTTTTTCTTTTTTTTTTTTGAGACCGAGTCTCGCTCTGTCACCCAGGCTGGTGTGCAGTGGCGAGATCGTGGCTCACTGGGTTCAGGCAATTCTCCTGCCTCAGCCTCCCGAGTAGCTGGGACCACAGGCATGCGCCACCATGCCCAGCTATTTTTTGTATTTTTTATAGAGACAGGGTTTCGCCATGTTGTTCAGGCTGGTCTCGAACTCCTGGCCTCAAGTGATCTGCCCACCTGGGACTCTCAAAGTGCTGGGATTACAGGCATGACCCACTGTGCCTGGCCCCTTTTCTTGGATAAAACCATGTGAGTGTGCACACCAGGGAGGATGTAAAGTGATTTAGTCTTTGACCTGCCTCCTCTTTACACATTCACATAGCTATAGTTCAAAGCCTGAACTTTGAAAGAAGAGCAAATTAATTTTAAATGTATGATGATATTTAAGACAGTATCTTTAGTTATTCATAAGCTGAGATATTTGAAATTCCATAAAATATGGAAGTCCTTAAAATAACCACAGGTAACCCACATAGCGTTCTGATATAAAGGATTTCTAATACCAGTTCTACAATTGTTTGGGAGACTAAAGCCAGGAAATATACTATCACACTGGTCTTTAAGAACAACAACAACAAAAAAGCCAGGTAATAATTCAATTTCATTTTTTTTGGTCCTGCTCTGTTATCCAGGTGGCAGTGCAGTGGCATGATCATGGTTCATTGTGGTCTCACTCTCCCAGGCTCAAGTGATCCTCCCACCTTAGCCTTCTGAGTAGGTGGGACTGCAGGTGCATGCTATCGTACTTGGCTAATTTTTTATTTTTTTATTTTTTGTAGAGATAGGGTCTCATGATGTTGCCCAGGCTGGTCTTGAACTCCTGGGCTCAAGCAATCCTCCTGCCTCTGCTTCCCAAAGTGCTGAGATTACAGGTATGAACCACCATGCCCAGCCCATCTTCACTTTTTATGTGATTACCTCACTAAAGATAACCTCATGGTAATTTGGGGCTTGAACTGGAATTAATTGTCCTGGGTGGGAATTTTCCTATTTGAGTCTGGCTGGATTTGAGGATATAATGGGGTTAAGTCAAAAGCAGACAGGAGAAAGCAAGAAAAGTAAATATTCTTTCATGTGCATTTATTAATTTTGACAATTATTTCCCACAGACTGAGAGAACGCAAGACCACTTTAGGGAAAAAGACAATGATTGATGAACTCTCTTGAGGCAGTGTTCCAGAACTCAGGATATCACAAACATAATGCCTGTAATTGATGCATTGTGCTCGCCACAAAATGTACAGTGGAAAAAAACAGGGAACTCATAACTTACACTAGTCCAGTGCGGTTTTCTACTTGTTTTTATGATGCTATTACTCTCTGTAGGTTAGCTAATACCCAGTTTAAGTCCCTTCTTTGTCTTCGTTCCTCTTGTTTTTCTCTTGAGCTAAGTTTTGGGACGAGAATCCCTGTCCCAGACATAGAGTGACACTGTATTTCTCAAGTGACTGCTATATTCAACATTTTTCTGTGTACCTCTGAAAATGCCACCAAGGTGGAGAGTGCAGGAAACCTAACAAAGTTGTGGCTTGAGGCTTCTAGTTTCAAATATTCTTGTCATATTTTCATTAGCAGCCTGCTCCATTGGTGCTGCCTTGGCTTCAGTTCTACCTTTGACAGCTGTTGCTGCTTGCAGAGAGAGAAAGAGATCATGATTTATTTAAAGGAAGCTTGATCATATTGTCTTGCTGGAACTACTTCAGAGCTATATACCATACAACAGACAGATTAGCACTTGATGAAAATGAGAGAAATGGAAGATGAGAAAAGGAAACTTTCACCAGGTGGTATGTAAGCTGCAAGCTTTCTAAGTCTGGTGGTGTATCCAGAGGAGAGAGGCTGAGGCTGACTGAGCAGGAGTCCTACTTCTGCCTCTTTGTACACAGATCTAAAAGTATTTAATGACTGACTCACTATATAAAGCATTTTGAATCTCTTTGGGAAAAAATGGATATATGGATATATACAAAATATTATTACTTCATTATAATGTCATAAATGATCCCACTGGTTTACATTAGACCCACCATGTCCTATATCCTGCTTTCGTCAGTCTTTGGTATTTTAGGGAGATTTCAATTATCTCCTCTCGTCCTTAGTTAATGAAACAATTCTACGGAGGAAGAGAAATCCCTTCCTGCTTTGGGAACATCCTGTCAAGTGTGGGATGTTTCCTGCTCACCACTATCTTCTCTGATGCCATTAGCACCCACACAGTCATCCAGCCTTTTAGAAAACTATTAAATCGTTGGCCTAGATGGATTTCCTCAGCTAGCTGAGAGTCAAAGCTGTCTAGAAGACAGATTTGCCTCCTGACTCACAGTGTGACTTTTCTCCAAACATTTATATGCATTTGGTCTTTTTATTTTCTCTGTAAGATATCTGTGTTTCCTCCCTATCCTGTAAGGCAAGAAAGGATAGGTATTCTGAAGACTGAAAACTAATTTCAGGAAGATTAAACTAACTTATTTTGATATGGAAATATCAAAATTTGATTAAATTTCCACTCTCAAAAGGTTTATTAAAAATTCACCCTAGGGTTCTAGGTCCAGTCCATATATAAGGAATAATTTGCTCACTCTGGGAAAGTATATGAATACTGTCAGGATCAAAGGGCTCCATTTCATGACTAGAAGAGAAAGAGTAAGATGAGTGGGGAGTTCAGAAGCTTGAAAACTTGTGTAGCCTGGCCATGGCTGCACTAATTTACACAGCTTTTGTCTTGCTACAAAGCCCCACACAGTTGTACACTATGGTTATGGATTCTGTTTTCTGGTAAAGTACTGTCTGTTCGAAATATATAAAATACCTGGCTATATAAAAAGACACCTTATAATGGATGACTGGAAGCAGAAAAAATAGTAAGAGAAAGGAAGGGAGGAAGGGAGGGAGGGAGAGACACCTTAGACATCTCCAGTTCATGTTTTAAGCAATCTATGCAGCTCTGCGGTGGAAGGACTTATACATAAATAAAACTGGATAGACACATAATAGAGACCTTTCCAACTTCTATTACTTAATAGTTCAATAATCATAATTAAGAGCACAAGCTTTGGCATCAGGCTGCCTGGGTTCAGATTCTAATTCTACTATGTACCAACTGTGTGACCTTGGGGAAGTTACATTTCCTCTCTGAGCCTGTTTCATCATTGGTAAAGTAGAAATAATAATTGGGTTATTATGAGGGTTACTTTAGATAATGTATGTAGACACAAAGCACATGGGAAAATACTCAATAAATGTTAGCTATTACTACGCAATCGGGACGGGATTAGGGAATTTAGAGCTCCCAATCCTTACTATATTCTCCCCGCATCCAAAACAAAGAAAGAGCAAAAAAGAAAAGAAGAGAGAGGAAAGAATAAAACAAAAGACAGAGAAAAAAGAGTTTCTTTTGGCATTATCACACATTTGGGTGGTTTTTGTGATAATCTCTGTCAACACTTGGTAGGAGTAGAACATAAACTTTCAGGTTAAGGCAAACTGAACACATGCATCTAATCTTAACCCCACTTGAAATTCCATTAAAACTATAATATAGACCTTCTAAAATCACAAATCCACAATGACTTTAGAGACAATAGCAACAAGATTTTGGAAGCTGGAAAGCAGATAAACAAGTGGTAACTGACTTTACAGATCCAACAAAGTCAAATCTGAAGAGAGGTAAGCTAAGAACCAACCCAATTTTCAAAAGACTCCAGAACTGGAAGTAAAGGAGTAAGACTTAATGGAAGTGTGTGGCTGAACTAAGGAGAACTGGGGAAAACTGCTGAAGAAGGATTAGATTCCTAGACTCAGATACCCTTGCCCCCTCAGTTACATATTGCTTTTGCTGGGGTAGGAGATAGAAGTCTGAAGATTCATTATTTGAGTTTAGAGAGAGAGAACCAGAAAACACAGAGGAAGGAATCATCAACAAAATAACCAACGAACATCTCCCCAAATAAGAAGATATCAGTTTCTAGAATGAAATAGTCTGCGTGTTCAACTCAATGAATGAAAATAGACCATACAAAGTCACAGCACCGTAAAATTTTAAAACACTGGAGACAAAAAGAAGACTCCAAAAACTTCCAGAGAGAATAAAGCAGATCATATACAAAAGATAAGGAGCCAGAATGTCTTCAGACTTCAAGAGTAACACTGGGAGCATAAAACACTGCCTTCAAAATTCTGAAATAATATTATTTCTAACCTGAGATCTATTTTCAGCTATACCATCATGTGTAAGAATAATATAAAGGCATTTTCAGACACGGAAACTCATAAAAATTTTACCTCCTATGTACCCTTCTTTGAGAAGCTCCTGGAGAACTTTTCACTAAAGAGACTAACCCAAGAAAGAGGAAGACAGGAAATTGGAGTTCCAATACAGGAGAGCGGTAATGGGAATCCCCCAAAGGATGGTGAAGGGAGATCCCAGGATGATTGCTGTGTATCAGATACAGAGGGCAATTAATCCAGATTGAAAAGTGACTCAAGAGATAGCCACATTGCATACTGTCATCACCAAGATCCTCACTGCCATCACTTTATTATTTTTTTGAGAGAGGGTCTCATTCTGTTGCCTAGGCTGCAGTGCAAGTGGCACAATCAGGGCTCACTGCAACCTAGACCTCCTGGACTCAAGCGATCCTCCTTCCTCAGCCCCCCAAGTAGCTGGGATTACAGGTATGCACCACAACACCTAGCTAATTTTTTGTATTTTTAGTAGAGATGGGGGTCTCACCATGTTGCCCAGGTTGGTCTTGAACTCCTGGACTCAAGCAATCTGCCCGCCTCGGCCTCCCAAAGTGCTGGTATTAGAGGCGTGAGCCACTGTGCATGGCCACCATCCTTTTAACTGGAGCACAGAATGCCTGAGTGAGCCTGTATTTGGCTTGTTTTAACTGTAGTCTAGAGTTTCCATACTCCCTGACATCCCATGATGCCGTAATCAGTGAAGACTTGCATTTTATTGAAAATGTAAAAAATTTTTGTTTTGACCTACTCCTGAAAGCTGGAGGAAAGCCATGGTGAGTTTAGAAGCAGAAAAACAGCAGCTTGTTCTGTTTGACCATATTTTCTGTTGGATGTTTTTGGGTACCTGGTCCAAACTACAGCTTTGCCAGATGCCCTGATGTGGTAAACCCTCTGTTTTGTAAGACTAGCTCTGACTTCCCCAGAAGGGGCTCCCAAAGAATAAAGCCAGATCATAAACCAAAGACCTTGCTCAGCTTATCTTCTCAAGGGAGCTTTCATCTGACAGTGACAATCTTGCCCCTTCCTCACACAGCTAGAGTTGAGCTTACTCCTCAGTTTTTCAATCCTAAACAATGAAAAGCAAGAAAATTATTTACACAGAAGTCAGGATTATGTTACCTGACTGGGGTGGAGAGTTGGGGAAGAAGAAGTTAGCAGGGGAAAGGAGACGAGGTTAGAAGAGGTTAAACAGGACACACAGGGAACTTCTTAACCCAACTGGTGGGTACAAAGGTGTTAGTTTTATTATTACTCTTTAAACTACACATTTATATTAAAACAGTCTTTACACATGATATATTTTATGCGCGCACACACAGAGGCTTTGTATTTATTAGAGAACCACGTAAAATTGCCAATATTCTACCATTTTTGAGGTATAAAAATAGCAACCTCATATGTTTAAACCCAATCATTCAGGCTCAGTAATGTACTTTGTGCCTTTGAGGCAAATTAAGAGCCTAAGTTTCCCCATGTGCAAAATGAAGTTAAAAAAAAAAAAAGATAATATCCAAGAAGATAAGTAAACATAAGAGAAAAAAAGAATTTAAAAAAGTGGGTTTCTGCATTAAATTATATTTAATAAACTCTCATAATCGAGTAACTCTCATATTATGTATGTAACACCATAATACTGGTCCTCTAAAAAGTTAAAATGTTAGTCTCTAATGGAGGAAATTCTTTGTGTTTCCCAGAGGGAAGATTTGGCAAATATTACATTAACATAACTATAGTTCAATATAACATAACAATGAGGACTTATGAAAAGTTTTTAGAAATCCCCAAGCCCTCACATCTCCCTTACTTCTGCTTTTCTTGGCAGAAATGGGACACAGAAAGTGGAAATGGTGGGAAGCAATAATGGGGATTGATGTGAGGAATTAGAATATAAAATGAGACAAGTGTATTCACTATACTTGAATCAAGGCAGAAACATGGATGGTCTGAGTTCGTTCTTGGTAGAAGAGCTGTTTTAAGCCTCTTTTTTTCAGGTATATAAATTTAAAAAATGACCTAAACCAAAAAGAAGAGTCTTCCATTTTTTTCACCTTTAGCTATGAGTTACTAGGCAATTATGATATGTCAAAAGTACTTTAAATATTAATGTGCTTATACACATCACCACTTAATCCTCATAGACACCCTTATGAATTTGGTACCATTATTACCACCCACTCCTACTTCCCTTTTACTTATGGGGAAACTGAGCCACAGCAAGGTTAAGGAACTAGTTCAAAGTTACAGGCCAGTAAGTAGCAGAACTAGGTTTCGAACCTAGGCAAACCTACATTCTAACCACAAACCTACATTCTTAATCAGTCACTCTTCTTGTAGCATATAACTCTCAATTTTAACTCCTTTCTTTTTAAAACATTCCCTTATTAAACCTGTCCCTTATTCTTTTTTTTTTTTTTAGACATGGTCTCACTCTGTCACCCAGACTGGAGTGCAGTGGTGTGATCACGGCTCACTGCAGCCTCAACCTCCTGGGCTCAAGTCATCCTCCTGCCTCAGCCTCCCAAGTAGGTGGGACCACTGGGGCGCACCACCACACCTAGCTAATTTTTGTATTTTTTTATAGAGATGAGAGTCTCACTATGTTGCTCATAGGCTGGTGTCAAACTCCTGGGCTCAAGAGATCTGCCTGCCTCTGCCTCCCAAAGTGTGGGGATTACAGGCGTGAGCCACCATACCGGGTCCTGTCCTTTATTCTACAGCTAACTGCGACTATGATTATTCCAGTAACATCTTTTGCATCCTTCTTAAGTGAACTGTGGGAAATCCTTAGGTACTTTTGTTGGAAACCTAACACTGTATTTCTCAGCTGGAGTGTACATGAGCAGTACTTGGCAATACACTGAAGGTACTTGAAGCCATAGGATAAACAAGACATAAATTCCTGGAGTGACCATTACTTCAGGTTCAGTTTTTTGGGAGAAACTCCTTGTAAAAACAAAGGAAACAAACACAGATATACCATGATGTCTTTGAATGCAAGATCTGCACTAAATTTTAAGATAAAAGAAATAACACTCCAAAGACATTTTCCACTTCCCTCAGGGCTATTTGCTCCAATCTTTGGGGACAGTAGCTCTTTCTCCTCTGCTGGTAAGAGCACTCTGCAAATAATGTCAGGAGTGATCACTGGATTGTAAAATATGTCAGCTAAGCACAGCACTCTACCCAGGTCAGGAACAAAGTCACAATACCAAACATGGCCCTAATCTGACTATTTAAAACTTCCAAAATATTGCACTTGGAAATACGTGAGATATAGCTAGCTAGCTAGATAGATGAAAATGTAAATTTTAGAACAATATATTAATTATGCCATATATGTGCAAAATACGTATGTATGTATGTGCTGAAAATAGTCTTAAAAGATACACACTACACTCTTATCAGTGGTCTCTTCTGGGGAATAGAACTAGGGAGATGGCTTTCATTTTCTATCATTTGATATGATTTGACTCCCCCCCAACAATAAACATGTACACTATCTTTGTAAAGGAAGAAAAACAATACTCAAAGAGTAAAAAACACCAACAGCAGAACATACAGTAACCCCAAAGACCAAAAATAAATGAGGATCCCTAGAGATCTTCCAAGAGAGTAACCCTGTGAATGTGTCTAAAGGTTAATCTGAAAGTCATCACAATATATGCAGAGTAGGTTCAGCCTGAGTTTATTAAATTCAACACAAATATTTATATGGTGTCTACATATGATAGGTACTACTTGAGGTGCAGGGATATTTAGATCTTTCTATCATAAGATTCAGTTCTTTTCTTTAAATAATTCATTCCATAGTAGGAAGACAGACATAAATAAATCACTAAGATGTATATTATTCTAATGCAATACAAATAATACACAAATTTACCAAATGTGTGTACCTTTTCTGCTCCAGGTACTACCTGAAGCACGGGTGGATATAAGGGTAAACAAGACATGGTCCCTGCCCTCAGTGAGTTTAGAGCCCAGTGGGAGTAAATAAAAGGTGTCAGTAGAATCACCAGGGTAGGAGAAAAGAGAAGCCTATGAAAAGTTTTTAAAGCTAAAATGGAACTCCCCAGTTTAGAACTTCTTTAATCTTCTAGATTAAAGAATCAGCAAATGCAAAGGCACAAATGAGTGAAATGTTACGGTATGTTGAGAGAATAACAAGAATTTTAGGACCAGTGGAGTGTACAGTGCAGGGTGGGAGAGAAGAAAAGCTGAGGAGAGGTGAGTCGAGGCTGGGAGGTAGGCAGGACTCTTGCATAAGGCACACAGGATCTTGGGTTTTGTGATGAGAAGCCTCTGAAGGGTGGTAGTAGCAGGAAAGTGACAGTTTCAGATTTCCATTTCAGAAAGAACATTCTCACTGAGGTTTGGAATGTATTGAGGCCAATTATTAGACTTCAGCAACAGTGAGAGATGAAAAGGGTCTAAGACCAAAATAATCCAGAGCAGACTGTCCAAGAGAAATATAATGTGAGCCACAAATGAGAGCCAAAAGTTTAACTGTAAATTTGGATGCTCAGGTCCCTGATATAAAATTGCCATCCTCGTATACTTTTTTTTTTTTTGAGACGGAGTCTCCCTCTGTCACCCAGGCTGGCGTGCAGTGGCATGGTCTCAGCTCACTGCAACCTCTGCTTCCCGGGTTCAAGAGATTCTCCTACCTCAGCCTCCTGAGTAGCTGGGATTACAAGCATGTGCCACCATACCCCACTAATTTTTGTATTTTTAGTAGAGACAGGGTTTCACCATGTTGGCCAGGCTGCTCTCAAACTCCTGACCTCAAGTGATGCTCCCGCCTTGGCCTCCCAAAGTGCTAGGATTACAGGCGTGAGCCACTGCGCCTAGCCTTCCCTCCCATATATTTAAAATCATCTCTAGATTACTTATAATAGTTAATATAATGTGAATGCTATGTAAGTAGTTGTTATACTGTATTATTTAGGGAATAATGACAAGAAAAAAAGTCTGTACATGTTTAGTACAGACACAATTTTTTTCAAATATTTTTGATCTGTGGTTGGTTGAATCCACGGGCGAGGGGAACCCACAAATATGGAGGGCTATTTCACACAGCACATCTCAATTTGGTCAGCCACATTTCAAGTGCTCAACAGACCCACTGGCTAGTAGCTACCATATTGGATAATGCAGGGCCAGAGGGACTAATTGAGGAGGCAATTTCAGCAGAATTTGTTGATTTAATCAATGTGGAGGAGGAGGAACAAGGAGGTAGAAATCACTGTGATTGCTGGCTTGGGTAACTCAATAGGTGAAGATATTAAATTTTAAGAACAATCTAATAGCCAGAAAACTGCTATGAACTTCTGATATGTTGTAGAATAAAAAAATGAGGAGATCCAGTGTGATCCTACATGCTAGTCCAAGGATGTTTACTTGAACTAAATGTTGGTTCTTTTCACCTGTATAGCTAATACAGCATAGGAAAAGTGACACCAGCAAAAGAAGGTGGGAGGCACCACAGCTGTCCCTGAAATTATTTGCTGTCTCAAAACACAATTGGTTGCCTTGGAAATGGCTGTAACTACCTGCATGTGTGCATACACATGTAGCTATGGATGGGCGTAAACAAACAAAGATCAAGAAAACCCACCCGGGTAAATTTTAAACCAAAAAAAAAAAAAAAAAAAGATGGTTTAAAAGTTGACCACTGCCCAGGAAGCAGGAACCACAGTATTTTTAAAGAATGCTAAAATAAAAATGTGTATATGCAGAATGCAAGGAAACTGGCATAACTTTGGTGGTAGTGAAATGATTGATGAACCACCAACTCTAATTCCAATCAGTACAACATTCCTACTAAGCTCTTCAACATCTTTTCTAATTTCTTCTTCTTTTTTTTTTTTTTTTGAGATGGAGTCTTACTCTGTCACCCAGGTTGGAGTGCAGTGGCATGATCTCCACTCACTGCAACCTCCGCCTTCCAGGTTCAAGCGATTTTCCTGTCTCAGCCTCCTGAGTAGCTGGGACTACAGGCGCACGCCACCACGCCTGGCTAATTTTTGTATTTTTAGTAGAGACAAGGTTTCACCATGTTGGCCAGGCTGGTCTCAAACTCTTGACCGCAGGTGATCTGCCCGCCTCTGCCTCCCAAAGTGCTGGGATTACAAGCATGGGGCACCGTGCCCAGCCAACTTTTCTAATTTATTCTATAGAGGCCAGAGCAGAAGACCCTTGGTTTTCTTTAGTTGTACAGGGCAGGACAGTTCATGATTTGGCATGACACTGGTATGGCTTCATTCACAGAATGCTTGCAGGCAACGTCTGAAATGCCAAAGAAACAATGTGTCATGTACATGTAACCTGTCAAAGGTCACGAGAATCTTGTTTCTAAAATTTAGACCAGCCATCTAATTTTATGAACACTATACAGTAGTCTGTTCTTGTTCTTCACCAGCTCGTTGCCTGATCTAATAAACTCTTAATTATAAGCTGGTATTCAAATGCTGAGGAGAAAAGGGGCTCCACCTTGATCATGTACTTTGAAAAAATATTGTTTGTTTTTAGGGAAGCAGACATCTCTGGAGAAAGCATAGGAAGTGGATTTAGTGTAGTTTGTTTTTTTTTTTTTTTTCTTGAGACGGAGTCTTACTCTGTCACCCAGGCTGGAGTGCGGTGTTGCAATCTTGGCTCATTGCAACCTCCGCCTCTGGGTTTTCCTGCCTCAGCCTCCCAAGTCGCTGGGATTACAGGCACCTGCCACCACACCTGGCTAATTTTTTTGTATTTTTAGTAGAGACGGGGTTTCACCATGTTGGCCAGGCTGGTTTTGAACTCCTGACCTCAAGAGATCCGCCCGCCTCGCCTCCTAAAGTGCTAGGATTATAGCCGTGAGCCACCACCACACCTGGCCTAGTGTAGTGTTTTGAGAGCTGTTACCTCTGGGCAAGTCACAGCCTTTTAAGCCAGTTTCCTTATATGTAAAGTAAGAAAAATACAACACTTAGTCCATAGGGATGTGTGAGGATCAAATCACTTAATATTAATGAAAGGACTCTATAAGCTGTAAAAGACTACGTGTTGTTATTGTTAGGCTGTAAAAGCACAATGTCATACATTTATATATAGCCTTGTGATGCCTTAAAAAAGCTTTGATATGCCTTACTTCATAGGACTGCTTAAGCACAGTGTCCAGCTTTAATAAGAGTATTTGGTTTCTGGCCCTTCAGATAAAATGCAGAGAAAAAAAGACGTGTTAACTTAGAATGGCTATGTGCACTGTATTTAAAGAGTTTTGTTTGTTTCACTTAATGAATCTTAATCTTAAAAAGGTTAAGATTTTAAGAGAATTAAGAGGTTTAATGACAACAGAGTTGACATATTTTTCCCAAAGTCCTAGACTTTCATTCCTTTAAGCACATTCTTTTCCTCTTTTTTAGATTCCACTGTCATCACTTTAGTTCAAGATGTCATTAGGTCTTTTGGTTGGTCTTTCAATGCTGTTTCTCCTGTGACATTGCCAGGTTAACTTTCCTACAACCTGGCTTTCTTTGTGTCATTTTCCTATACATACTCATCCTCCAAATCCTAATTTCTGGCATTGGTAGGCTGTCCAAACCTACAGGTGTAAACAAATCCAGAGAACTACCCAGTGAGGGGCGGTCTAGATATGTGGGTTTGGGAATTACAAATGCATACCACAGGGCATGATAGTGCGGCACGGTAAAAGACCACAGACTTTGGTGTCAGATTGGCATTTCAATTCTGAATCTGTTACTTTTATTAACGATTCAGGGAAGTGACTTAATTGCACCTCAGTTTTCTCATTTGTAAAATGAGAATCTAATTTCTTCATAGGATTGTTTAAGCACAGTGCCCACCTTTAATACAGTGTTTGGTTTCTGGCCCTTCACATAAAACGCAGAGAAAAAAAAAAAAGATGTGTTAACTTAGAATGGCTATGTGCACTGTATTTAGAGTTTTGTTTGTTTGACTTAATGAACAGATATTATATCTAATTTAAAAATTTAAGGCCAGGCACGGTGGCTCATGCCTGTAATCCCAGCACTTTGGGAGGCCGAGGTGGGTGGAGCACAAGGTCAGGAGATCAAGACCATCCTGGCTAACACAGTGAAACCCCGTCTCTACTAGAAATACAAAAAAAATTAGCCGGGCTTGGTGGCATACGCCTGTAGTCCCAGCGGAGGCTGAGGCAGGAGAATCTCTTGTACCCGGGAGGCAGAGGTTGCAGTGAGCCGAGATAGCACCACTGTACTCCAGTCTGGGCAACAGAGCAAGACGCTGTCTCAAATAAAAAATAGAAGTTTAAGAAGGTGAAAAGGCAAAATTGGAAAGGGGAACTATAAATATTTTAATATATTCAGATATCTCCCTAGTCAAAACATTAACTGTAAATTGATTTAAGTTACATGGTCATTTTTGCCTGTGGAAGAGGATAGATTTGAAAGAAACAAAACTGAAGATGAGAAACCAGTTAGGAGGCTATGATAGGGATTTAAGCAGGTACTAACAAGGATCTGATGAGAAAGATATGGTAAAAGAAGAAGAGAAAAGAATGGATTTGAGAAACAGAGCTGGGCATAGTGGTTGATGCCTGTAACCCCAGCACTTTGGGAGGTCTAGGTGGGAGGATCGCTTGAGTCTGGGAGTTTGAGATCCGCCTGGGCAACATAGGGAGACTTTGTCTCTACGAAAAATTTAAAAATTAGTTGGATGTGGTGGCGCACGTCTGTGGTCCCAGCTACTCAGGATGCAGAGGCAGGAGGATCATTTCAGCCTAGGAGGTCAAGGCTGCAGTGAGCTGTGATGGCGCCACTGCACTGTAGCCTGGGTGACAGAGCAAGACTCTGTCGAGAGAGAG
The DNA here is from genome assembly GCF_000001405.40 of Homo sapiens. Lineage (NCBI taxonomy): Eukaryota > Metazoa > Chordata > Mammalia > Primates > Hominidae > Homo > Homo sapiens. Next base: position 35,237,103 of record NC_000014.9, on the reverse strand, counting down.
AAAGAGAGAGAGAGAGAGAAGGAAGGAAGGAAGGAAAGGAAGGAAGGGAAGGAAAGGAAGGAAGAGAAGGAAGGAAGAGAAGGAGGGAAGGAAGGAGTGAAGGAGGGAAGGAGGGAGGGAGGAAGAAAGGAAAGAAAAGAAAGAAAAGAAAAATGAAAGAAAGAAGGAGAAAGAGAGAGAAAGAAAGAAGATGAGAGAGAGAGAGAAATAATTAGGAGGTAAAATTGGCAAGACTTGGTGAACATTTGGTACCACCTATTGGTGTAGATGTCTGGCAGGAAGATGGCAAGTTCAGTTTTGGACATACAGTATTTAGTTTCAAGTACCTGTCTAAGGTAAAGATGCAGAGATAGAACATCAGAGAACACCAACATTTAAGGAGTAAGAGAAGGAAGGGAAGTTCAAAAACAAGAGAGAACAAGGAATGGTCAGAGAGTGTAATGAGAAGGATAAGAATGTGAAGTCACAGAATTCAAAGACATAGACAATTTCAAGAAGAAAGGAATCTATAAAGTATTAAATGCAGAAAAAGAGTGATAAAGACTAAAATATGTTCATCAAAACTGGCAATTAGGAAGTTACTGCTGTCCTGAGGGAGAGCATTTTCAATGCAATGATGGAGACTAAGCCAGACTTCAGTGGGCTTAGGGGTTAGGGAGCAAATGGGTAGCAAGAAAAGAATTGTATACCAGTCTTTTGAGAGGTTTAGATGAGGAGGACAGAAACTAGAGCAAGCTAGCTATTTATGAGTTAGTGATTAAAGCAATGGAGATCCAAGAGAATCAGAAAAGCATGTCTCAAAGAGTCTACCATGGTATTTCAAGAAAACAGATAAATAGATCAGTAGGTTAAAATATAAAGAACAGTGTGTTACACGGGAAAGAACAAGGAATTTGGAATGAGACATGTCTAATCCTGTTACTTTGCCATTTACTAGCTATGAGACAAGTTACTTAACCTTTTCTGGGTCTTAGTTTCCTTATGCTTTTTTTTTTTTTTTTTTTTTTGGAGATGGGGTCTTGCTGTGTTGCCCAGGTTGGAGTGCAGTGGCACAATCTCGGCTCAATGCAACCTCCGCCTCCTGGGCTCAAGATGTCCTCCCACCTCAGCCTCCCCAGTAGCTGGGACTATATGTGTGTATCACTCTGCCTGGCTAATTTTTTGTTTTCTGTTTTTTGTGGTGTTTTTTTGTTTGTTTTTTTGGTAGAGATGGGTTTTGTCACCTTGCCCAGGCTGGTCTCAAAATCCTGAGCTCAAGCAATCCACCACCTCGGCCTCCCAAAATGCTGGGATCACAGGCATGAGCCACCACGCCTGGCTAGTTTCCACATTCTTAAGGAGGTAATACCAATAACAGCTGTAAGAATTAAATGAGGTACTCCATATACAAGTGTCTAGCATTGGCAACTTTTGCTTGGTCTACAGAAGGTACTAAAAAATATTAGCTTCCCAAGAGAAGAAGCAGAGGCTGTTTGTCCAGGCCAAGAAGAAAGCTGCTGGCAAAGGGGACGTCCCCACTAAAAGACCACCTGTCCTTCGAGCAGGAGTTAACACCATCACCACCTTGGAGGAGAACAAGAAGGCTCAGCTGGTGGTGACTGCACATGAAGTGGATCCCATCAAGCTAGTTGTCTTCCTGCTTGCCTTGTGTCATAAAATGGGGGTCCCTTACTGCATTATCAAGGGGAAGGCAAGACTGGGACATCTAGTCCACAGGAAGACCTGCACCACTGTCAACTTTACACAGGTTAACTCGGAAGACAAAGACACTTTGGCTAAGCTGGTGGAAGCTATCAGGACCAATTACAATGACAGATATGATGAAATCCGCCATCACTAGGGAGGCAATGTCCTGGGTCCCAAGTCTGTGGCTCGCATCACCAAGCTCGAAAAGGCAAAGGCTAAAGAACTTTCCACTAAACTGAGTTAAATGTACACTGTTGAGTTTTCTGTACATAAAAATAATTAAAATAATACAAATTTTCCTTCAAAAAATATTAGCTTCCATTTCCCCTTGGAGGTTACTGGTAACATTGAAAGAGTGCCATTTCAATTAAGCAGTGAAGATGTATCTTAAGTTGCAGGATTAAAGCATTCAGTTATAAGATATTAAAAATAGGGAACAGGTGTGGTGGCTCATGCCTGTAATCCCAGCACTTTGGGAGGCCAAGGTGGGAGGATCACTTGAAGCCAGGAGTTTGAGACCAGCCTGGGAAACAAAGCGAGATTCTGTCTCTACAAAAACATTAAAAAAAAAATTAGTTGGGCATGGTGGTGTGTGCTTGCAGTCTCAGCTACTCTGGGAGCTGGGTGGGAGGATTACTTGAGCCCAGGAGTTCAGAGGCTACAGTAAGCTATGATCACACCACTGCACTCCAAACTGGGTGACACAGTGAGACCCTTACTCTTAAAAAAAAAAAAAAAAAAGGAACAACAGTTGAAAGAGGAAAGAAAGGATTTGAGAGAGTTAATCACATTTGAAGTCTAAAAAAAAATGAAGTAAGTAAAAGTGCCAAGAGGGAAGTAAGGCTAGGGGCGTAGGAGCCTTTGTGTCTCATATATGATTAGCATACATCCAAAAATTATTTGAAAGAGTGTCTTACTGCATCATATAAATGACATTTGCAGCAGAGATGGTTTTAAGAGGCTGAACATGGACAGAAAAGATCAAAGGACAAACAAAGCTATCTTAAAGAGGAAAGTTGGTGCAGTTCATACCTAATGTTGATCATTTCAGTAAAGATCTAGGAAACACAGTATTTGGAAAAAATAGTTTCCAAAGCAGATGCGAATCCAAGTATCCTTGGGCCTAATTGTTAATGAATGTGAAACACACGGCTACAGAATCTGTGGGTAGAAAACATTCCCTAATTGCACAATCTCTAAACCTTTCCATCTGATTTCAACTACAATGACGTGCAAGTAAACATACTTCTCACCTTTTCCAACCCTACATGCACAAAGAATTACTCTCTTCGAGCACACATTTCATTGAAAGATGCGTCTTGACATGATTTCTTAGACAAATTCAAAGTTATTTTCTATATAAGGGAGTAGAGTAAGTAGTATTAATAAGTGTTTTTCAGATCCATATTTTGATCATAAGGAAAGCCTGAGCTTTAACAAACTTAAGAGGACTGAGCAGAGTCACGAAGCAAGAAAATATTATAATGGAATCTAATGGTATTATTTTTCTACATCTCTCTTCCTAATAAATATATGAATTGTAACTTTGCCTTCAAAATGCAGAGCACAGACTTCTTACCAATTGCACATTTACTGAACATAAATCAAGGTGGAAGAACCACTGCAGAGCTCAGGAAAAACACATGCTGTGATCATTGTAAGGGAAAAGAAATGTGAACATAGTTTTTCTGTGCAGGGAAAAAAAAAGGAAACGAAAAAAATTAGAGAACTACTCAAAGACAAAGGAAAAAAATCCTTCAATACTGTAGAAGGTAAAGAAAGAAGCAACAAGCAAATTTTAGGGTGGCCTAACACAGGTAATCTGAGGAAATACAAAGGATGATTTCTCCACAAAATCCTCTTCCACCCTTGCACCATGGAGAGGACTGCATGCTTTTCTTAAACGAAGGGATTGCACGTTGGCAATTGTTAGAATGTGGAAGCTGACTGATTTTACTATAGGAAATTAGTTTTGACAGACATCCTAATTAAGCACAGTAGATAAGACTACTGTATAGAACTAAGCTGGCTGTGCACTGAACAACTCTAGAGGCAATATTCATTGTCTCTACAACAATTCTAGAGACAAAGTTACAATTCATATATTTATTAGGAAGAGAGATGTAGAAAAATAATACTCTAGAGTTATGCAATGCCGTAGCCGATGGTAAGTACCTATCAGAAACAATGTTAGCTCCATGAGTGAAGGGAGTTTTCTCTACTTAATTCATTGGTGTATCCCTGGCGCAAAAAACAGGGCCTGATGCTTATGATGATCAATAAGTATTTGCCGAATGGGTTGACGAATGAAAAGAAAAGGGGAAACTGAAGTTTGAGAGCACAGAAGAGAGATGGATTTCTTAAAACTGAAAGAGATTAAGAGAATGAGTCCAAAAATCCAGAACCTTGGAATGGAACTCCTACCTGTTGTAAAAGAGGAAGGAGGGCTGGGCGCAGTGGCTCATGCCTGCAATCCCAGCACTTTGGTAGGCTGAGGCGGGCAGATCATGAGGTCAGGAGACCAAGACCATCCTGGCTAACATGGTGAAACCCCGCCTCTACTAAAAATACAAAAAAATTAGCCGGTCGTGGTGGCATGCATCTGTAGTCCCAGCTACTCAGGAGGCTGAGGCAGGAGAATCACTTGAACCTGGGAGGTGGAGGTTGCAGTGAGCCAAGATCATGCCACTGCACTCCAGCCTGGCAACGAAGAAAGATTCTGTCTCAAAAAAAAAGAGGAAGGAGAAGGAATGGTAGAAACAGTTTGGGACGTTGCCAGATTTTACCATGCTCTGGCAAGGACTTACTATGGGCCAAGCAAAAATTAAGTAATAAAAAGGGGTGGAAACACCACGTTAGCAGAGATGGAGGTTTTCTTCTTAATTGGCAGGCTAAGTATGTCAAGAAAAGTTTACATAATTGCTGTTTTTCTATCAAAAACTTCTACATGGGTTGAGGCAGGAGAACTGCTTGAGGCCAGGAGTTAGAAACTAACCTGGGCAACACAGTGAGACCCCATCTCTACAAAAATTTTTTTTTTTTACATTAGCTAGGCATGGTGGCGCATGCCTATAATCCCAGCTACTTGGGAAGCTGAGGTGAGAGGACTGCTTGAGGCCAGGAGTCTGAGGCTGCAGTAAGCTATGTTTGTGTCACTGCACTCCAGCCTGGGTGACAAAGTGAGACCCTGTCTCAAAAAAACTCCAAAATGAAAAAAAAAAAAAATCTGCATGGCCATACCAAACAGGGGGATGGAAGTCAGAATAAAAGATATGATTTTCATTATGATATAAACCATCTCCCCAAATATTAATAAAATCTTGAACCTATGATTAAGTGAGATAAACACTGCAGAAGTGATCTGTAAACTGTTATATGCTACCATGGTATAAGCTGTTTTTCTTATCCAATTAACAGAAACAGAGTTCATAAAGATTAACCAGCCATTTGATGTCTACTGACTATATATTGTGCTTTAGCAAGTATGCATGTATATAATAAAGTTCATAACTTATGCAATTCCTTGTGTATATGTGACTTTCATTCTGTTTTATTTATCAGGTTTCAACTAGACCTAAAGTTCCTTAGATTGAATAAACCTATACTTTACAACCCTCAACATCATCTTTACGTGATCCATAAACACATATCAAATTTCTAAGGACCCCTGGGGTATGGCTGATTCTAAGGACTTTCCTTTCACATTCCCAGTATTTTTAAATTTCAGCTATAAAAATTTATTTCAAGAGAGTTGGCGCCTCTATCTGTCCTACTATGACTACTCCAATTCATCTCAACAAGGAAATATGTTAATTTGCTCTAAATTCTGAGCAATGCAAATGGACTTACTAACCATATGTTTTCTGTTCACAATCTGTTTTCTGCCAGGATTATCTGGCATAGCTCATGTATAATTTCCATTAAAACAACAAAGCCAAACAAATACAAAAACACATAGCTCTTTGCTGTACATAAAAAAAAATCTATAGTTGGCTTTTGTGGGAGGAACCACTTCCACTCTCAGCCACTCAAGGTTTATCAGGATATACTAGTTGAGAAGCGTGAAAAATAAAAACTGGTAATTTCCCATAACCAAAACAAAAAGTGTTACAAGATACTTAAATGATCCTTGGCAATACTTTTATTCTATTTAGTATATGATTAGGAGTTTAGTAGATTAAAAAACCCACCAAATAAAAGACAACTGGTATATATTCTCCTCAGACATGGTAATGTGATGTAAGGTAGTAAACCTTGAACTTCATTTTTGTATGGGTAATAAATTCACATGGCTCAAACTCCAAAAGAAACCAAATGATATTCAATAAAAAGTTTCTCTCCCACTCCATCCCCCAGCCACCTAGCTGTTCTCCCGAGAGGCAACCAGTATTATCCATTTCTTCAGTAGCCTTCTAGAGACTAGACATCAACAAGCAAGTGTGTGTGTGTGTGTGTGTGTGTGTGTGTGTGTGTGTGTGTTCTCTTTTCCTGTCTTTACACAGTTGGTGGCATACTGCATAACATTTCTCAGTAGTATCTTAGGCACTACTCCCACCATGCCATGTTTAGGCAACAGGCTTCTTGCATGTCTTCTTTGATTGAACAATACCAGCTTCTCAAGTGTTGTGGAGGAGTTTGAGACCAGCAGACTTGGAAGAAAAGTGTGTTGTAATTAATTGGTAATATCTGCCATAACCATCTATTCCTATTCTGTGCTTTTACCGTATCTTCCACATACCTCTTTCACAAGAATCACCAGGTTTCACTAACTTGAAAAGGCATATCTGAGAGTACGGACTATGTCCTTTCATAATTGTAATGCAGGATACCTACCCAGCACAGTGCCTAACATATAAGTACTCGATGAATACTTACTAAATGAATCCCACAGTCAAAATCCCCAATGTTTAGGGAGAACAAGACAGCTTTTCATATTCCTGAATGAGTTACTTTCTCCCGCTCAAAGATATACTTGATTGACCCTATAACTGTAGATTTGTAATGAAATCATATTTGAAAGCTATGTGATACTGCTTTCCCCATCTCTATCAGAATTTACAGTAATGGGTTGGGCGTGGTGGCTCACGCCTGTAATCCCAATACCTTGGGAGGCCAAGGCGGGTGGATTGCTTGAGTCCAGGAGTTAGAGACCAGCCTGGGCAACATGGCGAAACCCGTTTCTACTAAAAATACAAAAATGAGCCAGGAGTTATGGCGCATACCTGTAATCCCAGCCACTAGAGAGGCTGAGGCAGGAGAATTGCTTGAACCTGGGAGGCAGAGGTTGCAGTGAGCAGAGATTGCACCACTGCACTCCAGCCTGGGCCACAGAGTGATACTTGGTCTCAAAAAAAAAAAAAAAAAAAAGAATTTACAGTAATGACATCTGGCTGGCACTCGAGCTTCTTGAGAAAAAAAATATGTACCCAGAAGTTTACACAGGATCCTATCATATATGTAATCAACTAGTTTCTAATCACTGCCCTCTAAAGAGAAAATGATTGTGTAACATGTGATTTCTGAAACAAAAGTGGGGTCTAGGGAGGTCAGGCGATGGTGAAAGAAAACTCAATGGAAACATCATGAGTGATAAAGAAAGCTTGTGATTGTTTGAAAAAAATCCAGTGAATGAAAAAAATTGACAAAGAACATGTCAATTAAGCCTTTCTCATTAAAGACCCCACCTGCTAATCATTCTCAAAGCTCTTTCTAAACTTACATTTTTCATATAAGTACTGCCATCTACAGGGCATAATGTAAACAAAGTATTTTATGAGGGGTGGGGAGTAACTGAAATGAAAAGGTTGGCATACTATAGGCCAACATCTTCATGCCCTTTTAAAATACCAGCATTAATGGGGAAAAGACTCCCTATTCAATAAATGGTGCCGGGATAGCTGGCCAGTCATAGCAGGAGAATGAAACTGGACCTTTACCTTTCACCATATACAAAAATTAAGTCAAGATGGATTAAAGATTTAAACATAAAACCTCAAACTATAGAAATCCTAAAAGAAAACCTAGTAAACACCATTCTGGACGTCGGCCTTCAGAAAGAATTTATGACTAAGTCCTCAAAAGCAACTGCAATAAAAACAAAAATCAACAAGTGGGACCTAATTAAACTAAAGAGCTTCTGCACAACAAAAGAAACTATTAACAGAAGAAATAGATAACCTACAAATAGGAGAAAATAATCGCAAACTACGCATCCAACAAAAATCTAATATCCAGGAATCTATAAGGAGCTTAAGCAATTTAATAAGCAAAAAACAAATAGTCCCATTACAAAGTGGGCAAAAGACATGAATAGACACTTCTCAAAAGAAGACATACAAGTGGACAACAAACATGAAAAAATGCTCAATATCGCTAATCATCAGAGAACTATAAATCAAAACCATAATGAGATCCCATCTCATACCAGTCAGAATGGATATTGTTAAAAAGTAAAAAACAGATGCTGGCAAGGCTGTGGAGAAAAGGGAAGGCTCATACACTGTTGGTGGGAATATAGATTGGTTCAGTCACCATGGAAAGCAGTTTGGAGATTTTTCAAATAACTTAGAACTACCATTCAACCCAGCAATCCCATTACTGGGTATATATTAAAAATAAAATCATTTTACCAAAAAGACACATGCACTCATATGTTCATCGCAACATTATTCACAATAGCAGAGACATGGACTCAACCTAGATGCCCATCAATGGTGGACTGGATAAAGAAAATGTGGTACATATGCACCATGGAATACTATGTGGCCACAGAAAAGAACAAAATCATGTCCTTCGCAGCAACATGGATGCAGCCGGAGGCGATTATCCTATGCAAATTAACACAGGAACAGAAAGCTAAATACTGCATGTTCTCACTTACAAGTATGAGATAAACATTGGGTACTCATGGATATAAAGATGGCAACAACGGACACTGGGACTACTAGCGGGGAGATGGAGGGAGGAAGGCAAGGGTTGAAAACACTAACTATTGGGTACTATGTTCACTACCTGGGTGAGGGGATCATTCGTAATCCAAACCTCAGCATCGTGCAATATATCTGTGTAACAAATCTGTACATGTAGCCCCAGAATCTAAAACAGAAGTTGAAATTATTTTTTTAACTCTATATTTATTCAGAGTTACATGTTATGTTTTCTTTTTTCACACACAAGGGAAGGCAATAATGCTCAATGGCTGGCTATTATCTTTTAAAAATTAATATTGTAAAGCTAGCACTTATGATTTTAAGTCTTCATTTATTTATTTATTTTGAGACGGAGTCTTGCTCTATCGCCCAGGCTGGAGTGCAGTGGCGCGATCTTGGCTCACTGCAACCTCCACTTCCTGGGTTCAAGCGATTCTTCTGCCTCAGCCTCCCAAGTAGCTGGGACTACAGGCGTGTGCCACCACGCCCGGCTAATTTTTGTATTTTTAGTAAAGATGGGATTTCACCATATTGGCCAGGCTGGTCTCGAACTCCTGACCTTGTGATCCACCGACCTCGGCCTCCCAAAGTGCTGGGATTACAGGCATGAGCCACTGCGCCCGGCTGATTTAAGTCTTTAAATTACCTGTTACGTATTTCTGCGGGCTTGTGCAAAAAAAAATTACTTGTTACTTAACTGTGAACAATAAAGAAAAAAATTATAATTTTAAACTAAAATTTTAAAAAAAGTTTAAAATATGCCCAAATTCCTATTTATTTCATTTTGCTGTAAGATATAAACTGGGACTCTCTGAGAAGTAGAGAGTCCCTGGGAGAAGTAAGGATATTTTTGGTGGGAGTTCTCTTATGTAAGGATAGACCAGGATGGAAGAGGAAGAAGAACATTAAAAGCTAAAGGACTGGTTCAGATTTATAGGTGCAAGCTGGAGAAACCTGAATGAAGGAAAGCACAGATGATTTCCATGCTTCTAAGGGGACATTATGCCAATGTGTTGTATTGTCATAACATAACTTTTTTTTTTTTGAGACAGAGTCTCGCTCTGTCACCCAGGCTGGAGTGCAGTGGTGCGATCTCAGCTCACTGCAAGCTCTGCCTCCCACGTTCTCGCCATTCTCCTGCCTCAGCCTCCCAAGTAGCTGGGACTACAGGCGCCTGCCACCACGCCCGACTAAATTTTTTGTATTTTTAGTAGAGACGGGGTTTCACCATGTTGGCCAGGATGGTCTTCATCTCCTGACCTCGTGATCCACCCACCTCGGCCTCCCAAAGTGCTGGGATTACAGGCATGAGCCACCGCGCCTGGCTAACATAACTTTTAAGGAAAATAAGTGGAATCCATTAAAACTGTTTCTTATAATCAAAAGGAAGAAATCTGATTTTAGAGATAACCAAAATCCACCAATATCACAAGGACGGTAAGAATTTTTCTTGGGGCCAGGCACGGTGGCTCACGCCTGTATCCCAGAACTTTGGGAGACAGAGGCGGGTGGATCGCTTGAGCTTAGGAGTTCAAGACTAGCCATGGGGAACATGGTGAAACCCTGTCTCTTCAAAATATACAAAAATTAGCCAGGTGTGTTAGTGCATGTCTCTAGGCCCAGTTACTTGGGAGGCTGAAGTGGGAGGATCACCTGAGCCTGGGAGTTTGAGGCTGCAGTGAGCCATGATTGCACCACTGCACTCCAGCCTGGATGATACAGAGAGATCGTGTCTCAAAAAATAATGAAATAATAATAATAATTTTTGCTTGTTTGTTTAACCATCTATTTTCAATTGGGTATTAAATTTTATCTTTCTCCTCAAATCTCGTCACAGTAAAGTTGCCACAAGTTTGGTAATAGAACAAAGTTAGGCAATATTTATTACTCCCCCCAACCCATCACTGCCTATCTCCAAAGTACTACTTTATTATGTGGTGCTGTCTAAACAGCGTTGTTGTCTGAACAGTGGAGTCAGCCCCTTTTCCACTCTCCAAATCTGATTATCAAAGTCTAACCTGCCAAGATCCAGATTAAATGCCAATTTCCACATAATTATTTGATCCCTCCTTAGCTAAAAGTAGTTTTCCTTAGCCTGTGGATGTTTTAGCTCTTTGCCTAAACATTTCTTACAGCCCTTGTAAATATTCTACATATTAATGATTTAGGTATCTGTGGGATTATAAACCCCTAAACAAAGGAAGGGACTACATTTTATTCATCTTTGCATCTGTCATAGTATCTAGCACAGAGCCTGGCACATGATGAGGAGTTAAAGATTTAATGAATATTGAATGTTTGTATTTGAAAGCTTACATGGCTAACACCAAATAGTTAATTTGAGAAACATCATGGCACAAATATTAACAACAGAGGGTCTTTGTTAAATATTTCACAGACTAGGAAAGCTAGAATCTATACCAACTATAGTAAAATATACATACTTAAGCTGGTGGTTTTATGAGAGTAATAACAGGTATCACTAGGTCACCAGAAGTCTAGTGAAAACTTAGAGTTACAGCTTTGGTTAGGCTAGAGGCAAGTGATTTAGGAGCTATGCTTCTTAAGCTCTTTTCTCATTTGTTTATTTATTTTATTTTATTTTTTAAAGATGGGGTTTCGTTATGTTGCCCAGGCTGGTCTTGAACTCCTAAGCTCAAGCAATCTGCCTGTCTTGGCCTCACAAAGTGCTGGGCTTACAGGTGTGAGCCACTGTGCCCAGCCCTAAGCTGTTTTCTACTCTTCACTATAATTTATAGATTAGACAGGTTGTACAGTTGCCAGGGAGATGTCATGGCTACCAAAAAAGAAAGCATAAACACATTTTAAAATACACCAAGTGGGCCAGGCGCGGTGGCTCATGCCTGTAATCCCAGCACTTTGGGAGGCCAAGGTGGGTGGATCACCTGAGCTCAGGAGTTCGAGACCAGCCTGGTCACCATGGTGAAACCCCATCTCTACTAAAAATACAAAAATTAGCTGAGCATGGTGGTGGACACCTGTAATCCCAGCTACTCGGGAGGCTGAGGCAGGAGAATCGCTTGAACCTGGGAGGCAGAGGTTGTAGTGAGCCGAGATCGCACCACTGCACTCCAGCCTGGGCGACAAGAGCAAAACTCCATCTTAAAAAAAAGAAAAAAAAATACACCAAGTGTTGGGTAGAAAAGCAGGTATTAAACAGAATTCTTAGCTTTTTGTTTATTGATTTAGTTTCTTGGGGCTTCCTTCATTACAGGAGAAAAATCTCCTACACCAAAGTATTCAAGTTCTCAGTAAATGTATTCAGAAGTCCTAGTAAATACATGTATGTGGTAAGTCATACTATATTAACTATAATAAAGTTCCTCTTGAAACAATAAAGATTAATACATTTAGGAAAGAATAAAATAAAACCTATGCAAACATGGAAAAAAATTTCTGATACTAGCAACACTTACATGGAAGAGAAGATTGGATGTGAACATGGATAGGTAGAAATAATTAGCAGGTCAGAACTATAATTAAGGTAAAAGAGATTAGATTAAAGGACATCATTCGTCTAACCCTGGACACAATCAATAAACTTTCCACAATCCCAGAACACATGTGACCAAAAAAAAAAGGAGTTCATTGTCAAATATACACAAACAAGAGCTAGACACCAACTGTCTAATTTGAATCCTAGGAAATAGGTGGGAGGCCAGGCAGACAATAATAATGTGGAAGGAACATTGTTTTAACTAAGCAGCTTTTGGCCAAGTTATAACTAAGAAGGTTAAAGTGTTACACGTCTGACAAAGTCCTTAATTAGTTGTTTTAAACAAAAACAGTATTTTATGCTCATTAGGTATTTTCTAGTATGAGTTGTATCATTATTCTCTATTGGAACTTTAGGAAGAAAATATATTGGAGAGGCTGCATAATTAGTGTTTAAGGCATAGACTCTGGTGCCAGGTTTCTTGAATTCAAATTCCAGCTCTCCCCCATTACTAGCTGTGAGACCTTAGGGATGTTACTTAGCCTCTCTAAGCCTCACTTTCCTCATCCATTAGTAAAATGGGAACTGGTAGTAGTTCCCATCTGATAGGAGATTCCACTTGCTATGAGTATTCAATAAATTACTGTTCATAAAGCACTTTGAACATATATCCCACAGCAAGTTCTAAATGAATATTTGCTAAATAAAATCTGTCCTTGATAACTTAGATACTTATCTGATTTAAGACAAATTTTGGCTCCTATGATAGAGAATATCTCTAGATATATATAGTATTATGATGACACTAGGTGGAAATAAAAAAAAGTTTTCTATTTTTGAAGAAGCACTGTTCTTTTTCTGTCCTTTCTTTCCCCTATGATTCATATCTCTGGCTTTACAATGCTAGCTAAAAGATAAACAGTATGCCACTTGCTCAGGTTCCTTAAGTGTTCATCTCCTCCAGGTCTGCCATGCCTTTAAGGAAATGAGAGAGAAAGAAAGGAATATATCACTTCCCTTATTAGATATATGACAGCATTAAAGCCAGTGATGGGATAGAGTTTGAAATCTCATAAGATTATCTAAAACTGAGCAGAACTCCCATACAGAGGTACTAGAGGTGCTGGTATGATACCTAAAATTATTATTTAGTAGTAGAGTCTTCCAATAATTTATCAGCAAAGACTCAAGTAGATGGAAAATAAGCTACTAGCCTCATTCCTAATAACAATCTCTGGAATCTGAACAATGTACACTTAGAAGTTAAAGTCTAGGCCAGGTGCAGTGGCTCACGTCTGTAATCCCAGCACTTTGGGAGGCTGAGGCAGGCGGATCACGAGGTCAGGAGTTCAAGACCATCCTGGCTAACACAGTGAAACCCCGTCTCTACTAAAAATACAAAAAATTAGCTGGGCGCAGTGGCGCGCACCTGTAATCCCAGCTACTTGGGAGGCTGAGGCAGGGGAATTGCTTGAACCTGGGAGGCAGAGGTTGCAGTGAGCCGAGATCACACCACTGCACTCCAGCCTGGGCGAGAGAGTGAGACTCCATCTCAAAAAAAAAAAAAAAAAAAAAGTTAAAGTCTAAAAAGTACACTTAGAAGGTTAATACAAGGAGGCAAGTGTCACTACGGCTCACGACATTAGTAAAGTATGTTCTATTCTAGTGATACTCTTGTGGTTGATATAGTGATGATTTCCTAATACAGATTACAAAACAGATATAGACACAATATACAGTAGTAACGGGAAACGTCACCTCTCCCAGCATTGGGGAGAGGTTTCATTCTGGTAAAAAAAAAAAAAAGAGCACCTGATAAGGTGATACCACATTGACAATTTCATTTCTCAGAAAGTGGAGAAAACAACAAAGAGAACTTCTATCCAAGACTATAATGACTGACAAGAAGGAAACTGTAAGTGATGTGGGGTGACAAGAGTTTTATAAGAAGACAGTATGCTAGTTAGCTTCGGTGTTGTAATAGCAAAGGAAGCCTGGAACCTTGACCCTAAGAGAGTAAATTTCAAGCATTCAGAGGTAGGATAGGTAATTCTAAGCCAGAAACTATAACAGGGAGTGTAACCCCAGACAGACAGAAGGTAAGGCTTCAAAAACAAAATTATAATATAACTGACTCTGATGGGGAAAAATGGAGAGAAGCAACAAAACAAAAACAGGTAGAGATTCATTTATTACAGGATAAATGTGAAGAGTGGCACAAACTCAGTAAACTATCAGGAAAGGTAATGCCCAGCATGAGGTAAATAATTTTTGGCTACCTATTGTTTTTCTCTCTTGCAATTCAGAACGGCCAGTTAAGTTCTACCTAGGTGAAGAGACCAAAGAATCAGAACTTGGGCAAAGAACTTGGGAGTCCAAAATGGGGAAGGGGTAGTATATATTATGGTTTTGGCAGTAGCCATAATAGGCTATTCTATGACTAACAGAGTTATCTGTGTGGACCTTAAAACTGGGACATGCTAACTTGGACTGAAGGTGCCAGATGATTTATAGAAATTGGAGAGGCAGGGCTGGCACCGGTAGTGGATCCAGGTGGTGTGCCAATATTTCTCTCCACTCTTCCCTAAAGTAATTGTTATTGTTGAGTCTTCTGTTGTTTTTATTGAATATGGTTGTATTTTCATTTCTTGAGTTTTGCTCTGAGGTTCTTGAATTAAATCTGTAGTACTGTTGGAGAGATGTCAGTTTTTGAGGCCATTCTTTCTAAAGACTGGAGTTTGGGTATGGGTTCTTAATGAATAACATCTCTAAATCTTCCAGTTGTTTCTTGGTGAACATTGTTTTCTTTATGGATGCCTCTGGTGCTTACTTTTAGTGAGGACCTCTGAATCTGGCATCCTTTAATCTCTGTTGTTCATGTGTTCAGGTTCAGTGACTGCTATTATTCTTCTTAAGCTAAAGATAACAGAAAGTATTTTTGTGTTTGGAGAGGTGAATATAATATTAAGAAATGACAACTAAAAATAAATCTTCAAGGTTACGTTCAGGTGGAAATGGTGGAGAAAGATTAAATGGGAAAAGAAGTACAAGACAAGTGAAGTGACTGAAAAAAATAGTTACTTCCGATGAATTCATTTTGCTACACCTGGATAAATTTTGTCCTCAGATACCAAAAAGAAAGCTTGCATATATTAATATACAACCACTACTGGTTATCTGTAAAGAAGGGAGAAAGGGAAGAATAGAAGTCTGAAGATAAACAAACATGACTGTGATTTTCAAAAACGAAGAGAATATGGTTCTTGAATACCAGAACAACCGCTCAGAAAAGGGGCATGACCATGGGAGGCCAGGTCATAGTAGGATACTAACTTCTGCTGCCACCACTGTGAAATGTCTCTAACCACATTTATGCTCCAGAGTCAAAGCCCCAGGAGACAGCACAACTGGCCAAGCATAGATTTTGTGTTTATGTCCTGGTTGTAGGGCTGGAGCCAGGGTGAGGTGACTAAGGCACTCGTTTTTGGCACACAATTTAAAGGAGCACCAACAAACTCCCCAATCAAGACAAACAATATTTCAAAAAATCAAAACTAATGCCAAAAAAAAATCCATGTTGAAATACAATAGAAAAATTTAAAGAAAGACAGAATCAACAGCAGTGCCATACCAAGCCATATTAGAGCTTGAGGCAAAAGGGAAAACCAATTATACTGATCATGTCTTTCTTTAAGGTTTTGATATTTTATTCATCATGGATTTTTTTGCATCAATTATGATTTTAATAAACAATGCATTAAAATATTCTTTATCTTAATTATAAGTTTTTTGGTATCCCCTTAAATGTTACAGCTGAGTCAAGTGGCTCACTCTCCTCACCCTAGTCCCAGTCCTGCACAATTGCCTGGAACCACCTTGCGTTCTCCCCTATGGGAGGCAAGGCTCTAAAACAGGAAGTGGATGGATGAGGATGCTGGGCTGCCAGAAACCCAGCTAATATCTACTACAACTTGTGGGCATTTGTACTGGCTGCTCCCTCTGCCTGGAATGTGAATCTGTCCTGCCTCCCCAGTCTCTTCTTGATCTTCAGGTCTTTAACACTGGCTTAGGAATCTCTGCTTGTGCTCCCTTAGATCCTATACTAAACATTATCCAAATACTTATCACAGTGTCTTGCAATTTATTTGTTTACATCCTCCCCCAGATTATAATCTTAGATGACATGGATTCTAGTATACTCATCCCTGCATCATTCTAATACCTACTAGACTGCCTGGCACATATTAGGCCCTCAATAAATATTTGCTGAATGAATAGAATAAAAGCCATGTCATGGGGAATAATTAAAATTAAAGGTGTTGATCTTGGAAAAGAACAGACTCAGGAAAATATAGTAGTTGTCTTCATCTGAATGGCTATCATGAGGAAGACTGAAATTGCTGTTCCTCAGTCTTTTTTGTTTGCTCCCAACCCTCCTGGAGGGGATTCATTACATTTCCATCACAACTGGCTCACAATGTCATGAACTGTTCATTAAGTCTGAGGTTTTGCGGGGCTGGTGTTAGAGAGGATCTTACACCTCCTATAATGCCGTGTCAGAATGGTGGAGAGGCAGTGCATGTGTTATTCTCCCTCAACCTGAGAATCATGGGACTAGTCTTTCTTAACCCCTATTAACTGTGCAGGAGAGATCTAGAATGTGTTCTCAAATATTATACCAGAATAGATTTAGCTCAATAGAATGAATAATTTTTAACCTTTAGAGTTGTTCATAAACAGCATATATTGACATAAAATGACGAATGTGTCATGACTACAAACCTGAAACTCCTTGTTTGGAGTGTTGTAAAGTGAATCTGGTAGAAAGGAAAGTGAGATAGGGGACATGGTGGTATAATGGGTTGAAGGGTGAACTTCAAAAATATATGTTTATGTCCTAACACCCAGAACTTGTGAATGTGACCTTATTTGGGAAAAGGATCTTTTCAAATACAATCAAGTTAAGGACTCAAGATGAGATCCTCCTAGACTACCCATGTGGGTATTAAATCCAATGACCTTTTGAGACAAAAAGAGACAACACACAGAGAAAGCAGTTGTGAGAAGATGGCGGCAGGGAATTTAGACAAGTAGACTTTAAGACCTTCTAAATTTAAGAAACTTTTTTCTAGCCATTTCCTGCCTGGCAGAAAACAAACAAACAAACAATTCAAAAAATAGAGTCCATGTGGGAAGCTACCACATGGAAAGCTAGTAAAGTTTTTCTGCAGTGTTTCCAGAAACTGACACCTCTACTCTCTAGACAATAGAGAGGTGTATTTTGATACAAGCAAATATTAAGTAGGCATACAAGAATTTGCCAGTATAAATTAACTAGCAATGTTATAAATTTCTCAGTACCAGCCTATCTCTAACCAATGCATGAAGCTGTGTCCAACATGTAGGGTGCCATTAGGCACCCCCAAATGTCATGGTCACTTAGAGAATGACAGCAAATCCAAATCATGCAGGTAAGGGGCAAGGTATGCTTTTTGAGTGGCCACCAAATACTTTTCAAGTACTCAGGACCTAAACACTGTCACATGTGGGCCAACAGTTTTCATAAATGCTGCATGTCCCTTTGTAGAAAAAATGTCTCCATAGGCCTATCTCACCTACCTTTAGCTTGCTATTAATTTTACAGAATGGGCTTAGAAAATCTGAGTAGGAAGGCAGCAGAAGGCCCCACCCTGAGGTGGGCATGTTTCCACCATGCAGAGAGTCCTAAGGGGCTCGGCCACATGCACCATGTTCCTGACTGCCTTCCTCTGCTGCAGTCGCATTCCTGGCAGGCAGTGGACTGGGAAACACCAGTGGTCGCAGACTGTATGGAGAACCTTACTGGCTGGGCGTGCCCTATCTGATCACAGGACAGGAGTAAGGTCACAGCATGGTGTGCAGAGCTAAGGTCTTCAAGGCCATGAAGGTGGCCAACACTTCCAAGTTCTCCTGTATATATTTGTTCTAGAGCAGCCCAACCATCTCAACATTACCAAGAAATGGCCCTAACCCTGAGCCATCGACTTTCAATTTTATAGATTAGAGGGCTGCCTGTCTTTATTCGCTCTTGGAACTGAAAAAGTGTAGCTTCTATGAAAATGTGACCCTTTGTACTAGAGTCTTATTAAAACAAACAAGCATGAGCATCATGACGTCCACATAGAATATCTGGGGCTCTAAACTCCTTAGTGCTTAAAAGTACAATTGGCCAGGCGTGGTGGCTCATGCCTTTAATCCCAGTACTTTGGGAGGCGAAGGTGGGCGGATCACTTGAGGTCAGGAGTTCAAGACCAGCCTGGTCAACATGGTGAAACCCCGTCTCTACTAAACATACAAAAATTGGCTAGGCGTGGTGGTGGCACCTGTAATCCAAACTACTCGGGAGGCTGAGGCAGGAGAATGGCTTAAACTCAGGAGGCGGAAGTTGCAGTGAGCTGAGATCGCGCCGCTGCATTCTAGCCTGGGCAACAGAGCAAGACTCTGTCTCAACAAAAAAAAAAAAAAAAAAAAAAGTACAATCAGTGTTCTGTTGTGTTTTGTTGTTGGTTTTTTTTTTTTTTTTTTCTTTTTTTAGACAGGATCTTGCTCTGTTGCCCAGGCTACTATGCAGTGGCACAAGAACAGCTTACTGCAGCCTTGACCTCCTGGGCTCAAGTGATCCTCCCACCTCAGCATCCATAATAGCTGGGACTACAAGTGCACACCACCACACCCAGCCAATTTTTTAATTTTTTTGTAGAGACAGGGTCTTACTATGTTGCCCAGGCTGGTCTCGAACTCCTAGGCTCAAGTGATCCTCCCACCTCGGCTTCCCAAAGTACTGAGATTACATGCATGAGCCACCATGCCCAGCTCTATTGTGTTTCTTGTTTTTTAGCTTGACAGGAGGGTGTCAGGGATTTCCTGGCTTACAGAAATGATATGAATTTGCAGAAGAAACTAAAACTGTTAACAAACATTTGAAAAAAGTTAGCCCCATTATTTATTTTTTAAATGCAAATTAAAACAACATACCTCAGATTTAATGTAACTTCTATCAAAATCTCTGCTGGCTTCTTTGTAGAAATTGACAAACTGATTCTAAAATTCACATGGAAATTCAAGGGACCAAGAATAGCCAAAACAACTTAGAAAAGGAACAAAATTGGAGGGCCCACACTTTCTGACTTCAAAACTTGCTAGAAAGCTACACTAATTAAGACTGTGTGGTACTGGCATAAAGACAGACAAACAGATCAATGGAATAAAATTGAGAGTCCAGAAATAAACCTTCACATTTATGGTGAATTCATTTTTAAGAAGGGTACCAAGATAATTCAAGTAGGAGAAAAATAGTCTTTTCAACAAATAGTGCCAGGACAACTAGATATCCATATACCAAAAAGTGAAGTTGGACTCATACCAAGTACAAAAATCAACTCAAAGAGAAAAAAAACCTAAATGTAAAACTATAAAACTCCTAGAAAAAAAGATGTAAATCATTGTTACTTTGGATTAAACAATGGTTTCTTTTCTTTTTTTTTTTTTTTTTGAGACAGAGTCTTGCTCTGTCACCCAGGCCGGAGTGCAGTGACACAATCTTGGTTCACTTCAACCTTTGCCTCCCAGGTTCAAGTGATTCTCCTGCCTTAGCCTCCCAAATAGCTGGGATTACAGGTGCCTGCCACCACGCCAGGTTAATTTTTGTATTTTCAGTAGAGATGGGGTTTCACCATGTTGGCAAGGCTGGTCTAGAACTCCTGACCTCAGGTGATCTGCCCACCTTGGCCTCCCAAAGTGCTGGGATTACAGGCGTGAGCCACTGCGCCCACCCTAGACAATGGTTTCTTAAGGTACAAAACCAAAAAGACAAGTTATGAAAGAAAAAAAATAGATTGGACATCATCACAATTAAAAACTTTTGTGCTTCAAAAGTCATCTTCAAGAAAGTGAAGCCAAAAACAGAATGGGGGGAAAATTTTGCAAATATATATCTGAGAAGGACCTAATATCCAAAATGCATAAAGAACTCTTACAATTCAATAATAAAAGAAAATCAATCCAATTTTAAAATAGGCAAAGGATCTGAATGGACATTTCTCCATAGACTATACACAAATGGCTAATAAGCATATTAAAAGATGCTCAACATCATTAGCCATCAGAGAAACACGAGTCAAAAATCACTTACGATACCACTTCACACCTATTAGTACGACTATAATAAAAAAGACAGTTAACAACAAGTGCTAGCAAGGATATGGAGAAATTAGATCCTTTATATACTGCTGGTGAGAATGTAGAATGGTACAGCCCTTTGGAGAAAAAAGTCTGACAGTTTCTCAAAAACCTAATAGAAGAATTACTATATGAACTGACAATTCTACTCCTACATATATACTAAAGAGAAATAAAAACACATGTCAACACAAAAACAGGCACAAAAATGTTCATACAGTAGTATTATTCATGATAGCCAAAAAGTAGGAACAACTCAACTGATGAATGGATAAATAAAATGTGATATACCAGTGTGGACAACCTAGTGAGACCTCATCTCTACTAAAAATAAAAAAATTAGCCAGGTGTGGTGGCACGTGCCTCTGGTCCCAGCTACTTGGGGGCTGAGGCGGGAGGATTGCTTGAGCCCAGGAGGTTGAGAATGCAGTGGGCTGTGATCATGCCACTCTATTCCAGCCTGGGCAACAGAACAAGACCTTGTCAAAACAACAACAACAACAAAAAAAACCCAGAAAGGAAAAAGACAAAAACAAATAAAATGACACACACGCACACATAATTTATATATTTTCTCAATTTTATGGGAAGAAGTTGAATAAGAGTGAAAATACATCAAAATGTTAAAACTATCTCTCTCTCTCCTTCTCTCTCTCTAATATAAATGTATTATATAAATATATTATATATTATATATAAATATAAATATATACATATATGTAATTTATATTTAAAGCTAGAGTCTTACGGTTGGGTGCGGTGGCTCATGCCTATAATCCCAGCACTTTGGGAGGCCGAGGCAGGTGGATCATTTGAGGTCAGGAGTTCAAGACCAGGCTGGCCAACGTGGTGAAACCCGGTCTCTACTAAAAATACAAAAATTAGCCAGGCGTGGTGGTGGGCACCTGTAATCCAAACTACTCAGGAGGCTGAGGCAGGAGAATTGCTTGAACCCAGGAGGTGGAGGCTGTGGTGAGCCGAGATCATGCCACTGCATTCTAGTCTGGGCGACAGGGTGAGACCCTGTCCCCCCAAGAAAAAAAAAAAGAGAGATAGAGTCTTACTCTGTCACCTGGGCTGGAGTGCAGTGGTGAAATAATTGCTCAATCATAGCTCACTGAAACCTGGAATTCCTGGGCTCAAGCAATCCTTCCGCCTCCAAGCCAACAAAACAGCTAGGACTATAGGCAGACGCCACCATTCCCAGATAATTTTTAATTTTTTTTTTTGAGTCACGGTCACTTTGTTGCTTAGGCTGGTTTCAAATTACCAGCCTCAAGTGATCCTCCTGCAGTGCTGGGAGCCACCACATCTGACAAAACTGTCTATATTTGCCTGGTAAAATTATGTGTATTTTTTATTTTTTTCTTTGAAACTTACTTAAGTGTCAGTAACATCAGGAATTGGTTTATATCGCCTCATCTAAATAAAGGAAGGAATTAGACACTATTTCTCAAAGGTTGGGAGTCTGAAGACACAAAATTAAGCTGAGATTCTACCATTGTTCAGTTCCTTTCAAGAAGATGCTAAAGTACTGAGAAATACCACAGCACCCTCTTTTGGAAGAAATGCATTGTTCTTCACAGGCAACCTGCTTGAATCATTAAGTTTTTAGAGCTGAAAGAATCTTTAGAGAATATTAAGTCTGGTCTCCTCATTATCTCCTTATAAATAAGGAAACTGGGGTTTGAACAGGAAAAGAGACCACCGAAGATCATAAAAGGAGGTAGCAACAGAGCTGAGAATGAAGCCCCACATCAAATCCTAACCAGAGCTTATTTTTCTGATCTTGCCATTCTTTATTCAATAAATATTTTAAGGTTAAAAAAAAATGCTTTCCCAATCCTCAGAAAGTCTGAAGGCCTATACTCAAAAGGCACTCAAGACACCCACCTTTGTTTTGTTTTGAGATGGGAGTCTCGCTCTGTCGCCCAGGCTGGAGTGCAGTGGCACGATCTCGGCTCACTGAAACCTCTGCCTCCTGGGTTCAAGCGATTCTCTTGCCTCAGCCACCCAAGTAGCTGGGATTACAGGTGTGCACCACCACACCCAGATAATTTTTGTATTTTTAGTAGAGATGCAGTTTCGCCATGTTGGCCAGGCTGGTCTCGAACTCCTGGCCTCAGATGATCCACCCACCTCAGCCTCACAAAGTGTTGAGATTATAGGCGTGAGCCACCACACCCGGCCCCAGCTTTGTTTTGGGGTGCCAGGAACCACACCCATGTAAGATGGAGAAAAGTCTTATTTTAGAAAAACATGTCCATTCTTGCCCTGCTGCTTAAGAAGTCAGAGTAATAGATAACTTATATAACCACACAACCTCTGCATTTGTCTACTAATAATACATCTTTTTAAGATGCAACAGAAGATAAGCATATAAATCATTCCATTTAACTTCAGAAAACAAAATCGTAATATGAGAATACACTCAATATTTGTTTGGGGCTTCTGACCACATAATTGACCTAATGTACTGGGATATTATTCTAAACTCCTACAATTTCATTATTTAGGCTGGTTTACAAATGGCTACCCATAAAAAATACAACTCTTCTTCAAAAATAATACAGGGCTTGTCATTTCAGCTTTTCTCATTCTCCTGCTCCTAGATCTGAGAAGTACCCTTGCTTCCCAGACAGTATTCTTTGAAAGAACATGCTGTTTTCCTCTTATTTGAAGGATGACTCACTAAAATAAACAAATGAACATTCTGACAAGTGATGAATAAAGAATGTGTGGCTTTTATCATCATCACCATTAACAGTCTTTAAAGTGTACTAAGCAGATGCACAGGGAATATGATACAGGTATACATTATTTTATTGCACATTACTTTACAGATATTCATTTTTTACAAATTGAAGATTGGTGGCAGTCCTGTGTTTAGCAAGTCTATTAGTACCATTTTTCCAACAGCACTTCTTGTCTTTATGTCACATTTTGGTACTTCTCACAATATTTCCAATTTTTCATTATTATTATATCTGTCATAGTGATCTGTGATCTTGGATGTTACTACTGTAATTGTTTTGGGGTGCCATGAACCACACTCACGTAAGATGGAGAATCTAATCGATAAATGTTGTGTGTGTTCTGACTGCTCCACCCATCAGCTGTTCTTCCATCTCTCTCCCTCTCTTCCCTTTCCCCAAGACATAATAATATCAAAATTAGGCCAATTAACCCTGTGATGACCACTAAGTGTTCAAAAGTGAAAGGAAGAGTTGCACATTTCCTACCTTAAATAAAAATCTACAGATGATTAGTGAGGAGGGCATGTTGAAAGCCAAGACAGGTCAAAAGCTAGGCCTTTTGTGCCAGTTACCCAAGTTGTGTATGCAAAGAAAAAGGTTTTTTTCCTTTATTTTTATTTTATTTTTTTTAAGGAGACAGGATCTCACTCTGCAGACTGGAGTGCAGTTGTGCAATCACAGCTCACTGCAGCCTTGAACTCCTGGGCTGAAGTGATCCTCCCACCAGCTTTCCAAGCTAGGACTATAGGAATGAGCCACCGTGCCCAACCAGGAAAAGTTCTTGAAGGAAATTTAAAGTGTTATGCCAGTGAACACGCAAACGATAAAGAAAGCAAAACAGCCTATTGCTGAGATGAAGTTTTTGTGGCCTGGGTAGAAGACAAAACCAGCCACAACATGCCCTTACACCAAAACGTAATCCAGAGCAAGGCCCTAAACTCTCTTCAATTCTATGAAGTTTGAGAGAGGCAAGAAAGCTGCAGAAGAAAAGCTGGAAGTTGGCAGAGGTTGGCTCATGAGGTTTAAAGAAAGTAGGCATCTCCATGACATAAAAGTGTAAGACGAAGTAGCAAGTGCTGATGGAGAAGCTGCAGTGAGTTATTCCGAAGACCTAGCTAAGATCATTGATAAAGGTGGCTATACTAAACAACAGATTGGCAATGGAGACAAAAAAGCCTTCTATTAGAAGATGCCATCTAGGACTTTCATAACTAGAGAAGAGAAGTCAATGCCTGGCTTCAAAGCTTCAAAGGAGAGGCTGACTCTCTTGTAAGGGCTAATGTAGCTGTTGTCTTTAAGTTGAAGCCAATGCTCACTCACCAGTCCAAAAATCCTAGGGCCCTTAAGAATTATGCTAAATCTACCCTGCCTGTGCTTTATCAACGGAACAACAAAGCCTGGATGATGGCACATCTGTTTCCAGCATGATTTACTGAGTATTTTAAGCCCAGAAAATGAGCTCAGAAAGATTCCTTTCAAAATATTACTGTTCATTGACAATGCACCTAGTCACCCAAGAGCTCTTATGGAGATATACAAGGAGATGAATGCTGTTTTCATGCCTGTGAACACAACATCCATTCTGAAGCCCATAGCTCAAGGAGTAATTTACACTTTCAAATCTTATTATTTCAGAAATACATTTCATAAGGCTATAGCTGCCATAGTGACTCCTCTGATGGATCTAAGCAAAATCAATTGAAAACTTTCTGGAAAAGAGTCACTATTCCACATGCCAGCAAGAACATTCATGATTCATGGGAGGAGGTCAAAATACCAATAGTAACAGGAGTTTGGAAGGTGTGGATTCCAATACTCATGGATGGCTTGGTGGGATTAAAAAATTCAGTGGAGGAAGTTGCTGCAGATGTGGAAACAGCAAGAGAACTAGAATTAGAAGGGGAGCCTGAAGATGGGACTGAATTGCTGTAACCTCATAATAAAACTTGAACCTATGAGGAGTTGCTTGTTATGGAGAAACAAAGAAAATGGTTTCTTGAGACAGAATCAAAATGTACTCCTGAAGAAGATGCTGTGAACGTTGTTGAAATGATAACAAAGGATATGGAATATTCCATAAGTTTAGTTGATACAGCAAGTGAAAGGGTTTAAGAGGATTGACTCTGACTATCAAAGAAGTCCTACTATGGGTAAAATGCTATCAAACAGCATTGCGTGCTACAGAGAAATCTTTTGTGAAAGGAAGAGTCAATCAATGCAGCAAATTTCATTGTTATCTTTAAGAAATCGCCACAGCCACCCCAACTGTCAGCAACAACCACCCTATCAGCAGCCATCAACACTGAGGCCAAGATCCTCCAAGAAAAAAATATTAGGATGCCCTGAAGGCTCAGATGATTTAAGCATTTTTTAGCAATAAAGTATTTTAAAATTTAGGTATGTGCATTATTTTTAGACATAATGTTATTGCATACATAATAGACTACAGTATAGTATAAACGTAACTTTTATATGCACTGGGAGACCAAAAAACTTGTGTGACTTTTTATTGCAGTGGTTTGGAACCAAACTTGCAATATCTCTGCAGTATACGTATATTTCTTCTTGGCTGATAGTTATCTGTCTATTGATGAAGCTGTAAAAACAAGAATCATTCATTCTTCTGCAAATATTTACTGAGCAGCCATTATACACAAGGCATGGTCTTAGGTGCTGGGAATATAGCAGTAAATAAAAGAGGCCAAGTCTCTGTTCTCACAGAACTTACATGCTTTAGAGGTGGGAAGCTGTCAGTAAACAAAAACAAATAAATAAGATGTTTAAGAAGTGCTGAGAAGACAATAAAACAGATAATATACGAAAAAACTTTAAAAGTATCTCTATAGTGTTACCCACTAAAAAACGTTCACCAGTTCCACTATGGTACCTGAGCCAATCCTATATATGTATATCACTGTTCATTATGATGTAATAGGATAGGAGCATGAGGCCTGTAGTAATTTGCTTTACTAAAGAAAACTGTTTTGACCAGGCGTGGTGGCTCGCATCTATAATCTTAACACTTTGGGAGGCTGAGCTGGAAGGATCGCTTGAGCCCAGCAGTTTAAGACCAGCCTGGGCAACATAGTAAGACCCTGTGTCTCTACAAAAAAATAATTTTTAAAAAACTAGCCAGGTGTGGTAGCATGCACCTGTAGTCTCAGCTACTTGGGAGGCTGAGGTGGGAGGATAGCTTGAGTCTGGGAGATCAAGGCAGCAGTGAGCCATTTCATGCTACTGTACTCCAGCCTAGGAAACAGAAGGGGACTTTGTCTTAAAAAAAAAAAAAAAAAAAAAAAAAAAAAAAAGGCAAAAGAAAAGAAGAAAAGGAAAACTTTTCCAGAAGCCCAGCAGGCATATCTTAGTATTCCCGATATCTAAATTAATTTATTTATCTAGTATCTAAATTTGGTGACTTAGGTATTTCTAGCTAGTTGCATGTGTTGATTTTCAAGATAACTGATACTTATCAACATGAGCCTCTTCCTGCAAAATTCTGCCACTGTCAGAATACTAGCTATTCTTGCCACTCCTGCTGACTTCCCTGTATAAGTCTTTTTCTATGGGCTGAATAAAACTCCTAACTACAAACTAAAAGTTAAAAACAAAAAACAACCAAGATGTATCTGAAGTCAGATATATTTTATATGACTTTGTACCTCATTCATTTTCTGGATGCAATATAATTCAAAGCAGAGAATAAGATGAAACATATTCATGATCCAAAATTAACCATTTTGTTAGTGGAGAAAGGAAGAATATAGATGTTTTTTGACAAGTAATTACTGGGGACTGAGTTTGCACTTTATAGGTAGGAATATTTTTCCAGTAACTCAGCCAAAGGTCCTTCTTCTAGTCAAATAAAATAAAAACTTCAATTCATAATACTTAACCAAGTTCTTTTTTTTCCATTTGTGAGTATGTGTGCAGTTTTATGGATTTTAATGACAACCACAATTAGGATACAGAACAATTTTACTGTTAATTTTAATTTTTACAATTCTGTGCTGATTAATATTTTAACACCAGCATGTGTTTTTTATTTTGATAAGAGAAACTTAAAGATCTTATCTCATTTAGAGAGAGTGCTCTAGTGAAAATCAGAGAAGATATATTAGTGGGGTATGAAACTAGAGGAAGGATAGAAGACAAGTAATAAAATAACCCAACATTGCTAGAGGGAATGTAACTCAACTGAGCACATATGTCAAGAAATCAAGAGAGGCCAGGCATGGTGGCTCACGCCTGTAATCCCAGCACTTTGGGAGGCCGAGGACGGTGGATCACCTGAGGTCAGGAGTTTAAGAGCAGCCTGGCCAACCTGGTGAAACTCCATCTCTACCAAAAATGCAAAAATTAGCCAGGTGTGGTGGCATGGCCTGTAATCCCAGCTACTCAGGAGGCTGAGGCAGGAGAATCGCTTGAACCTGGGAGGCAGAGGTTGCAGCCACTGCACTCCAGCCTGGGCAACAGAGCGAGACCCTGTCTCAAAAAACAAAACAAAACAAAAAGAAATCAAGACAAATGAATAAAGGAAAAAAAATCCTAAGAACTTTCTGACAAGGAAACTAAAATTAAAACCGACCTTAACATGAAACAGTATAATTAGGGCTTGCTGTGATGAACATCACTACTTCTTTTGCACTTATTAGGAAATTTGTCTGCTAAGTCAGTATAGACAGACTATGGAAATTTATGAGGAGGAAGGTACTCCTTATGTTTGAAGGTCTAGAACTGCTGTCCAACGTGGAAGCCACTAGCTACATATTACTATCATTGAGCTCTTAAAGTATGGTGGCTAATTAGAATTGAGATGTACTGGATTTGTATAAAAGTTACTATAATAAAGACGGTAAAGTATTTCATTAATAACTTTTTTTTTTTTGAGGCAGAGTCTCACTCTGTCGCCGAGGCTGGGGTTCAGTGGCACGATCTCGGCTCACTGCAACCTCTGCCTCCTGGGTTCAAGTGAGCATGTCTGGCTAATTTTTGTATTTGTATTTTTATTTATTTTTATTTTTATTTTTTGAGACAAAGTCTCACTCTGTCACCCAGGCTAGAGTGCAGTTGTGCAATCTCGGCTCACTGCAACCTCTGCCTCCCAAGTTCAAGTGATTGCCTCCCAAATTCAAGTGATTCTCGTGCCTCAGACTGCTGAGTAGCTGGGATTACAGGCGTATACCACCAGGCCTGGCTAATTTTTGTATTTTTAGTAGAGACAAGGTTTCATTCACCATGTTGGCCAGGCTGGTCTAGAACTCCTGACCTCAGGTGATCCACCCACCTTGGCCTCCCAAAGTACTGGGATTACAGGTGTGAGCCACCATGCCCGGCCTAATTTTTGTATTTTTAGTAGAGACGGGTTTTCACCATGTTGGCCAGGCTGGTCTCGAACTCCTGACCTCAAATGAGCTGCCTGCCTCGGCCTCCCAAAGTGCAGGGATTACAGGTGTGAGCCACCATGCCCGGCCATTAATAATTTTAAGTTACATGTTGAAATGATAGCATTTTGGATGTGCTGGCTTAAATAAAATTTAAAACTATTTGACCTGTTAATTTTAACTTTTTAAATTGTGGCTACTAGAACATTTAAAATTACATTATATGTCTTTATAATGTTTAGAAATTATTATTACTTTTAGAGATGGGGCTTCACTAAAATAATAGTCTGCCCCGTCAGGCCTTGAACTCCTGGGCTCAAGGGATTCTCCTGTTTCAGCCCCAGGAGTAGCTGGGACTACAAGCGCTCACCACTATGCCCAGCTAAAACCACATTATATTTCTATTGGTGCTAATCTAGAATGTCACTGGTCAACTCTATGAAAACCACTTTGCACAGGCTGACAGCATAGTACTGATAAGGCCAGTGATATGGGTTACATCTTTAACTATAGTCTTTTTTTTTTTTTGAGATGGAGTCTTGCTCTTTTGCCCAGGCTGGAGTGCAGTAGCACGATCTCGGCTCACTGCAACCTCTGCCTCCTAGGTTCAAGCGATTCTTCTGCCTCAGCCTCCCAAGTAGCTGGGACTACAGGCATACACCACTATGCCCAGCTAATTTTTGTATTTTTAGGAGAGACGGGGTTTCACCATATTGGCCAGGCTGGTCTTGAACTCCTGACCTTGTGATCCACCCGCCTCGGCCTCCCAAAGTGCTGGGATTACAGGCGTGAGCCACCGCGCCCGGCCAGTTACATCTTATATAAGTCAGTAAGAAGAGGTAATTGTGCCTGCATACTTGAGCTCAGTCAATTTTAGCAGAAAAATGAAACTCATCAAAAGAGAAATAGGTATAGATATAGACATCTTCAATATGCTATGAAATGCATTTAAAAACCCACATGGATTAATGAATGAATTGAGGGATAGACAGATACCCAAGAAAGCAAGTACAATAGAATGTTAATGGTAGAATCTAAGGAGACAGCTGTGTTAAGCGTTCACTATAACACATTCTTTAAACTTTGTTATATTTTTGAAAAATTTTTAAATAAAATGTTGATAAAAAGGGAAACAGGAAGGCTGTAGCAACATGGAATAGTAGAAAAAGGAATGAATGACAGGGTTAGAAGACCTGTTACAGACACCCTCCTCTTTAAAAATGTTGTATGCTTTGTAGTTTCTTTATTGATGGTGAATAGGACAACAATGTATTTGTAGTAATATTGAAGAAGGTAATTTTTTGTGATTACAACAGTTCTTAACTTTCCTTGTCTGATTTCTGCCTTCAGGAAGTAAGCCTTTAATAAAGCAGAATTGTAAGGTCTTTTTATTTTACATTCAAGAACTGAATTTTGAGAGTAAAGAGTTAAAGCGTGTAGGCAATAACATTTCAGCATGTATCTCATGTACTGATATAAATATATGCATGTGCCCAGAGGGCTCCGGCATCGCCAGGTAAATGGCCTGACAGTATACATTTGTTTGGCATATTAGGCTGTTAGCCTTAAAGAAAAAAAAATAAAAGATACACAGCCACCTTGGGAAGAAAAATTTAAAAAGAGAGGCCTCCATGTGATATTAATAATCTTAAAAGCAGAAAAATGTAGGGGTTAAAATCACAACCCTGAATGTAATAAGTTCATTTGTTAAGATTTCAACACTGCTAAATTACAAAGAAATGATACATGCATAATCCCTACAGAGAAGAAAACTTCTAATCGTCCTTCTAAGTGAGCATTAGAACATGATGAATATTTCATATAAATTATGCATCTTAATATGGAAATGGAATGGACCTTGACAAAAAATCCAGTTTAGCCCCATGGTCTCAGGAACATAAAATCTTAGCACTCCCACCTTAGAAAGGAGATGATTAAGGCCCAGAGAGGCTCACTATCTTACCTATAGTCACCCAGTCAATAAATAGTGGTGGTGGGATGGTGTGCAGTTCTCCTGCCTTCTGCTATATGATGATGTTGCTAGTCTATAGACTTATGGTAGAGAAGAAGATGATTTCAGGTTAGAAGTGAACACAGGAATGATCTATCATCTCGAATTACAAAGTTTAAACCTGGGTCTGGTTGGTGGGAATATAAAGCTGTATGAAATAGCTATGGGTTTGAACAGAGTAGACCTGGCCAGTAATTAAAACAGAAGTCCCAGCCAGTAAACAGTGAACTACTACTGATAATTTCTGGGGATTAATGTTATCGTGATTATCTTCCTCCAAACTCTAAAGCCTGGCCACATTCTCACCATGGGAAGAAGGAAGCAGAATAACAGTGTCCTCCACCTCACTCAGGGAATTCGCTAACAGCATTCCCTCACTCCTCTCCCAGCTAATGACCTCAAGGATTCAGGGATATGAAAAACAAACCTTCTTCACCAGAAAGACTAGAGGATCAAAAGGGACAATGTCCGTCATAAGCAGCACTCTATCACAAGTCACGTTTGGTGCAAAAACACAGACTAAAAGGAGTCACCAAACATTCTGCAAGTCTGAAAATGCACTTCAAGTCAAATATTCATTCAACATTTTTTTTTGTACCTATGACATGCCAAACACCATGCTGGATGTTGCGATTTCTAAAACAAATAACAGACCCTGTTGTCAAGGAGCTGAGATCACTGCAATGGTGTGACTGGTGGTATGACAGAGATTATAGTAAGCTTCTTAGAGAGAACATAGGAGGGGTCAAGTGCACAGACTGAAGAGGACTTGGTGGCAGGGGTAGCATGGAGATTAGGGAAGACTTCCTGGAGAGGAACCCCCAAGTTGAGACCTGAAGGGTGAGAAGAAATTAGCCACGTTTTCATCCCTGAGAGGTGTGAGAAAAAACAAACAAACAAAAAACTGTGTGTATGAAGCCACCATGGTGATAGTGCAAACTTTCTACTTCAAAAACATATAAATATCTAATTAAAACAAACAAAAACCACTAATAACTTTTCTTTCACTTCTGAAACTGCTTTTCTCTGTTAATAGAGCAGATATCACTGGGTATGGTGGGTCATGCCTTTAATCTCAACACTATGGAAGGCCAAGGTGGGAGGATTGCTTGAGCCCAGGAGTTCGAGACCAGCCTGGGTAACATAGCGAGACCTTGTCTCTATATTTAAAACTGTAGGCCAGGCATGGTGCCTCACGCCTGTAATCCCAGCAATTTGGGAGGCCGAGGTGGACAGATTGCCTGAGGTCAGGAGTTCGAGACCAGTCTGGCCAACATGGTGAAACCTCATCTCTACTAAAAAATAAAATACAAAAAAATTATCTAAGCATGGTGGCATTAGCCTGTAATCCCAGCTACTCAGGAGGCTGAGGCAGGGGAACTGCTTGAACCAGGGAGGTGGAGGTTGCAGAGGGCCGAGATCATGCCACTGTACTCCAGCCTGTGCAACAGAGCGAGACTCCATCTCAAAACAACAACAACAAAAACTGCATATTTTTTTAAAAAATAGAGCAGATGTTGAAGAATGTTGACAAAGCCCATAAAGAGAGAAAATAATAGTATCATTAAGCTCAGGTTCTGGCATAGAAAATCCGGGTTTGCATCCCAATTCTGACATTTACTAGCTCTGAATTTATCATGGGTGATTTATCATTGACTTCTCTAACCCTCAGTTTTTACATTTGTAAAATAAAAATAATACCTTATTAGACTGTTGAGAGGATTAAATGAAATAATGTGTATAAAGTACTCAAAACAGTTGCTGGTACACGTGAAATTCTTAATAAATGTTAGTGAAAAACAAAAAAAGCAAAAGATGTTGGGGCCATTATGAATAAGTCAACTGGAAATACCATAAAGGCTTAATATTTCTGAACAACTGGACAGAAAGACTAGTCTGAACTACAAGAAAATCTGAGAAATCTAAGAAATGTTACTTGCAGTTCTTGTACATAGAGTTACCGGTACAATGAACACGTTGCTGATATTGTCTTCTGCTACAGATATTTATCTTTTTTTTTCTTATTTCCCCCAAGAGACTATAAAACTCTTAAGGATAAAGACTATGTTTCTTTCACCTTTGTACTTCTGAAACACCCAGTACAGGGCCTTAAAACAAGGAGGCCCTCAAAAAATATTTGATGAATAAAATGATTAGGATGTTCAGATCAATGTAGTTGTGGTCACTGAAGACAGGCTAAATAAATTTGGTAACTTTGTAGCATAGCAATATCTTAAAATGTATACATTAAAATCATAAAGTAACTAGAATGTGATTCATTAAAGAAACTGAACAGTATTCTTAAGTGGTAACTTTGTGACTAGGGAGGCAGGAGTCTTGACACATAAAATTAAATGTTAGGTTTTGTGGTCTCATTGACCTATTTTCTTTCTCAAGCAGAATTTTTTTTTCTCATTTCTTTCTTAAATATTTTCCCAACACTACTTTCCAGTAACATGACCATGTGACATGAGTATCACCTCTGACAACGGTTTAAAGTGGAAGAAAAAAAATTAAAGGAGAAAGGTAAATAAGCAGAGTATTACCTAAGAATACAAAGTGTTCCTCCACAGGAAGTTTTTTGTGGTTGCCAGATTAAAGGAGGTAACAGATACCATATGTGAAATACAAAGCTCAAGATAACTATACAATATGTACATACTTAGTGGTTCAGAATTTAATGAACCAATCCAATAAATAACCTTAGGATGTTCTTGCTTTATCTTCAAAGGAGAATTTTTGTTGTCATTGCCTCAATGCAATAATAAAATGATTGGTTCTATCAAAAGAATATCTTTTTTTTCGAGATGGAGTCTCGCTGTCGCCCAGGCTGGAGTGCAGTGGCGTGATCTCAGCTCACTGCAGGCTCCGCCCCCTGGGGTTCATGCCATTCACCTGCCTCAGCTTCCCGAGTAGCTGGGACTACAGGCGCCTGCCACCTTGCCCGGCTCATTTTTTGTATTTTTAGTAGAGACGGGGTTTCACTGTGTTAGCCAGGATGGTCTCGATCTCCTGACCTTGTGATCCGCCCGCCTCGGCCTCCCAAAGTGCTGGGATTACAGGCATGAGCCACTGCGCCCAGCCTCAAAAGAATATCTTTAGACTAAAATCTGGATTTTTAATTTAATTTTAATTTTTTTGAGACAGGGTATCACTCTGTCGTGCAGGCTGCAGTGTAGTGGTGTGATCTTGGCTCACTGCAGCCTCCACTTCCTGGGGTCAAGTGATCCTCCCACCCCAGCCTCCCAAGTAGCTGGGAATACAGAAGCCCACCACCACACCGGCTAATTTTTCCATTTTTTGTAGAGATGGGGTTTCGCCATGTTGCCCAGGCTGGCCTCAAACTCTTCAAATGCTAAAGTGATCATTGCAATTAAATAAAAACAATTGAGCTGAAGTGCCAATTTCATTAGTACAGCTGAACTAGTGAAAAACAGGTACAGCCAAACAAAATTAATGCAAAATAATCAAAACTTTTGAGTGCATCAAGTATGGAAAAAAGTTCTCAAGTTCTAAAGTATTTCAAACCACAGAAAGGGTAAGTTCTTTTCTTTGCATTTCCAGTAACTTTAAAAATAAACCTTTATTATTTTCCAGATTATTTTAAAAAAACCTTCTTATTAAAAAAATTTAACACTACACAAATACATAATATCAAAAACCAACATTTTATTTAAACTTCTCCTTTGGAGGTAACTGGTGCTATCAATTGAGTTTTAACAACCACTTTTCAGGCCAAGTGCCCTGGCTCACACCTGTAATCCCAGCACTTTGGGAGGCTAAGGTGAGGGGATTGCTTGAGGCCAGGAGTTCAAGACCAGCCTGGGCAACATGGCAAGTCTCCATCTCTACAAAAAAATTTTTTTTTAATTAGCCAGGTGTGGCGGCACATGCCTGTTGTCCTAGCTACTCAGGAGGCTGAGGCGGAAGGACTGCTTGAGTCCAGGAGTTCAAGGCTGCAGTGAGCTATAATCCTGCCACTATACTCCAGCCTGGGTGATAGAAGGAGGCCCTGTCTCTAAAAAATAAAAAAACCAAACTAACCAACTAAACAAAAAACCACCTTTTGATCGCATGAGACAGTAATAGGAGAGCTGCTCTAAATAAGTTTATACTAATTGCTTAAACTTCTCCTTTTATCTGTGCCCTTCCTACTCCACTGCTAAGGAAACACAAAAACAAAAATCAAAAATACATGCTAATCCTCCAAAAAGACAACCCACAAATAAGATTAACCCCTGAAAAAAAATCATAAGGTGACTGGGCAAAATTGTGACACCAAGTGGCAGAAACACATTTCCTTTAGTTGCCCTCAATAATAAAAAACAGGAACAGCATTTTTCTTTCAAAGATGATTGGAAGAACCTACCTAATTATCATGTTTTTTAGCTTTTAAAAAATAATTTTGTGAGGCCAGGCGTGGTGGCTCATGCCTGTAATCTCAGCACTTGGGAGGCTGAGGCGAGCGGATCACGAGGTCAGGAGATCGAGACCATGGTGAAACCCCGTCTCTACTAAAAATACAAAAAGTTAGCCGGGCGTGGTGGCGGGCGCCTGTAGTCCCAGCTACTCGGGAGGCTGAGGCAGGAGAATGGCGTGAACCTGGGAGGTGGAGCTTGCAGTGAGCCGAGATCACACCACTGCACTCCAGCCTGGGTGACAGGTCGAGACTCTGTCTCAAAAAAAAAAAAAAATAATAATAATTTTGTGGCGGGGCACGGTGACTCATGCCTGTAATCCCAGCACCTTGGGAGGCCCAAGTGGGCAGATCATCTGAGGTCAGGAGTTTGAGACCAGCCTAACCAACACAGTGAAACCCCATCTCTACTAAAAATACAAAAATTAGCCAGATGTGGTGGTGCACACCTGCAATCCCAGCTATTCAGGAGGCTGAGGCATGAGAATCACTTAAACTGGGAGGCGGAGGTTGCAGTGAGCCAAGATCGCACCACTGCAAGATCGCACCACTGCACTCCAGCCTGGGTGATAAGAGTGAGACTCAGTCTCTAAATAAATAAATAAATAAATAAATAAAATTTTGTATACAATGAGGCATTTTGTAGTGCCAGAGAGTAAGGAAGTACTAAAAAAAAATAATAAAGAAACAAAAAACACCTACAGCAACAAAAAGCTTGCAATGGCCAAAGGTAGAACACTGTGAGCAGCAAAATAAGCAGTATTAGATTATAACCCAAAGTACTAAAAATAAATATCCATGAGTCCATACTACCATAAATAAATAAGTAAATAAGGTAGAACAGACAATTTCATGGGGAGAATTCCAAATAATTTACGTAAATACTCTGCCCTCAAGGAAGTGAAACATAACTCCTCCCGCCAGCTCTTTAACTGAGGGCTGCACATAGTGACTTCCTTCTGAAGAGTACAGTATGGCAAGGGGAAAAAAAAGAGTAACTTTACAGTTGAGAAAGCTGACAAAACTTCCTTAGCCAGGTGATCAAGGTTAACATCAACAGTGATAAGTCATGTTGATACTATCTACTTTTGATATGGTATGACGAGAATGGCATTTTGCCTCTGTGGTCTTCCTACCCAAAACCCACAACTGCAGTCTAATTATGAAAAACACAACATAAAAATCCCAATTGAGGGACATTCTACAAAATATTTGACCATTATTCTCAAAATTGTCAATTTCTTCATCAAAACTGAAGAAAAGTCTGAGTGACTGTCATAGGAACAAGAAGCCTAAAAAAACAAAATGATTAAATGTAATATGGTATCCTGGATGGGATTCCAGAAGAGAACAAGGACAATAAGCAAATCTAAATAAAGTATGGACTTTAGTTAATAGCAATATATCAATATTGGTTCACTAATTTTGACAAATGTACCATACTAATATCTTAGTGATAGAAAAAACTGGGTGTGGGGTATATGAGAACTCTACTAATCTTTGAAACTTTTCTATAAATTTATAACTTTTCTAAAATAAAAGTCTTATTGTAAAAAAACTTTAAAATCTACTATATATATAACATATATATAATTTTCTCAGATGGGATAAGTAAATATCATAAAAGTCAATTATTCCTGAAGAATTATTTTATTAATAAAAATAATATAACACTAATTTTAAAATAGTTTAAATGAGATATAAGAAATGGAGATGCTAAAACAAAATACTGGAGAGTAATTAAGAATTTTGCATACTTAGGCCGGGCGCGGTGGCTCACACCTGTAATCCCAGCACTTGGGGAGGCCAAGGTGGGCAGATCACGAGGTCAGGAGTTCAAGACCAGCCTGGCCAAGATAGTAAAACCCTGCCTCTACTAAAAATACAAAAATTAGCTGGGCGTGGTGGTGGGTGCCTGTAATGCCAGCTACTCGGGAGGCTGAGGCAGAGAATTGCTTGAACCCGGGAGGTGGAGGTTGCAGTGAGCCAAGATCGTGCCACAGCACTCTAGCCTGGGCAACAGAGTGAGACTCTGTCTCAAAAGAAAAAAACAAACAAACAAACAAAAAATTTTGCATACTTAATATTTTCACAATCATGGAATTGTCGTGGCTTTTGGGATTTTCACCTTCAAGTTCTTTTGGTAAAATATTAATACTGTTAAAATACTGTATTTTTATCTTGCAGGATTATTTTGGTTCATTTGAAGACGAATGGCTGTTTCCATTTATCCTCCAAGCTTAAACCCAATAAGATTACCTGTTATCTCTTTCCTCAACAGATGAGAAAATTTTCAGGGGGTTTTCCTGATATAACAGAGGCTTTCATAACATAACATGGAGAAAGAGAGACCTATTATAATTGGAAAGTTTCCATTTCAATTAATTCTGTAACTTTACATGCATAAGCAATTTCTACTTATTTATAGTCTAGGTAAGACTGACTAAACTAAATGATGTCAGGTTGACTTTGCAAGCTTCTTTTTTCACATTAAAGAAATACTACGGTCTCAGTCTGTTCACACAAAACACCTGAAACTAGGTAATTTATAAAGAACAGAAATTTGTTTCTTCAGAGTTCTGGAGGCTAGGAATTCTAAGATCAAGATGCCAGCAGGTTCTGTATCTGGTGAAGACCTTGGGTCTCTGCTTCCAAGATGGCACCTTGAACACTGTGTCCTCACACAGTGAGGCAAAAGGAACAGAAGGACAAAAAGAGCTGAACTCACTCCCTCAAGCCCTTTTATAAGGGTGCTAATCCCATCCACGAGGGCAGAGTCCTCATGACCTAATCACCTCCTAAAGGCCTCACTTCTTAATACTGTGAAATTGAGAATTAAGTTTCAACATGAATGTGGAGTGGACACATTCAAACTATAGCAAGTACTCACTATAATTTTTTTTTTTTTTTTTTTTTTAGATGGAGTCTCACTCTCTCGCCAGGCTGGAGTGCAGTGGTGCAATCTCGGCTTACTGCAACATCCGCCTTCCGGGTTCAAGCGATTCTCCTGCCTCAGCCTCCCGAGTAGCTGGGACTACAGGCACGCACCACCATGTCCAGCTAATTTTTGTATTTTTTTTTTCAAAGGAGTTTCACTCTTGTTGCCCAGGCTGGAGTGCAATGGCACGATTTCGGCTCACTGCAGCCTCCGCCTCCCGGGTTCAAGCAATTCTCCTGCCTCAGCCTCCGGAGTAGCTGGGATTACAGGTGCCCGCCACCAGGCCTAGCTAATTTTTTGTATTTTTAGTAGAAACAGGGTTTCGCCATGTTGGTCAGGCTGGTCTCAAACTCCTGACATCAGGTGATCCACCTGCCTCGGCCTCCCAAAGTGCTGGGATTACAGGCGTAAGCCACCACGCCCGGCCTAATTTTTGTATTTTTAGTAGAGACGGGGTTTCACCATGTTGGCCAGGATGGTCTCAATCTCTTGACCTCGTGATCTGCCCGCTCAGCCTCCCAAAGTGCTGGGATTACAGGCGTGAGCCACTGCGCCCAGCCCTCACTATAATTATTTAACAGACATCGAAGGCAATTCTGATACTAGAACTTACATAAGTACCTCTTCAGAGTGCTTACTACACAGCAGTAATATTAGGGACATATGCTTCTTTTTGTAACCAAACTTTTAAAGAACTGAAATGAAATTATAATTATAAAATTTTAAAACAAGGTCTAGCCCTGCTGTGGATTACCATGGATCTGAAGTGAAAAAATCAGCTTAAAAATTTATTTTCCAAGAGTCAAAGGGCAGGAGTCCTCCTATTTAGTCTTCTCACCAACTTCCTAGCATTAGTTATTGCTGAGGTATTGAGGCCTGTTTAGTACTTTCAGAAGCCTCTCTCAAGCTCACCCACTGTTCTCCTGACTCCTTTACTGCTGATGCTTACACAATCCATTCACCGGTTCGTAACAAGAATGTTGTGAATAGTACTCAGAGTGCCCACATGGCCCTGCCCTCTGAGGGTTCACAGGAAAAATCCCTTTGGTTTCAATATTAGGAATAATGGAACATTCTCTGAACAATTTGTTTCTATTTAATCTTATGAATTATGTGAAGCCTATAAATGAATGAGTCTTATAGTGGAAATAGCTCCTTTGGAAGATATACCAGAATTGGGTGTTCCTTCAAATTTCCCCATTCTCCAAAGCTCTGATTTCTCCCTTCTGCTACTGCTCTTAGCCTACCTCCTTTGAGAATCTCTTTAGGAAAGAGAAATGTTTATGATGAGAATGTGAGGTACTTACAAATGATGTGCAAGCAGATAAAAGCATGAGCCCCTGCTCTTAAGTGATCATGTTATCATCTTCAGGTTTGCTGACAGAATTTACAGCCAAATTAATAGAGCACTTCACCATATGCATTTTGTGCACCAACCTTAAACCTTTTATTTCCCTAAGCTTATTTTCCCTTTGTACCCTTTTTACATTAACTTTATTTTAACTTATTTTAAATTTATTTTATTTTCTGTATCACATATATTATAACCATCTTACATCTTTCATAAGACAAAATGGGGTAGAAATAATATACCAATAAGGAGTATCCACTTGAGTTGGCAGAGTGAATACTCTAAGGAACAATATACCCTTCCTAATACTATCTAGAAAAAAAGCCATGTCTAAATCACTGCAAAAGAAATCTAAGATCTGAACTGATCTTAATCAACTGATCTTAATCGTATTTGACTGGGATAAAAATCAGCCTTTATATTAGTGAAAATTGTGAAACAGAAACAATTTTAAAAGGAAAAAAATGCTGTTTTAAAATAAACATTACCAGAAAATTATGATTAAAGTGTTACCACTGTAATAATTAGGTAAGAATAATTTATATAGCTTTATAAACAGTTTAAGTAAATTTACTACTCACTCTGCAATTGCTGTTTACCTTACTGACAACAAATATTTAAACTTTTCTTGTTAAAATGGATATTATATTTTCATAAGTGGCCTCTTCCTACCACACTCTCAATGAGAGTGTTTTAAAACACTGTGATGGAAGCAAGATATACACAATAATGACTCACGAGACAATCTCACCACACCCTAAATGGTTATCACACAGACATTATCAATGACACATCAGTGATGGGAAATCAACTTGCTATTAGGATTTTGCCAGAGAGAGAAAAGATATGGGAGCTTGGCAACACAGTGTTTTTAATGCTGTTCAAAGACACTGGATCACTTGACTTCTACAACAATTGGGGAAATCTTGTTTCAAACACTATGCAGAATGTTCCTTTCTGGGACATTTGAAAAGAAAGGACTATGAAGCCAAATCACTATAGAAATTTTGCCTGGCTCCATTCATCTTGCTAGTTATGCCCTTGATCACTTCACTAAAAACCCACCTGACAGTTGATCATTAACTTCATTAGCAGTTGGTAAGAATAATTCTGAGTGATGCAGACGATCCCAGCAGTCACATGACAAAACATAACTCTTAACACATGTCAAGGCAGGAGTGGGTGAAGTGATACATGACAAAAGGAAGTAGTCAGCCTGGCACTGTTTGACCTAGGGCAATATGACTTCCCTGAGTTGCCATGTCATGAAAAATGAATAGTAAGAAAAAAACCCAAGAACCATTCTTTTGTGTTCTTTAGTGAATTCTGGATTGGCATCCACTAATGCAAATTTGTTTCCTCAAGTCACTTATATCACCCTTGACTACCCAGCAGTAACTCCTTAAAACTAAGGAGTCATGATTAGATTTACTTTTCCCCATGTGATGAAAATATTTATTTTCTGAGACAGGGTCTCACTCTGTTACCCAGGATGGAGTGCATCAGCGCAATCACGGCTCACTGCAGCCTAGATCTCCAGGGCTCAAGTGATCCTCCCCCCGCCTCAGCCTCCTGAGTTGGTGGGACTACAGGTGTGTGCTACCATACCCAGCTTATTTTTAAAAATTTATTTTTCGTAGACATGGCAGGGGGCAGGGGGGTCTCACTATGTTGCCCAGGCCGGTCTCTAACTCCTGGGCTCAAGTGGTCCTCCCACCTCGGCCTCCCAAAGTGTTGGGATTACAGGTATGAGCCACCATGCCTGGCCTGAAATAGCACTTAAATGCTGCTAACTGATTAGTTGTTTTAAGATTCACAGCCCAAGTTTATAATTTCTATTGACTTATTTATTTTTAGATCTTCTTCCAAGAATCCACATTAACAGTGACTTGTTTGGATGATATTTATTGGGGGATATTTCAGATTCCCTAGGGAGAAGCTTACAATTACATTGCTTTGATATTACATATAATTACTTTAAGTCTGAGGTTTTTCCCAATTTATACATTCTCCTTGGACTCCTTAACATATGTTTCTTAAAGTCATAACTAGGTAATTTAAACTATTATAATACTAAAGTAACTCCTTGATAACATAACTGTTGGTTATGAAAACATGAGAAGCTTCTTTTTTGAAAATGAAAGAAGTATATCACTCTTAGAACTAAGTTCCAGTTTCCTAAGTTTCACATATATAGTTAAAAAAATAGATTTCTACCCTAAGAATCATTAAAAGACCTATCTGACTTCTAAAATTGCTTGTTTTTGAGTTTCTCAAACTCAAGTTTGAAAATTAATATTCTGCAGAAGAGCAGAAACATTAGTGTTTAAGTTTATACCATTAAAGATTTATTTTAGTTTCTTATCTTTAAAATATGTGTGAGTTTTTAAAAAGAACTAGAAAAAGTATTTGTAAAAATACATAACTATATAAAGGAAGAAGTGACTGGTCAGTGGAGAATTTCTACTTCCAGGCTTTTTTCCCTGAATATACATAAAAACACACACAGTAATTTTTTTTTTATTTTCAAAAAATGGGATCATCCTGTATATTTTGTTTTCAACTTGTCTTTTTCATGTATCATGGGTACCTTTCTATGTCAGTAAACTCACCTCCAGTACTCAGTTGGCTTCTGTATAATTTCCAATTTTTTGCTATTACAGAGATACAATGAAAATTATGTATCTTTATGTACCTGTGCAAATATTTCTGCAGAACAGATTTCTGAAAGTGGAACTGATACATCACTGTATATTTTGAATAGATACAGTACCAAACAGACTCCATAAAGCTGAATTAACTTACATTCCCACGTATGGCATAAAAGAGTATGGCCTAGTTAATGTTTTCTAATATCTATAATTAAAATATTTTATATAATAAAACACTGCATATGCTAATACCACATTTATCTGAACACTGTTCAAATATAAGTTTCATATAAATGAATTTCAAGATAAATAAAACAAAATCATGTGTGAGAGGAACTTTCTGAAAAGCATTATGATTTTCTTGCCTTCTTAATTATGCAGATAGTTACAATTTACGATTTTCTTTACAATTATAAATTTTCAAAAAAGAAATCACAATTTGCCTATCTTTTGAAATAGGATATACTAGTCATAGTTTAAGACTTTCTTTATAATTTTGAAGATTATATATTGGATGCTACTTTCTTTAATACAGTAATGGCTGTTGAGGCTACTGAGCTGTTTGCTGGAAGGCTGAGCTGGATCCAGAAGGTTGCACTTTTTGACTTTTTAAAAAAAAATTAATTAATTATACTTTAAGTTCTGGGATACACGTGCCAAACGTGCAGGTTTGTTACATAGGTATACATGTGCCATGGTGGTTTGCTGCACCCACCAACCCGTCATCTACATTAGGTATTTCTCTTAATGCTATCCCTCCCCTAGCCCCTCATCCCCCGACAGGCCCTGGTGTGTGATGCTCCCCTCCCTGTGTCCATGTGTTCTCACTGTTCATCTTGTACTTATGAGTGAGGACATGAGGTGTTTGGTTTTCTGTTCCTGTGTTAGTTTGCTGAGAATGATGGTTTCCAGCTTTCCCAATGTCCCTGCAAAGGACATGAACTCATCCTTTTTTATGACTGTATAGTATTCCATGGTGTATATATGCCACATTTTCTTTATCCAGTCTATCACTGATGAGCATTTGGGTTGCATTCTTGTACACCAATAATAGACAAACAGAGAGCCAAATCATGAGTGAACTCTCATTCATAATTGCTACAAAGAGAGTAAAATACCTAGGAATACAACTTACAAGGGAAGTGAAGGACTTTTTGACTTCTTATGGCAGCATTTTTCTTTCAACCTGGACAGCAGTCTCTCTCTTCTCCCTAATGTAAGCATACCTGCCTCTAGTAGTAATCCCATCCCTCCACTTTCAATCCATGCATAAAAACTCTAATATGCTGCTCCTCATATATATATTTGAAAAAGAAAAAAAAATTCCTCAAACAGCTTCTCAGAGCAGACATGAAGACAGTATGTTCTTCAAAGAAGGACACCCAAGTGTGAATAAGACACCCAAGTTTTGGGACATAAGGGACAAGACATTCTACCTCTAAAGCCAGATGTTAAGAGAGAGTCTTTAAACGGGAGAAACAATTATATGGAAAAGAGTATTTAAAAGTCAAGGAGGTATGATAAAAATTCTACTTCAATATTTAACATTTCCTATTGTAAACATAATAGGGTATTTCTAAGTTTCCTTCCCACTTTAACGTTATTGAAACATAATTTCAAGCATGGGGATCGAGAAACTCACATTTCTACAGTTGGGGCAAAAAAAAAAAAAAAATACACCCGGGATTATATACACACAAAAATACTGAGCATAGTTTATTGTATCTTAGGTGCTTTATGGTATTGAAACTTTTACAAGAGGTTATGTAAATCAACAGAAAGAAATAAAATAACTTGAGTGGCAGAAAAAATAAGAACTTACTGTCAAGTAAACACTTTACCAAATGACCTTTAATGACCAATACTTGTGCCTCTATTTTTCTCTCACTGTAGTAAAACCAACTAACAGATGGCAATCAAAACAAATTCTACAGTGTTTTCACCAAACCACTTTCTATTCAATGCCCCAAGCATGCTATAAGAATGAAAGCATTCAGTGCTGGTGTCAGCCATAATTCTTTTAAATTACATTATAAATTTTCATTCTGCTGAAGCCATTTTAACCAATTCTCAGTTATCCACAGAAATAGGGAGCAGAATTTTGAAGAACTAGCATGATTAACTAAAATGATGTGCTTTTCCCCCCATACATCTTCTATTAGAGGAGCTTATGAACACTGAAAATCCAAAATGCAAGCTGCAAAAGGAACAAAGAACAAAAGCATTAGGACTGAATTATGGGTAGGTATGTGGGGGAAGAGAGAATGAGAGAGAAAATGCAGCATTAGAAGCTTTCCACTTCATATCCTTTTTCTTTTTTTTTTTTTTCTACTCTGTCACCCAGGCTGGACTGTAGTGGCACAATCTAGGCTCACTCAACCTCTGGCTCCCGGGTTCAAGCGATTCTCCTGCCTCAGTCTCCCTAGTAGCTGGGATTACAGGCACGCGCCACCATGCCTGGCTAATTTTTGTATTTTTAGTAGAGACAGGGTTTCGCCGTGTTGGTCAGGCTGGTCTTGAACGCCTGACCTCAGGTGATCCACCCTCCTTGGTCTCCCAAAGTGCTGGGATTACAGTACAGGTGTGAGCCACCATGCCCGGCCCCTCCTTTTGTTTTCTTAATGGAAAGTTATTATACTATGTTGTCCCTGCCTCCTCAAGGGGGTCTC
Organism: Homo sapiens; assembly: GCF_000001405.40. Classification (NCBI taxonomy): domain Eukaryota; kingdom Metazoa; phylum Chordata; class Mammalia; order Primates; family Hominidae; genus Homo; species Homo sapiens. The sequence goes on along the minus strand of NC_000014.9, from coordinate 35,192,640 downwards.
ACAGCACCAATTATTAGTGATAACTGAAAAGAAAACCTAATTTATTGAAATGGAAGTTACAAAGGTATGTGTAAAGTATGAGTCATGGAGACTTTTAGAATTCCCTCCCTGATCATTCTAGGATAAATGGTCAACAACAGCATGGTCTCTTTTCACAAAAAACTACTATGAAGGAACTTGATATTGAAAAAGACAATCCAGGCAAAGACAGTTTTGCATTGCCATGTTGAAACTCATCTCTAGTTCCTGGGCTAGACTTGGCAATCCTGATGTAACTGAAAATACAGACAGAAGTGACTAGGCAGAATGAGGTTACTTTGGAAGAATCAAGAAAGACCTTTGAGGTGCTGATAATAATCCAGCCATTTGAAGATGGAAGAATATTAAAGAAATAGCAAGTACGAAGATTTGGAGGCAGGCACAAATTCAGCATGTTTGAGGGGCAGGAAAAATCCTAGTGTACCTACAATTCAGTGAAAGACAATGAGAAAAAACCAGATGAGGTTGAAAAGAGAGGCAAAGACCAGATAATGAGAGTTACTATAATCCACGATGAGGAACTTGGATTTTATTCTAAGTGTAAAGGGAAGTTATTGAGGCAAGCATGAAAAAAGCAAGGAGACCACTTAGGAGTTTTGGTGAGAGATGATGTTAATGGAAATGGAAAGAAGTGACTAGACTATGGGATATTTTGGGGGGTTAAAACCAAGAAAACTTGTCAGTCTACTGGGGTTAAAACCAAGAAAACTTGTCAGTCTACTGGGGTTAAAACCAAGAAAACTTGTCAGTCTACTGGATATAGGAGTAGTGAGAAAGAGTAATTGTGGCTGGCTGGAATCCTTGGTTTTTGGTTTGAGCAATTTGGTGGATAGTAGTGCCAATTACCCACCCCAGTTTTTGTTTCTTTTTGTTTGTTTGTTTGTTTTGGTTTGGTTTTGGTTTTGGTTTTTGAGACTGTTGTCCAGGCTGGAGTGCAGTGGCATGATCACACCTCACTGCAGCCTCGAATTCCTGGGCTCAAGCAATCCTCCTGCCTCAGCCTTCTGAGAAGCTGGAACCACAGGTGCATGCCATCACATCCAGCTAATGTTTTTGATCTTCTGTAGAGATGGGGTCTCGCTATGTTGCCTAGGCTGGTCTCGTACTCCTGGGCTCAAGTGATTCTCCCGCCTCAGCCTCCTGAAGTGCTGGGATTACAGGTTGTATTAGTCTGTTTTCATGCTACTGATAAAGACATACCCAAAACTGGGTAATTTATAATGAAAAAGAGGTTTAATGGACTCACAGTTCCACGTGGCTTGGGAGGCCTCACAATCATGGCAGAAGGTAAAAGGCACGTCTTACATGGCGGTGGGCAAGAGAGAATGAGAGAAGTGAAAGGGGAAACCTCTTATAAAACCATCAGATCTTGTAAGACTTCTTCACTACCACAAGAACAGTATGAGGGAAACTGCCCCCAGGATTCAATTATCTCCCACCAAGTTCCTCCTACAACATGTGGGAATTATGGGAGCTACAATTCAAGATGAGATTTGGGTGGAGACATAGCCAAATCATATAACAGGTGCATGCTACCATGCCTGGCTTTGTTCAGAAGTATTTGTAAGAGTCCAAATAACATGTTGGGAAATGGTTGTTCATAAAAAGAAATCCATGAACCTAAAACTGCTCTAGGAAAATTAAGTTTATTAAATTAAAAAAGAAAAAAGAAATCCAATCCAAGAAAATCTAAAATATCTTGCAACAGATTATGATGAAGAGATGTTGGTTCAAGTGCTATATAAAAGTTGACTCAAGTAGTATGTAAGGGTCCATAACTAATACTTTTAAATACAGTCAGCCGGGTGCGGTGGCTCATGCCTGTAATCCCAGCACTTAGGGAGGCCAAGTAGTCGGATCAGGAGGTCAGGAGATTGAGACCATCCTGGCCAACATGGTGAAACCCCGCCTCTACTAAAAATACATAAATTAGCCAGACGTGGTGGCACGTGCCTGTAATCCCCGCTACTCAGGCGGCTGAGGCAGGAGAATTGCTTGAACTCCGGAGGCGGAGGTTGCAATGAGCCAAGATCATGCCACTGCACTCCAGCCTGGGTGACAGAGCAAGACTCCATCTCAAAAAAATAAAAATAAATAAAAATAATAAAATAAATTTAGTCATAGTTTCTTCAAAATTACAACATACTCTGGAGATTTAAATGTTACTAGACCATTTTGCAATACTTTTTTTTTTTTCCTTTTTGAGACAGAGTTTCACTCTTGTTGCCCAGGCTGGAGTGCAATGGCTCGATCTCGACTCACTGCAACCTCTGCCTCCTGGATTCAAGCGATTCTCCTGCCTCAGCCTCCCGAGTAGCTGGGATTACAGGCATGCACCACCACGCCCGGCTAATTTTGTATTTTTAATAGAGACAGGGTTTCGCCATGTTGGCCAGGCTGGTCTTGAACTCCTGAACTCAGATGATCCACTCACCTCGGCCTCCCAAAGTGCTGGGATTACAGGCATGAGATACTGCGCCCAGCCTTTTTTTTTAAGACGGAGTCTCACTCTGTCACCCAGGCTGGAGTGCAGTGGCGCAATCTCAGCTCATTGCAACCTCTGCTGCCGGGTTCAAGCGATTCTCCTGCCTCAGCCTCCCGAGTAGCTGAGATTACAGGAAAGTGCCACCACACCCAGCTAATTTTTGTATTTTTAGTAGAGACAGGGTTTCAGCATCTTGGCCAGGCTGGTCTTGAACTTCTCACCTCTTGATCCACCCGCCACAGCCTCCCAAAGTGCTGGAATTACAGGCATGAGACACTATGCCCAGCCTGCTATGCTTATTTTTTAAAAAAATTTTATCTCATGTATTTTGGGTAAATACTATTTTCTATTCTGACAATTCAAGTAAATCTTTAATGAAAAGAGTCATGCACGAACACAAGAATCATTGTTAATAGACAACAGAATACACAATATGCATTTCTTGTTTAGATAACACAATCATTAGCCTAACCTTGTGGCTAGCATTCCTGTTATTGATCTATGGTCATATCCTCACAGCTTAAAACAGTATCTGGCTTGGAATGGGTGCTCAAGAAACAGTAATTGAATCAACCTAATAATTCCCTGCCAAGTTTCTGTAACTGTTCTTCTTAAAAGGCAGGCTATATAATCAATCTGCTAGTCACTCAGAATCCTTCCCTCTTCTTTAAAAAAAAAAAAAAAAAGCTCAGAATTTTTCTTTTTCTGAAAAATTGAAACCAGGGAAATATATTACTTTATGCAGGCTGGGCACCATGGCTCACACCCATAATCCCAACACTTTGGGAGGCTGAAGCAGGCGGATCACTTGAGCCCAGGGGTTTGAGACTAGCCTGGACAACATGGCAAGGCCCCATCTCTAAAAACAACAACAACAAAAATACTTTAAGCAAAATACAATTTACAGTTGAAAAACATCTACAAGAAAAGTAGTAAGACTTAGTCTGCCTAGATTTACAGGTTAAACAAATAAATAGGGTGAAGGTTAGTCCCCTTTAATCTCACTATATTCTAAATTATGTTGGTTTATCAGGTACTCAAGATTGAACTATTTCCCTAACAATGCAAACTCTGTAACTGCAAGAACTAAAACTATAAAACTCTTAGAAGAAACATAGGCATTAATCTTCATGACCTTGGATTAGGCAATACTTTTTTTTTTTTTTTTTTTTTTTAGACAGAGTCTTGCTCTGTCGCCAGGCTGGAGTGCAGTGGTACGATCTCAGCTTACTGCAACCTCCGCCTCCCGAGTAGCTGGTACTACAGGCACCCACCACCACACCCAGCTAATTTTTGTATTTTTAATAGAGACAGAGTTTCACCATGTTGGCCAGGATGGTCTTGATCTCTTGACCTCGTGATCTGCCTGTCTTGGCATCCCAAAGTTCTGGGATTACAGGCGTGAGCCACGGCGCCCGGCTCTTAGGCAATGATTTCTTAGATTAGACACCAAAAGCACAGGCAACAAAAGAAAAAATAAATTGGACTTCATCAAAACTAAAACTTCCATGCCTCAAAGGATATCATCAAAACACCGAAAAGAGAATCCAAAGCCTGGGAGAAAATACTTAGAGATTATATATCTGATAAAGATCTAGTATTTGGTATATAGTTAAAAATTATAACTTAGCTGGGTGTGATGGCTCACACCTGTAATCCCAGCACTTTGGGAGGCCGAGGCGGGCAGATCACGAGGTCAGGAGTTCGAGACCAGCCTGACCAACATGGTGAAACCCCATCTCTACCAAAAATACAAAAAAGAGCCAGCCATAGTGGTGCACGCCCATAATCCCAGCTACTCAGGAGGCTAAGGCAGGAGAATCGCTTGAACCCGGGAGGTGGAGGTTGTAGTGAGCCGAGATCATGCCACTGCACTCCAGCCTGGGCAACAGAGCGAGACTCTGTCTCAAAAAAAAAAAAAAAAATTACAACTCAACAATAATAATAAAAAACAATTAAAAATGGGCAAAGAAATAGACATTTCTGGCCAGGCACGGTAGCTCATGCCCATAAGCCCCACACTTTGGGAGGCTGAGGTCAGGTGTTCAAGACCAGCCTGAACAACATGGTGAAACCCTGTCTCTAATAAAAACACAAAAATTAGCCAGGTGTGGTGGCCGTGCCTGTAATCCCAGCTACTCAGGAGGCTGAGGCAGGAAAATCGCTTGCACCCAGGAGGTGGAGGTTGTAGTGAACCGAGATCGCACCACTGCACCACTCCAGCCTGGGCGACAAAGCGAGACTCTGTCTCAAAAAATAAAAAAAAAAAGAAAAGAAAATAAATATACATTTCTTCAAAGAAGATATACAAATGGCCATTAAATATATTAAAGGATATTCAACATCATGCATCATTAACAAATGCAAATCAAAACTACAAGATACTGGGCCAGGTGCGGTGGCTCACGCCTGTAATCCCAGCACTTTGGAAGGCCAAGGCAGGCAGATCACCTGAGGTCAGGACTTTGAGACCAACCTGGCCAACATGGCGAAAACCCGTCTCTACTAAAAATACGAAAAAAAAAAATTAGCCAGGCATGGTGGTGCACACCTGCAGTCCCAGCTACTCAGGAGTCTGAGCCACGAGAATTGCTTAACCCAGGAGGCAGAGGTTGCAGTGAGCTGAGATCATGCCACTGCACTCCAGCTTCGGTGACAGTGAGACTCCATCTAAAAAAAAAAAAAAAACAAAGAAACTACAATATACCAGGTCCTGCATTTCTTACATGACCAAAACAAACAAAAAAAGATACCACTTCACACCTGCTAGGATGACTATAATCAAAAAGACAAATAACAAGTGTTCGTGAGGATGTGGAGACATTGGAACCTTTATACACAGCTGATGAGAATGCAAAATGGTGCAGATGCTTTGGAAAACAGTTGGGAAGTTCAAAAGATTAAACACAGAGTTATCATATGACCCACCAATTCTACTCCTAGGTATATAGCCAAAAGAAATGAAAACATATGTCCACACAAAAACTTGTGCCTAAATGTTCATAGTAGCATTACTCATAATAGCCAAGAAGTGGTAACAACCCAAAGGTCCATCAACTACAGAACAAATAAATAAAATGTGGCATATCCATACAATGGAACACGATTTGGCAATAAAAGGGAATGAAATACTGATTCCTGCTACAAAATGGATGAACTTTGAAACACTATGCTAAGTGAAAATATGAAATGTCTGGAATAGGTAAATTCATAAAGATAGAAAGAAGGCCAGACATGGTGGCTCAGTCCTGTAATCCCAGCACTTTGGGAGGACTGCCTGAGGCCAGGAGTTCAAGACCAGCCTGAGCAACACAGTGAGACCCTGTTTCTATGAAAAATAATAATAATAATAATAAAATTAGCTGGGCCTGGTGGTGTGTGCCTGCAGTTCTAGCTACTTGGAAGGCTGAGGCAGAGGACCACTTGAGCCCAGGAGGTCAAGCCTGCAGTGAGATATGACTGCACCCTTACCCTCCAGCTTGGGCAACACAAGTACCTGTCTCAAAAGAAAAAAAAAAAGAAAATGAAAGAAAAAAGGAAAAGACAGAATGAAGACTAGTGGTTGCCAGGGACCAATGGGAGGAAGAAACTGGGAGTTAGTGCTAATGGGTATGAGGCTTCTTCAAGAAAAATGAAAATGTCCTGGAATAGGATAGTGGTGATGATTGCAAAACTTTGTGAATACAGTAAAAACCACTGAATTGTGCACTTTAAAAGGGTGAATATTATGTTATATAAATATTATATTTCTCAATAAAAAAGAAAAAAAAATACAACCATTAAAGAATTGAGACATGACTTGGCCAAGTCTCCAATTGTGCCAAAAGCAAAATCTAGGCGGCATGGTGGTTTATACCTGTAATCCCAACACTTTGGGAGGCCACAGCAGGCAACTTAAGCCCAGGAGTTCAAGACCAGCCCGGGCAACATGACAAAACCCCGTCTCCACAAAAAAAAAAAAAAAAAATTAGCTGGACTTGGTGGCATGTGTATGTAGTCCCAGCTACTCAGAAGGCTGAGGTTGGGGGGTGTCTTGAGCCCAGGGACTTTATAGTCCCCAGTTCCACTTAGCACATCTTGTAATCATACTTCCTCATTATTAACATTCCAGAAACTGTAAGATGAAACACTGGTTTAGGAATAAATAACTTTTAAGCAAAAAAACAAACAAAAAAGTATACTATTTCAGTAACCAACAAAATTGTACATTAATCCATATAGTTCATACCATAATCTTGTTTTGGAATCACAATTAACATGTAAGTATACACTTTCATATCTGAATTGAAGGCTGTTCTGTTCTAAATCACTTTTGGCCATAACAGTTCTGTACATCCTCATGGTGACATATTACACACCACTCTCCTTAGAGCCTGTGCTATTCATCTTCACTTTTATAACACTTTTAGGACCAACAGCATGACACTAAGGTTGAAAAATACTGGAGTTTACCTGTATTTCACATCTGATTATTGCTTTTTCTTTCTTTGAATTATGCCATTCTGGAAGTTAGTCAACTTTGCTTGAATGTCTATGGGAAGGTATTGGCAGGTGGAAGTTTGCAGGCTCAGTGGCAACTTTTCAAAATGCAAAAATCAGTCATAACAACCTCTTCTTGCTTTAAAATTCTGTACCTTAGTCTTAGAAAAGCAACTTCCACTGTCTTTTATTACATTGTCAGGAAACCTTTGGCAAATATTTAAAGTTAAGATTTAGGTTAAAACTACAAATTTACAAGAGAAAAACAATCCCATTAAAAAGTGGGCAAAGGACATGAACAAAAACTTCACAAAAGAAGACAAACATGTGGCCAACAAGCATATGAAAAAAAGCTCAATATCACTGATCATTAGAGAAATGCAAATCAAAACCACAGTGAGATACCATTTCACACCAGTCAGAATGGCTATTATGGAAAAGTCAAAAAATAATACATGCTGGTGAGGTTGCAGAGAAAAGGGAACACTTATACACTGTTGGTGGGAGTGTAAATGAGTTTAACCATTGTGGAAAGCAGTATGGCAATTTCTCAAAGTGCTAAAAGCAGAACTACCATTCAACCCAGCAATCCCATTACTGAGCATATACCCAGATGAGTAGAAATCATTCTACCATAAAAACACATGCAAATGAATGTTCACTGCAGTACTATTAACAATAGCAAAGACATGGAATCAACCTAAATGCCCATCAATGACAGATTGGATAAAGAAAATGTGGCACATATACAACATGGAGTACTATGCAGCCAAAAAAAGAATGAGATCATGTCTTTTGTAGGAACATGGATGGAGATGGAGGCTATTATCGTTAGCAAACTAATGCAGAAACAGACATCCAAATACTACATGTTCTCACTTATAAGTGGGAACTAAATTATAAAAGCTTATGAACACAAATAAAGAAACAACAGACACTGGGGTCTACTTGAGCGGGGAGTGTGGGAGAAGGCAGAGGAGCAGAAAAGATTAACTATTGAGTACTGGGCTTAATACCTGGGTGATGAAATAATATGTATAACAAACCCCCTTGACAAATGTTTATGTATGTAACAAACCTTCCCATGTACCCCCAAGCTTAAAATAAAAGTTTTTTAAAAAAGATTTAGGTTAAAATTAAACAGTGTAACAGTGTGTGGAGCTACGAATATAACTAATTCAACTGAGGTGGCAATGTATAGCTAATTCTGTACACACCCAGGCAATGACAGTCACCAATAAATCTCTACATGGTGGCTGGCAAGTTTCTACTGACATGAATTATAACATAGACTTCAGAAAAGTTAAAATATAAAAAAGATTCATTTGAAAATTGAGAAAATAAAATACATTTACAACTAGAACTTTCTTTTTTTAGTTCCTTAATCTCTATCACCCTTAAGCTATAGGCTCTGAGATCAAGATATGTGATAATGGTGCTATTCCATAAACAATGAATGTAAAAAAGTTATCTTCTCATTAATGAACTTACAGAGAATACTAGATATATAATCAACCATTAATGTAAAAGGACCGAGAAAAATGTGTAATGTATAATGCAGAGAGTTTATAGGAAGAGCATAAATAATATGTACATCACTCCACAGACAAAAAGTCTGGAAATCTCTTCAAAGATGGAAAAAACTTAAAACTTATAGAACTTCGAATTCCTAATTTTTCCTTTATGTACACTTATAGGTAATTGTATTAAGAGAAAGATAAGGAAGACAGAAAAGACAGTGAAGAATATTCCCTTTCTGGAACTATTTCATTAAAGTTTGTCCCACAATTTAAAAAAATCTGTTTGACCTAAAAAATGGGGAAGAAACCATCCAGCCCTTTTCACTTAGCGGACTCATGGCATAGGTGAGTGGCTGAAACAATCATGTAATAAGTAACCTTAAAGAAATGTGTTATATTTAGGCACCATTATACACTTTTGGTGGTAGTATAAATTACTACAATCATTTTGGAAAGCAATTTGGCAATATATAGTGAGATCTTTAAAAATATATATACCCTTTGACTAAAGAGTCCAGTTTCTCAAAATCTATTCCAAAGACATCCTATGAAACATGCACAGAGGCTGTCTTCCAAGTATTACTTATTATAGTGAAAAATGGAAAGCCTCATTTGTCTAACAACAGGTAAATGATTTAAAAATTATTGTACATCCACAAGACACAGAGTATTACAAAATTATTTTAAAATATTTATCAAGAATGCTTTTTAACTTTTTTCCTTTCCTGATATTTTTAAAATTTTTAAGTAATATATACTCATGGTAAAAGAAAATTCAAAAAACGTGAACAAAAACCAGAAGTCCTCTCAATTCTCTTATACAGTATTCTATCCCCAATTCCCAAAGGTAACTACACTGTTAAATTGTGTGTGTGTGCGTGTGTGTGTGTGTGTGTATGTATGTATGTGTTAAACTTCTAGAAATTTTTTGGGCATACACACACAAACTTATCTAACAAACATTTATCTATACATGGATAATTTTTTGCTTTGTTTTTAATATAAATAGAGCAATTCTAAGCATGTTGTTTTTCATTTTGCTTCTTACACTTATATTCTGACAACTGTTCCACAGCAGCACATATTGGTTTACCTTATTCACAAAAATTAATATTTAAATATGTATCGGGCTTAAGATTGATAGATATTTAGGTTGTTTAGATTTTTCTGCTCACCAATAATGCAATAATGAACACATTTGAATACATTTCTTTATGTACTAGTGTTACTATGTCAGTTCCTAAAAGCAGAATTTCAGTATTTTAGATAATGAAAGTTACAGACAAATCATCCACCAAAAATATCGCACTGATATCATCCTTCCTACCTCTTCAAACTATTCTAAACACTGAATATTACCAACTTTTAAAGATTTACCAATCTGGAAGATAAATATTTTAATCTGTGTATCTATAAATATAAGTAAAATTAAACCACTATTCCACTGCATGGGTCATCTTTTTCTTTTTTGTTTTCGAGGAGTCTCACTCTGTCGCCCAGGCTGGAGTGCAATGGCAAGATCTCAGCTCACTGCAACCTCCACCTCCCGGGTTCAAGCAATTCTCTTGACTCAGCCTCCCAACTAGCTGGGATTACAGGCACCTGCCACCACACCCGGCTAATTTTTGCATTTTTAGTAGAGATGGGGTTTCACCATGTTGGCCAGGCTGGTCTTCAACTCCTGACCTCAGGTGATCCACCCGCCTTGGCCTCCCAAAGTGCTGGGATTACAGGCGTGAGCCACCGTGCCCAGTCGGTTCATCTTTTTCTTATAGGCTTATGAGTCCTGATACAGTGAGGAAATTTGCTCTTTGTCACATATTGTAAACATTTTATTTACTTTTTATTTTTTGAGATGTAGTCTTGTTTTGTTGCCGAGGCTGGAGTGCAGTGACATGATCTCAGCTCACTAAAACCACCGCCTTCCGGGTTCAAGTGATTCTCCTGCCTCAGCCTCCCAAGTAGCTGGGACTACAGGTGTGCGCCATCATGCCCGGCTAATTTTTTTGTATTTTTAGTAGAGATGGGGTTTCACCATGTTAGCCAGGCTGGTCTCGAACTCCTGACCTCAGGCAATCTGCCCGCCTCAGCCTCCCAAAGTGCTGGGATTACAGGTGTGACCCACCATGCCTGGCCTACATTTTGCAGTTTGTTGTCTTTCAACAGTGTTTATATTTTTTAGTTCAGTTTTGTTTTGTTTTTTACTGTCTAGCAAATTTTTCTATTCTTCCCATTAGGGTTCCTCAACTTTACATATGCTTCAATTTCAAATATAAAAATAATATATATGTATTTTACTACTCTTTTTATCATTACTTTTTTTTTTTTTTTTTTGAGACAGTTTTGCTCTTGTTGCCCAGGCTGGAGTGCAATGGCACGACCTCGGCTCACTGCAACCTCCGCCTCCCAGGTTCAAGCAATTCTCCTGCCTCAGCCTCCCGAGTAGCTGGGATTACAGGTACATGCCACCATGCCCAACTAATTTTTGTATTTTTAGTAGAGACAGGGTTTCACCATGTTAGCCAGGCTGCTCTTGAACACCTGACCTCTGATGATCCACCCACCTTGGCCTCCCAAAGTGCTGGGGATTACAGGCATGAGCCACTGTGCCCAGCCAGCGGCAGCAATTTTTAAGAAATAGTTTAATTACAGATGAATGGCTATAGATTGCCAATGATAAGAGCCACAAGTCTGAAACCCAGGAGCTCTCTACAATCTAATTTTGATGTTATGACTGTTTTCTATAGATTTACTATACAAAATTAGCCTCAATTTTTTAATCTACAAAATAGAGATTAAAGTAACTGTTAATTGCAGCTATGAAAAATGATAGTCTTATTAGAAACTAGTAGGGCATTTATAAATTAACAAATGGCTACCATATAGAAAAAAAAACTGCTTAGGTTAATTTATGAACATACTATGTTTGGAAAAAACAAATGTGAGTAATGAGTGATTAATATCTCTTGATATTGTATATTGATAATTTTCAAATATAAGGATATGACCCAAAGGGAAATGACAGAGCGACCCCAAAGAGAAAGCAGAGACCCAGGAGAAGGTTAGCTAAAGGTTACACGAAACGGGAAAATCTGGCCCTGTATTGCAATCTTTCTTTTAATTCCTCACTTTTAATTGTTTTCTCCCAGCCTTGAAGAGCGACTTATTAGTGATGAAAATAGTAAATCTTAGGGGAGCATGCAGTTGGTCACTGTGGCACCCTGAAGACCTTAGTTTTAGAGGAAGAAAAACTGAGGAGCTAAGAGCCCCAAGAAGGTCATAAATGGGTATAATAAATATTTCTAGAGATGTGGAATAACAAAGTAAAACTTATACTTACAAGTTGAGATTCACGAACTTTAGGAAACATTTTGGCAACATTGAGACCATCAATGACAACATCAAAAGGAGGACGAGATTTTATGAAGTTCTCAAATCTCTTAAGTTCCTAATAAAGAAATGTCAGACAAAACATTAATAAGAACTCAGTAAGGACTTTATTATAAACACACTGCAGTGACCTTTATTATTGTTTTGATAATTCAAAATATTCATCCCTTAAAAATACACACACACACACACACACACACAGATACTCTACAAATGAAATCTGAAAAAGCCAGTCTAATGGATGCAACTGCATACAATTATCCAATACACTCTATAATCTCATAGTGCTTTATACTGCACAAAGCACTTTCATATGTAATTTCATTTGATCTGCAGCTGGCCTATCTAGACTTCTAAATTAACCCACATGATAGTTATGATAAGAATGAACTGGCGGTTCCAAGATGGCCGAATAGGAACAGCTCCAGTCCACGGCTCCCAGCGTGAGCGATGCGGAAGATGGGTGATTTCTGCACTTTCAACTGAGCTTTGAAGAGAGCAGTGGTTCTCCCAGCACGGAGTTTGAGATCTGAGAATGGACAGACTGCCTCCTCAAGTGGGTCCCTGACCCCCGAGTAGCCCAAGTAGGGGCAGACTGACACCTCACACGGCCGGGTACCCCTGAGACGAAGCTTCTAGAGGAACGATCAGGCAGCAATATTTGCTGTTCAGCAATATTCGCTGTTCTGCAGCCTCCGCTGCTGATACCCAGGCAAACAGGGTCTGGAGTGGACCTCCAGCAAACTCCAGCAGACCTGCAGCTGAGGGTCCTGACTGTCAGAAGGAAAATTAACAAACAGAAAGGACTTCCACACCAAAACCCCATCTGTCTGTCAACATCATCAAAGACCAAAGGTAGATAAAACCATAAAGATGGGGAAAAAACAGAGCAGAGAAGCTGAAAATTCTAAAAATCAGAGCACCTCTCCCCCTCCAAAGGAACGCAGCTCCTCGCCAGCAACAGAACAAAGCTTTGCGATGACTTTGATGAGTTGAGAGAAGAAGGCTTCAGACGATCAAACTTCTCTAAGCTGAAGAAGGAAGTTCGAACCCATTGCAAAGAAGCTAAAAACCTTTAAAAAAGATTAGATGAATGGCTAACTAGAATAACCAGTGTAGAGAAGTCCTTAAATGACCTGATGGAGCTGACAACCATGGCACGAGAACTACGTGACGAATGCACAAGCTTCAGTAACCGACTCGATCAACTGGAAGAAAGGGTATCAGTGATGGAAGATGAAATGAATGAAATGAAGCAAGATGAGAAGTTTAGAGAAAAAAGAGGAAAAAGAAATGAACAAAGCCTCCAAGAAATATGGGACTATATGAAAAGACCAAATCTATGTCTGATTGGTGTACCTGAAAGTGACAGGGAGAATGGAACCAAGTTGGAAAACACTGCAGGATATTATCCAGGAGAACTTCCCCAACCTAGCAGGCAGGCCACCATTCAAATTCAGGAAATACAGAGAATGCCACAAAGATACTCCTCAAGAAGAGCAACTCCAAGATACATAATTGTCAGATTCACTAAAGTTGAAATGAAGGAAAAAATGTTAAGGGCAGCTAGAGAGAAAGGTCAGGTTCCCCAGAAAGGGAAGCCCATCAGACTAACAGCGGATCTCTAGGCAGAAACTCTACAAGCCAGAAGAGAGTGGGGGCCAATATTCAACATTCTTAAAGAAAAGAATTCTCAACCCAGAATTTCCTATCCAGCCAAACTAAGCTTCATAAGTGGAGGAGAAATAAAATGCTTTACAGACAAGCAAATCCTGAGAGATTTTGTCACCACCAGGCCTGACCTAAAAGAGCTTCTGAAGGAAGCACTAAACGTGGAAAGATACAACCGGTACCAGCCACTGCAAAAACATGCCAAAACGTAAAGACCATCGATGCTAGGAAGAAACTGCATCAACTAATGAGCAAAATAACCAGCTAACATCACAATGACATGATCAAATTCACACATAATATTAACCTTAAATGTAAATGGGCTAAATGCTCCAATTAAAAGACACAGTCTGGCAAACTGGATAAAGAGTCAAGATCCATCAGTGTTGCTGTATTCAGGAGACCCATCTCACATGCAGAGACACACATAGGCTCAAAATAAAAGGATGGAGGAAGATCTACCAAGCAAATGGAAAACAAAAAAAGGCAGAGGTTGCAATCCTAGTCTCTGATAAAACAGACATTAAACCAACAAAGATCAAAAGAGACAAAGAAGGCCATTACATAATGGTAAAGGGATCAATTCAACAAGAAGAGCTAACTATCCTAAATATATATGCACCCAATACAGGAGCACCCAGATTCATAAAGCAAGTCCTCAGAGACTTACAAAGAGACTTAGACACCCACACAATAATAATGGGAGACTTTAACACTCCACTGTCAACATTACACAGATCAACGAGACAGAAGTTAACAAGGATATCCAGGAATTGAACTCAGCTCGGCATCAAGCGGACCTAATAGACATCTACAGAACTCTCCACCCCAAATCAACAGAATTTACATTCTTCTCAGCACCACATCGCATTTATTCCAAAATTGACCACATAGTTGGAAGTAAAGCACTCCTCAGCAAATGTAAAAGAACAGAAATTATAACAAACTGTCTCTCAGACCACAGTGCAATCAAACTAGAACTCAGGATTAAGAAACTCACTCAACCGCTCAACTACATGGAAATTGAACAACCTGCTCCTGAATGAATACTGGGTACATAATGAAATGAAGGCAGAAATAAAGATGTTCTTTGAAACCAATGAGAACAAAGACAAAACATACCAGAATCTCTGGGACACATTTAAAGCAGTGTGTGGAGGGAAATTTATAGCACTAAATGCCCACAAGAGAAAGCAGGAAAGATCTAAAATCGACACCCTAACATCACAATTAAAAGAACTAGAGAAGCAAGAGCAAACACATTCAAAAGCTAGCAGAAGGCAAGAAATAACTAAGATCAGAGCAGAACTGAAAGAGACAGAGACACAAAAAACCCTTCAAAAAAATCAATGAATCTAGGAGCTGGTTTTTTGAAAAGATCAACAAAATTGATAGACTGCTAGAAAGACTAATAAAGAAGAAAAGAGAGAAGACTCAAATAGACACAATAAAAAATGATAAAGGGGATATCACCACCGATCCCACAGAAATACAAACTACCATCAGAGAATACTATAAACACCTCTACGCAAATAAACTAGAAAATCTAGAAGAAATGGATAAATTCCTGGACACATACACCCTCCCAAGACTAAACCAGGAAGAAGTTGAATCTCTGAATAGACCAATAACAGGATCTGAAATTGAGGCAATAATTAATAGCCTACAAACCAAAAAAAGTCCAGGACCAGACGGATTCACAGCCAAATTCTACCAGAGGTACAAGGAGGAGCTGGTACCATTCCTTCTGAAACTATTCCAATCAATAGAAAAAGAGGGAATCCTCCCTAACTCATTTTATGAGGCCAACATCATCCTGATACCAAAGTCTGGCAGAGACACAACAAAAAAAGAGAAATTTTAGACCAATATCCCAGATGAACATCGATGGAAAAATCCTCAATAAAATACTGGCAAACTGAATCCAGCAGCACATCAAAAAGCTTATCCACCACGATCAAGTGGGCTTCATCCCTGGGATGCAAGGCTGGTTCAACATACGCAAATCAATAAATGTAATCCAGCATATAAACAGAACCAAAGACAAAAACCACACTATTATCTCAATAGATGCAGAAAAGGCCTTTGACAAAATTCAACAGCCCTTCACGCTAAAAACTCTCAATAAATTAGGTATTGATGGGACGTATCTCAAAATAATAAGAGCTATTTATGACAAACCCACAGCCAATGTCATACTGAATGGGCAAAAACTGGAAGCATTCCCTTTGAAAACCGGCACAAGACAGGGATGCCCTCTCTCACCACTTCTATTCAACATAGTGTTGGAAGTTCTGGCCAGGACAATCAGGCAGGAGAAAGAAATAAAGGGTATTCAATTAGGAAAAGAAGAAGTCAAATTGTCCCTGTTTGCAGATGACATGATCGTATATTTAGAAAACCCCATTGTCTCAGCCCAAAATCTCCTTAAGCTGATAAGCAGCTTCAGCAAAGTCTCAGGATACAAAATCAATGTACAAAAATCACAAGCATTCTTACACACCAATAACAGACAAACAGAGAGCCAAATCATGAGTGAACTCCCATTCAAAATTGCTACTAAGAGAATAAAATACCTAGGAATCCAACTTACAAGGGATGTGAAGGACCTCTTCCAGGAGAACTACAAACCACTGCTCAACGAAATAAAAAAGGACACAAACAAATGGAAGAACATTCCATGCTCATGGATAGGAAGAATCAGTATTGTGAAAATGGCCATACTGCCCAAGGTAATTTATAGATTCAATGCCATCCCCATCAAGCTACCAATGACTTTCTTCACAGAATTGGAAAAAACTACTTTAAAGTTCATATGGAACCAAAAAAGAGCCTGCATTGCCAAGACAATCCTAAGCCAAAAGAACAAAGCTGGAGGCATCAAGCTACATGACTGCAAACTATACTACAAGGTTATAGTAACCAAAACAGCATGGTACTGGTACCAAAACAGAGATATAGACCAATGGAACAGAACAGAGCCCTCAGAAATAATGCCGCTTATCTACAACTATCTGATCTTTGACAAACCTGACAAAAACAAGCAATGGGGAAAGGATTCCCTATTTAATAAATGGTGCTGGGAAAACTGGCTAGCCATATGTAGAAAGCTGAAACTGGATCCCTTCCTTACACCTTATACAAAAATTAATTCAAGTTGGATTAAAGACTTAAATGTTAGACCTAAAACCATAAAAACTCTAGAAGAAAACCTAGGCAATACCATTCAGGACATAGGCATGGGCAAGGACTTCATGTCTAAAACACTAAAAGCAATGGCAACAAAAGCCAAAATTGACAAATGGGATCTAATTAAACTCAAGAGCTTCTGCACAGCAAAAGAACCTACCATCAGAGTGAACAGGCAACCTACAGAATGGGAGAAAATTTTTGCTATCTACTCATCTGACAAAGGGCTAATATCCAGAATCTACAAAGAACTCTAACAAATTTACAAGAAAAAAAACAACCCCATCAAAAAGTGGGCAAAGGACATGAACAGACACTTCTCAAAAGAAGACATTTATTCAGCCAACAGACACATGAAAAAATGCTCATCATCACTGGCCATCAGAGAAATGCAAATCAAAACCACAATGAGATACCATCTCACACCAGTTAGAATGGCGATCATTAAAAAGTCAGGAAACAACAGGTGCTGGAGAGGATGTGGAGAAGTAAGAACACTTTTACACTGTTGGTGGGACTGTAAACTAGTTCAACCATTGTGGAAGACAGTGTGGCGATTCCTCAGGGATCTAGAACTAGAAATACCATTTGACCCAGCCATCCCATTACTGGTTATATACCCAAAGGATTATAAATCATGCTGCTATAAAGACACATGCACATGTATGTTTATTGCGGCACTGTTCACAATAGCAAAGACTTGGAACCAACCCAAATGTCCATCAATGATAGACTGGGTTAAGAAAATGTGGCACATATACACCATGGAATCCTATGCAGCCATAAAAAAGGATGAGTTCATGTCCTTTGTAAGGACATGGATGAAGCTGGAAACCATCATTCTGAGCAAACTATTGCAAGGACAGAAAACCAAACACCGCGTGTTCTTATTCATAAGTGCGAATTGAACAATGAGAACACTTGGACATAGGAAGGGGAACATCACACATCAGGGCTTGTCGTGGGGTGGGGGGAGGGGGGAGGGATAGCACTAGGAGATATACGTAACGTAAATGACGAGTTAACGGGTGCAGCACACCAACATGGCACATGTATACAAACCTGCACATTGTGCACATGTACCCTAGAACTTAAAGTATAATAAAAAAAAAAAAAAGAAAAAAAAAAGAAGAATGAACTGTCAAAATCTCTAAGTCCTGTTCTGTAGGCCAAGGAGGAGTGAACCTTAGGTATGCCACTCTACCAGTACAACCGTGCTGAAAGAACAAGGCTGTAAAACGTATAGGTCCTCTTTTGTCATTAAGAGGCTTTTATTTACCTATGGCTGTTTTGGAGAGGTAAAGATTCAGCCAATCATTAATTCAACAAATATTTGCTGAGCACCTACTACATGCCTAGCAGTTTACCAAAGGGACAAACAAAACAAAACAGAACAAAAAAACCCCAACTTAATGGAGCTTAGTGGGAGGATGCAGAAAATAAACGAAGTCAATAAGTAAATAATATTAAATGTGAGAATGCTATGGAGAAAAAAATAGGGGAGGGAGTTCTACCTCTGGTAATGATGGAATAGTTTGTACTGGACTACTAGATAATAATATAAATTCTAGATAAATACCCAACTATTTCAAAGTACCAAAGAATGAGCAAAAGCAGGCAGAAACTGGAGGGGACATGACATTTGAAGGTTTGGTAGTTTTAAAATCTGTCTGAAAATTAGTTGACACTCCCCTCTCAAAAGGTGATGTCTAATACCCTATGCTTTGAATATGGGCTCTCCTTTGTGACTGCCTCAATGAGTGGGATGTGGCAGAAGTGACATTATGTGATTTCTGAGGCTAGGAAATAAAAGATAATACAGCTTTCATCTGGCTGTCACTCTCAGGATGCTTGCTCTTGGAAACCAGCCATCCTGAGAATGCCCAAGTAGACGTTATATGTAAGTGTTCCATCTGACAGTCCAACGGAGTCCCAGCCAACAGCCAGCTAGCATCAATCACCACACCGATGAGACTGAGGGGGATTTCAAGATGACCCCCAGCCCCTATTTGATTACAATAGGAGACCCAAGCAAGAAGCATCAATTGAGTCTCATCAACCCCTAGAACCACGAGAGAGAACAACAATAATAATAGTAATAAATGATTGCGTTTTTTTAAAGCCACTATATTTGGGAAAATAAAGGAAAGAAAAGAAGGGAATTATACCAGGTAAAATTTGTCTTGGTCAGAGGGCAATCTCCAGACAGTATGGCCAGCAGGAACAGCTGGAAATCAAGCAGAAAGCTGCAGAACTTACTGGTTTGAGGAAACAGAAGACAGAGTTTGGGGCAACCAGAGGCTGGAAAATGACAGGGAATCCTAGAAAGGATAAAACCACAAAATTTGCACATAAATCTCCTCAAATCCTTGGGTAAAACATGATCTGCACATGCTTGGAGAAGATTCCAAGAAGCCCAGCAAAAAAGCAACAGGTGAAAGACTTGAAAGACCTAAGCAGAGATCTCAGCTGCTACCCACTGCAAGGGAGACAGTTTGGAGTCTAAGTCTAAAGAAGTTTAACAGCCTGCTAAATTAGCAAAAAATCAATAATTTCTAGACAAACATAGATAATCTCTAAAGCCTCTGCAATGTGTCATTCACAATGTCTGATACACAATTGAAAATTAATAAACATGAAAAGAAATACAGAAATGTGATCCACAGTCAAGAAAAAAGGGATTCAAAATAAACTAATCTGGGCTGGGCACAGTGGCTCAAGCCTGTAATCCCAGCAATTTGGGAGGCTCAGGTGGGTGGATCACTTGATGTCAGGAGTTCAAGACCAGCCCGGCCAACATGGTGAAACCTCATCTCTACTAAAAATATAAAAATTATCCAGGCATGGTGGTGCATGCCTATAATCCCAGCTACTCAGGAGGCTAAGGCAAGAGAATTGCTTGATCTTGGGAAGTGAAGGTTGCAGTGAGCCAAGATCACGCCACTGCACTCCAGCCTGGGCAACAGAGAGAAACTCTATCTCCAAAAAAAAAAAATGAAACTGGCTGGGCGCAGTGGCTCACACCTGTAATCCCAGCACTTTGGGACGCCAAGGCAGGTGGATCACGAGGTCAAGAGATCAAGACCATCCTGGCCAACATGGTGACAGCTTGTCTCTACTAAAAATAAAAAAATTAGCTTAAAAATAAAAATTAGCTGGGCATGGTAGTGCATACCTGTAGTCTCAGCTACTCAGGAGGCTGAGGCAGAAGAATCGCTTGAACCCGGGAGGCGAAGGTTGCAGTGAGCTGAGATCATGCAACTGCACTCCAGCCTGGTGACAGAACGAGACTCTCAGAAAAGAAAGAAAGAAAGAAAGAGGAGAGGAGAGGACAGGAGAGAGAGGGAGAGAGGGAGAGAGGGAGAGAGGGAGAGAGGAAGGGAAAGAAAGGAAAGAGGGGAAAGAAAGAAAGAAGGAAGGAAGGAAGGAAGGAAGGAAGGAAGGAAGGAAGGAAAGAAAGAAACCAATCCAAAGTGTAGATGCCTGAGTTAGCAGACAAGAGCTATAAAGTAACTATTGCAAATATAATCAAGAATTCTGCCTGTAATCCCAGTACTTTGGGAGCCTGAGGCAGGTGCCTCACCTGAGGTCAGGAGTTCGACACCAGCCTGGCCAATAAAGTGAAACCCCGTCTCTACTAAAAATACAAAAATTAGCCGGATGTGGTGGTGGGCACCTGTAATCCCAGCTACTTGGGAGGCTGAGGCAGGAGAATCACTTGAACCTGGGAGGCGAAGGTTGCAGTGAGCCAAGATTATACCACTGTACTCCAGCTTGGGCAACAGAGTGAAACTCCATCTCAAAAAAAAAAAAAATTAGAAGTAAATATAGTCATAATTAATGCAAAGAAAGAAAATCTCCACAGAGACTGTAAACTAGAAAAATTAACAAAATGAACATTACAGAACCAAAAAGCACAAATGTGAAATAAAATATTCCTAGGGTGGATTTAACAGCAGATTGGAGATGGCAGAAGAAAGAGTCAGTGAACATGAAAGACAGAGCAACAAAAAATTATACAATTTAATGAAAGCAAAAAGATGAATTGGGTCTCAGTAACCTGTGGTACAATATCAAACAGATTAACATGTGTAATTACAGTCTAGAAGGAGAGGATAGAAAGGATAGAGTAATAAAAAGTATTTGAATAGCCAAAACATCCCCAAATTTGATGAAATACATAACTTACCCAAGAAGCAGAGCAAACTCAAAGCAGAATAAACACAAAGAAAACCATAAGTAAAACTATAACTAGGCACATCATAGTAAAACTGATGAAAATCAAAAATAGAAAAATCTTAAAAGCAGTCAGAAAAAAAGGATACATAACATAAAAAGGAATAATGATACAAATGACAGTTTAATTCTCATCAGACACAATGGGGCCAGAGAACATCTTTAAAAGGATAACAGACAACAAATAAAATAACAACAACAAAAAACTGCTTTCAATCCACAATTCTATATCTAGTAAAAATATCCTTCAAAAATTGCCAAAAACAATTAAGGTGAAATAAAGATATATTCAGGTAAATGAAAACAGATAATTCATCACCAGCAAGCCTGCAACATAAGGAATGCTAAAGCTGGCCAGTGCCATGGCTCATGCCTGTAATCCCAGCATTTTGAGAGGCCCAGGTAGGAGGATCACTTGAGGTCAGGAATTCAAGACCAGCCTGGGCAACACAGCAAGATACTGTCTCTACAAAAAAGAAAGAAGGCTAGGTGCAGTGGCTCATGCTTGTAATCCCAGCACTTTGGGAGGCCGAGGTGGGTGGATCACCTGAGGTCGGGAGTTCAAGACCAGCCTGACCAACATGGAGAAACCCCATCTCTACTAAAAATACAAAATTAGCTGGGTGTGGTGGCACACGCCTGTAATCCCAGCTACTCGGGAGTCTGAGGCAGAAGAATTGCTTGAACCGGGGAGGCAGAGGTTGCGGTGAGCCGAGATTGCGCCATTACACTCCAGCCTGGGCAACAAGAGTGAAACTCCGTCACAAAAAAAAAAGAAAAAAGAAAAAGAAAAGAAAGAAAGAAATGCTAAAGCAATTTCTTCAGGCTGAAGGGAAATAATATCAGATGAAAACCTAGACTTGGAAGAAATGAAAAAACACCAAAAATAAAATGGTAAAGATGTGGATATTTATAAAAAAGAATATACTTTTTATTCTTTCAATTTCTTTAAAAGACATGTGACTACTTAAAGCAAAAATTATCATAGCACTATATTATGGGGCTTAAAACACATGTAATATATGTTTTAAGCTACAATAAAACAATAGCACAAAGACCAGGAAGTGGTAAATGGAATTCTATTGCTATAATGTTCTTATATTTCATGTGAAATCGTTCAATATAAACTGTAAGTAAACTGAATTAAGTTAAGGATTCAGATTGTAAAGCCCAAATCATACATTTAAAAAATAATGTAGATCTGTAGGCCAGAGTTGATAAAATTTTTTAAAAGTTTAAAAAAAAGCAAAAAGGTATAGATAAAAGCCAATAGATGAATTATATGACAAATTAAAAGAAATTCAATTAACCCAAAAGGAGACATCAAAGGAGAAACAGAAGAACAAAAAGCAGATGGGATAAATAGAAGACAAATAGCAAAATAAAATGCTTAAATCCAACCTTATAAAAAATGCTATCTATAATAGATGTACTTATCTTTAATACAGAATAAGGGGAAAGTGAAAAGTAGGGAAAAATATGTATCATGCATCAATAAGCTTAAGAAACTTGGAATGGTGACACTAATGTTAGACAAAATAGACTTGAAGAAAAGGAATACTACAAAAAGAAGGGACATTTCATAATGATGACAGGATCAATACATCAAAGTCATATCATAAATAACAATAGAGCTTCAAGATGTGGATAAAGGAAAAGCTGACAGAACAAAGGAGGAACAGGTAACTCTACAATTACAGATGGAGATTTCAACACTCTTCTCTGCATAATTGATTGAACAAGTAGATAAAAATCAGTGAGGACTTCGAAGACAAATCTATATCTGTAGGACACTATGCCCAACAATAGCAGACTACGTATTCCTTTTCAAGTGCACATGGAACATCTACTAAGACAGACCACAAGTAGGCCATTGATATGGTTTGGCTTTGTGTCCCCACCCAAATCTCACCTTGAATTGTAATCCCCAGGTGTTGAAGGGAAGACCTGGTAAAAAGTGTTTAGATTATGGGGGTGGTTTCTTCCATGCTGTTCTCGTGATAGTGAGTGAATTCTCACCAGATCTGAAGGTTTTATAAACGGTAGTTTTTCCTGTGCTCTCACATACTCTCTTGCCTGCTGCCGTGTAAGACATGCCTGCTTCCCCTTCTGCCATCATTGTAAGTTTCCTAAGGCCTCCCCAGCCATGCAGAACCTTGAGTCAATTAAACCTCTTTTCTTTGTAAATTTACCCACGCTCAGGCAGTTCTTTATAGCAGTGTGAGAATAGACTAACCATAAAATAAGTTTCAATACATTTCAAAATACTGAGATCTTTATAGTTGCTGATACACACATACACACACATATACACACAGACACACACTTAAACAAAAAACCACTAGCAGTAAAATATCTATAAAAGCCCCAAGTATTCCTAAATACAGTTCTCAATAACCCAAGGGTCAAAAAAATTACAAAGGGAATTAGGAAATATTTTGAACTAAGTGATAATAAAAATTACATATCAAAATTCATGGGATGCAGTATACTAGTACTTAGCAGGAAATACATAGCTTTAAATACTTATATAAAAAAAAAAGAAAGAAAGGTCATAAAACATTGACCTAAGTTTTCAACTTAAAAAGGTAGAAAAAGAAGAGCAAATTAAATTTCAAAGAAAGTAGAATAATAATAAGCAGAAATCAAAGAAATAGGAAAAGCTAATAAGGCAAAAAGTTGAAAAAAAAATGAATGAACCTCAATCCCTATTTCACATCACACACACAAAATATTTCTAAATAGTTCATAAACTTAAAAGCCGAAACTATGAAAATTCTAGAAGAAAACAGGAAAATTATTAGCAACATTAGAATAGGCATAAATTTCTTGGGCAACATACAAAGTCATCACTAATAGTCACATACGGGGGTCCTTGATACAATGCCCTTGAAAAGGTTATAAGATAATTTCTGTAACATTCTTGCCAAAAATACCAACCTGAATCTTATCATAAGGAAATATCAGATAAACCCAAATTGACAGACATGTTACAAAATAATAGGCCTATGCTTTTTTATTATTTTTTTTTAAGTTGAGGTCTAAGAAAGACAAAGAAAACTGAGATTAAAAGAAACCAAAGAAACATGACAACTAAACCCAATGTGTGGTCATAGTTTGGATCTAGAGGAAGGAAAAGCTTGTTATGGACATTATTGGGACAAGTGACAAAACCTGAGTATCAACTAGCAATTAAATAATCTTATTATATCAATGTTACAAAGATGAAGAACTCCCTTTGGTCCAATAACTATTATAAAATACTCAACATCATTAGTCTTTAGGAAAACGCAAATTTAAAACCATAGCAAGAAATCATTATACACCCACTAGAATGGCCGAAATTAAAAAGACTGACCCATAACAAGTATGTGGAGCAACTGGAATTTCCAAACATTGCTGATGGGAATGCGGGATGGTACAACCACTTTGGAAAATAATTCAGCAGTTTCTTACAAAGTTAAACATATATTTATCATATAACTGAGCAGTCCCATTTATGAGTATTCACAGAAGAAGTAAGAAAATACACACCCACACAAAGACTTATATGTGAATGTTAACAGTGGCTTTATTCCTAATTGCCAAAAACCGAAAACAATTCAAGTGTCTATTAACTAATGAATGAATGGGGGAAAAATGTGTTAAAGCCAGTTGCTTTAATACTCCTTTTCTTCTAATCCTTAGAAAATATTATCTGGTGTCTGCAGCACATGGATATAGTTAACATGTGACGATCACTACTTTTTATGCAAAGTTTTGAGTATGCATTATTGTTTTCCACTTATTTCTTCTTATTTGCTAGAGTAGGACATTAAGTGAGAAAGGTCTTTGTGAATTCGGTATTAAAGCAACTGGCTTTAGTCATAGCAGATGTGGAAAAACAGGGGAATACCAGCTCTTTTGGTTGGAAGCAGTGCTCTTAACATGCGAACAAAAATAAAAAATCCATCTCTGTATCTAATTACTTCCTGTGCATTCTTTAAACCATGGAAGCCAAATAGATCCTAAATAAGAACATTAACATGACTGCCTTAATGTAGCTAGGGGAAAATGAAGCCACGTGGCTAAAAAGTATCATTGTAAGCTAACAACTAACATGGAGGCTAGAGAAATTTTAAACTGGCAACAGTACTGTAAACTAAAGAGAAGAGATGTTTGGGAGAGTTCTCCTAACCAAATGACCAATAGTAATCAATGGTAATTTATTGAGACAAACTATCTTATCGCATTTCTCCAGCTTTGGAGACAAAAAAGAGTAGAGGTGACTCAAAGTAAAGCAGAAAAAATACTTTAACTCAATTTTAAGAAAAAAGGCTGCAATAAACAGAAAAAACAGTGATGGTCTCCTTACCGCATGTCAAACATCTCTCAAGCAAGTTTACTTTACCACTCAATCCAGGTGGTCCGTTAGCTGTTTTCTTCTATCCTAATAAAATAATTAACCTTCAAGGCAGGAGAGTTAGGCAAATACAGCATCTTTGAACACTTTATCATCTAAAGAGAAGTGGTATAAGCAGGTAACGGGACTGAAAGTAAGATAAGACAAGCACATGACACCAAGGAATAATCTTTCATAAGCTGTTCAGAGAAGAATTATAAATGGCATCTGACTTGAGAAGCCAGAGAGGAAAAATGCCCCATCTTCATGCAGCTTACCAGATAAACTGGAGTAATATCCTGATGAGTCTAGATCCAAAAGGTGGAAACTGCCAGCATCCGAAGGGACAATGAAGGGGTAAGTACACTCTGCCCATCTACCTAATGGCATATGCTGAGCATTAATGGATCTCTTCTCTCAAGGATAATTCAATAGGGTGAAAAAGTCTATCACAGGCCAATGAAAGATACGTTAGGAGCTTTGCCTTAAAGATTCAGATAGGCCAGGCACAGTGGCTCACACCTGTAATCCCAGCACTTTGGGAGGCCGAGGAGGGCAGATCACAAGGTCAAGAGATCAAGACCATCCTGCTCAACATGGTGAAACCCTGTCTCTACTAAAAATACCAAAAAAATTAGCTGGGCGTGGTGGCACGCGCCTGTAGTCCCAGCTACTTGGGAGGCTGAGGCAGGAGAATCGCTTGAATCCAGGAGGCAGAGGTTGCAGTGAGCCTAGATTACACCACTGCACTCCAGCCTGGCGACAGAGCGAGACTCCATCTCAAAAAAAAAAAAAAAAAAAAGATTCAGATAAAAGCATGTTCTGAAACTCAAATACAATTTAGAAGACCTCTGCCTGGATCCCTCAAAGAAGAGGACAAATTCGGTTGCATCTATGAAGAAAGAGCAATAAGCTTTAAGGAGAGAATAGCAAGAGATGCAAAGAGATCCAAAAATAAAATAGAAATGAAAAAAAATGCAACAGCAGAATTTAAATATGCTTTGAAAGCAGTAAAGATTAGAACTAATATACTAGAACATGTATTTCATGAAATGCAGCACAAATTTTGAGAAATTCTACTTCAGTGCAGAAGAAAAGAAGAAAAAGAATGTTAAGAAAAAGAACATTATGGATATAAGGGACAGAGAACAGAGATCCAACTTTTAAGCCTCAGAAGGGTGTTCTCAAGGAATAAATCAAAACAAAAAGAAGAAGAATCTTTTTTTTAAAAAAAATATAACTTCCCCGAGATTAAAAAATACCTACTTTTTGGCCAGGTACACTGGCTCATGCCTGTAATCCCAGCACTTTGGGAGGCTGAGGTGGGTAGATCCATTGAGGCCAGGAGTTCAAGACCAGCCTGGCCAACATGGTGAAACCTTGTCTCTACAAAAAATACAAAAATTAGCTGGGCGTAGTGGCAGGTGCCTGTAATCCCAACTATTCAGGAGGCTGAGGCAGGAGAATTGCTTAAACCCAGGAGGCGAAGGTTGCAGTGAACCAAGATCATGCCACTGCACTCCAGCCTGGGCAACAGAGCAAGACTCTGTCTCCAAAAAAAAAACCTTACATTTTAAAGGGCACATGACATGAGACTCTGGGAAAAATGAAAAAAATCACCTAATCGTCTCCTCACAAAATGTTTAATTGTGAGATTAAAGAAAAAAATCCTACACACTTCCAAGTCAAATAAATAATATCATAAACTTACATAGTGCTTTCCATGTGCCATGTAGATCACAATGCTATTAAGAAACAAAAATTCTAAGTGCTTTACATATACTTTCTTATTGCTGTAACAATGGTATGAGGTAGATATTATCATTTTTCCCACTTAACAGATTAGGAGAATAAAGCATAGAAAAGTTAAGCAGATCACCTAACTAGTAAATGGTGAACTTGGGGTTCAAAACCCAGAAGTTCATTCTCTTGTACTATCCCTCAGAGCAACAGAAATCAAGCTGGACCCCAGCTACTCAGGAGGCTGAGGCAGGAAGATTGCCAGAGCCCAGGAGTTCCAGGTCAGCCTGGGCAACGTAGTAAGACCCCATCTCAAAACTAAGAAATTCAAGCTAGAAATCCCAAAAGCCAGAAGACATCAAAACAACTATGTTTAAGGATCATGGAGTAGTTTACACACGGGGCCTAAACCTCTTGGCACATGCACTATAATAGTTATTTCCTTCTTCCTATACGGTACATTTTAATAGTGTGGCCTGTATTCTTAAGCAAGGCGTGCCAATCAAGACTGCTGCCCTTCCCTGCAAGGTACCTGCAAACAATGGGAGAGAAACTTTGCAAACGTCCTTCATGAGTTTTTTTTGGCTGGGAAATCCTACTTTCTTTGATGTGGTCTCCCTATTTTATTTAAGGAGATACATCACTCCCACTCCCCTACTCCCTCCCCAAAAGAGACTAATAAGGACTAATGGAATTTCACCTGGATATGTCTAATGAAGGATTTTTCTTTTTTCCTTATTTTTATTTATTTCAGTATTTCAACTTTTATTTCAGATACAGCAGATCCATGTAGAGGTTCGTTACATGGGTATACTGTACCCAGGTAGTGAACACAGTACCCAGTAGGTAGCTTTTCAACCCATACCCCACCCCCTCTAGCAGTCTGCAGTGTCTGTTGTTCCCATGTTTATGTCCATGTATGCTCAATGTTTAGCTCCCATTTATAAGTAAGAACTTGCAGTATCTGCTTTTCTCTTACTGAATTAATTTGCTTAGGATTATGGCGTCCGGCTCCATCCATGTTGCTGTGAAGGACATGACTTTGTTCTTTTTTATGGTTGCATAGCATTCCATGGTGTATAGTACCACATTTTCTTTATCCAGTCCACCACTGATTGGCACTAGGTTGATTCCACGTCTTTGCTATTGTGAGTAGCGCAGCAATGCACATATGAGTGGATGTGTCTTTTTGGTATAATGATCCATTTCCCTTTGGGTATACACCCAGCAGTGGATTCCTGAGTTAAATGGTTGCTCTGTTTTAAGTTATTTGAGAAATCTCCAAGCTGCTTTCCACAGTGGCTGAACTAATTTACATCCCATCAACAGTGTATAAGCATTCCCTTTTCTCTGCAGCCTCATACTGGTACAAAAACAGATATAGAGACCAATGGAACAGAATGGAAAACTCAGAAATAAAGCTGCACACTCACATACAACTGATTTTCGACAAGGCCAACAAAAACAAGCAATGGGGAAAGGAATTCCTATTCAATAAATGGTGCTCAGATAACTGGCTAGTTATATGTAGCAAAATGAAACTGGACCCTTACCTTTCACCACATATCAAAATTAACTCAAGATGGATTAAAGATTTAAATGTATACCCTCAAACTATAAAAATCCTAGAAGAAAACCTAGGAAATACCCTTCTTGACATCAGCCTTGGCAAAGAATTTTTGGTTAAGTCCCCAAGAGCAATTGCAACAAAAACAAAAATTGACAAGTGGGACCTAATTAATTAACTAATTAAACTAAAGAGCCTCTGTATAGCAAAAGAAACTATTAAAGTAAACAGACAACTTACGGAATAGGAGAAAATATTTACAAACTGCATCCAACAATGGTCTAATATCCAGAATCTACAAGGAACTTAATTCAACAAGCAAAAAACAAATAACCCCATTAAAAAACAGGCAAAAGACATGAACAGACACTTCTCAAAAGAAGGCATACAAGTGGCTAATAAACATATGAAAAAATGCTCAATATCACTAATCATCAGAGAAATGCAGATTAAAAGCACAATAAGATGCCATCTCAAACCAGTTAGAATGGCTATGATTACAACATCAAATAATAAGGTGTTTTTTTAACTGCAGGTCACAACACCTTACTAGGTCATGAGATCAATTTAATACAGTTGCAACCAGCATTTCAGGGAGAAATAAACAGAACTAAAATAGAGTGCAACAAATACAGCAAGAGTACATAATTTTTTTATGTATACATTTTTTTTCATTTATAAATGTATTATTACATAAAATGTATATTGTATCTGTGTTGTGTTAAAAAACGCTTAAAAGCCACGGGTAATAGGACTCTGTCACATATATAAAACATGATTTTGCCCCAGGGAGCATTATTAATACATTTTATCAGAGGCCTATAATATTTACCTCTGGTAAGTTTATTAAAGAAAGTGCCAGAACCCAAGTTATAAAAATTAGCTCTAATAGATATTAGATATATCATAAAACTACAATAATCAAAATAGTGTCATACTGTTAGGAATGCAGATTAGTGAATCAGAACAGAAAGTCCAAAAAGAGACCTAAATATTTATATGAAGAATTTGGTATATGCTAAAAGTAACATCCCGCTTTATCCCTAGTGGGGTAAAATATGGGTTGTTAAATGATGTTGACACAATTGGCTAATTAGCTGGGGAGGAAATTAAGTTGGAACTATACCTCACATCAGAAAAAAATTCCAAATGGATGAAAAATTTAGAGAAAAACAACAAAAGTGAAGGGAGCAAAAGGAAGTTTTTTGTGTTTGTTGGCTTTTCAATAACCTTGCAACAGAAAAAATCTTTCTAAATATGAAACCCAGGAGCCATAAAAGGAAAGTCTGACAAATTCGAATATTTTAAAGTATACATAGAGAAAAAAAATAAGCCTCAAAAATTGTAATTTAAATCACAGATGATTTTTCAAATAAAGAGCTCCTAAAATTAATATGAAAACAGTCAATAACTCAAAAAACAGACAAGACAGGAGCAGTTTGCAGAAAATAAATATAAGTGCCTCTTAAACCTATGAAAATATGCTCCACCACACTCCAAGAAAATTGTAAATTAATCCTATACTGCAATTTTATTTTTTTACTTCATATAGGCAAAGATCAAAATGTTTGATAACACACTGAATCTTCAAGGTGCGGAGAAAGAATTCTCATATTTTGCTGATCACAGTATATACTGTTAAAATTTCCATGAAGGCCAATCAAAATTAATATGTCTCCATTGTGCTAGCAATTCAATTTGTGGGAATCTATCTTATATCTATCTTGGAATATGTGAGAAATTACAAATGTGTAAGATGATTCACTGTGACACTTTTGTAATAGTGAAAGATTTGAAACAAGTTAAATACTCGTTAATAGGAGACTCAATGAATAATTAAATTATGGTCATTCCATACAGCTAGAAAGAAGAAAAAAGAGAAGGGGAAGAGGAGAGAGAGGAAGGAGAAAGAAGATAACCTATTTTTCAATCTAGAAATATAAAATGATAGCCCACTATCAACTAGATGAAGGACTGAAAAAGTTTCCCTAAAAAATTCTCAATCATCTAGAATCATGAGCTAAAGATGCATGCTCCCTAGCAGTTAGGTATCATTTCCAAGTATTAATACATTATCCTGTAAATTCCAGATAGAAAAGAATTTACTTACAAGTTTAAAGTTATTTCTTAAATCTTGACTGATCTTTGGAGAAATAGATCTAACTCAGGTAAAGATAGTTTAGAAATTAAATTTCTAGACAGAATCAGCTATATTATTTTTAATCCCACTCTTCTTCCTTTTCATATCATATTCTTACAGATTTATGGAGAATAGCTCAAAGAAAGGGCAAAAGGCAATATATTTTTAATTATAAAATCTTGCTCCCAAATTAGAAAGAAACAAATCAGGCCAAAAAATAAAAAAGGCAGTAACACAGCCTGAGTCCTGCAAACCCCAAAATGCTGTTAACTACTTTAAAAAAAGAAAAAATTCTGCTTTCATTCAAGGAGTTTGTCCATGCTTACACACCCTGGAAATCCCCTCTGCTTCACACCTAACCCAGAATCTGCTCTAAAGTGCCAACACAGTGTCTAACTTCCCTTCGTCCTTGGAAGGAAATGTGTAGAAAATTTAAGCCCCTTCACCGATCAAATCGCTTCACTTCTCTGGGCCTTACGTTCCTCAGGAATAAAGTGGGGTTATTAACACATACTTCGAAGGGCTATTGTAAGGACTCAAGAAAATTAAATGATTTGACTGTAAAAAGTCTATACTATAAAAGCCCCTGTATGTGCTTTAGGTAAATAATAATACCACAAGTTTTACCAATAGTTTGTCAACATTTATAACTCTTTGGGTTTTAACACTGGATACCAGGAAAGTAACTTTGCCTGCTTCCTGTTCCTGACTGAGAAATGGGCTCCGGTCTTCACATGGCAGTAGAGTAGATGAATCCCTGAAAGGACCCATAACCTAACTGCTTCCACATGTATAAGAAAAATATGTCTACATTTCAGTTGTTTCCAGGTATTCTGATTCAGGGGCCAAAAAGACCATTTAGCTTGTCGCCTTCAAAGGGCACTAGACTGAGGTAAGATCGATCCCTTTGTAGTATGCATGTATGCATGGTTCATAAATCATGTTTTTTGGCTGAGGATTGCCTGTAGTGCATCCTTAAGGATTACTTTATGCTTTACAATGTGCATATGTCTTCTGATCTATCCTCAAAACAAACTTGTGAGAAAACAGATGCAGACAGAAAGACCAAATTAATGACAACAAAAAAATACAGAATCTTTATTTCTAATTCCCAGTTTACTAATGACTTCATTGAGTTGAATGAGCTGTTTCCTTTCTTTATAAAGCAGAAACAATTTATCAGTCACTTGCAGAAGCCATCAAGTTTTCAATGTTCCCACAGAAATGAAGCAGAATTTACTACCATCTATACTCAATTCTATTGCTAATTTTTTAAAAAAAGAAAATAGTTTGGGCAATTTTTGTCCTCTTTTAGTGAAAAAAATCGGAAGCAGAGAAGAGAATGAAAAAGGAAAAATTTAAATTCCTGAAATTTCTAGTGCATAAATTCAACAGTAAATCTGACTAATGTTAAATATGTAGACAGTAAATCTTTGTGCACTGCAGTAGTAACAGAGTAGCCTGTGAAAGTTATCCAAGTGGAAAGCAGAAAGGAAATGGGAAGTGATTTTACTCTGAAAGAAAACCAAAAGGTGAAAGAGTCCAACAGTAAATAGGACAGGCAGGAATACTCAGGTAGAAATCTTGGGGATATCCCAGGAACATTCATCAGCTCAAATGACGTGTCTTGTACATCTCATCAGTGGTTTTCCCTCCGCTGTCTAACTTATACAAATATCTGAGTAACTCAAGAGCAACGTACAACTGGAAGATGAGTCATTCCACCAGTAATCAACGAGATTAAGGGAAATTCTATTTTCCTGTGAACTTTGGCACAGTTTGAATCTGTTTCATTATTCCTGCTAGGAATCACTACGAATCCAGGTTTGCACACCTTTTCTTCTGCCATTATCAAGCAAATAATAGTAAGCTAAGTGTTAGGTAATTTCCCATCCTCAGAAAACATACACCAGTCTCATAAGGAGGCAGAATTACCAGTATGGTTAAACAGCAAGTGTTACTGAGTCCAAAGATGTGGGTCTGAATCCTGACTTCATCACTTAACCTGTGTGGTTTCAGCAAGTTACCGAACTTTTCTGAGCCTCAGTTTCCTCATTTGTCAAGGAGAGAAAATACTCATTCCCTCAAAGTTATTGTAAAGATTAACTGAAATGGTAGCTATGACATAATAAATGTAAGCACTGGATTATTTAATGTATAAATAACTGTATTTATTACACACCTACTGGATGCCAAGCATTGTGGAAAATAGGAAAAAGGGTGTCCTGTCCCTCAGAGTTTCTAATCTGGTTGAAATAACAATAGATACTGATATGAAAAACTAAACAACACTAAAAAAAGAACACATAGTATAGGATCAATAGCCAGATGTGTGCCAGGGTTAATAAATGCTACAAGTTCAAAGGAAGAAAAGATAAATGCAGACTACAGGGGTCAAAAAAGGTTGTGTGACAGAAAAGGGACTGAGATAGTCACGAAGGAAAAACAGGATTTGGAGGTAGAAGTATATTTTAGATGAGGGGAAAAAGAAGAGGAAGAAAACACAAAGCAGTCTAGAGCCACTAATTAGCTGGCACTGGCTGACGCACGTGTCTGTAGAGGAGAGTGGCAAGCAATGAGGCCTGAAAAGTAGGCTGCGACCAAACTGGAGGAATTACTTGCAGGGCAGGAATGGGAAACTGCTGAAGGTTTTGAGGCAGGGGAGTAATAGGATTACATCAGTGTTTTGAAAAGAATGACCTGGAGTGCGAGATCCACTGCTGATTAGGAGAGGAGCGTCAACAGCAGCACCGTGGTTCTTCTGTGGATTTCTTCTGTTGGAATCTGGACGACTGGAATGATGGAAATGTGTGGGATTTGCCAATCTCCCAAATCAAGTATCCAGAGAATCAGTGAAGAGAACGTTTGAATTCACACTTACGGTGGTGGGAAATCCAGGAAAGACAACATTAATCAACTCATGATTCCTCATAGATTTGCATTCTCCAGAATATCCAAGTCTTTCTCATAGAATTATTACTAAAAAGACTGTACAGGAGGAACAATCCAAAGTTTTAATCAAGGAAGGTAGTGTTAAGTTGCTGCTCACAATAGTTGATACCAAATAGGATTTGGAGATGCAGTAGATAATAGTAATTGCTGGCAGCTCGTCATCAACTACATTGATAGTAAATCTGTGGACTACCTAAATGCAGAATCACAAGTGAACAGATTTCAGATGCCTGATAACAGGGTGCCGGGTTTATACTTCACTGCTCCTTCAGGACATGGAATTAAACCAGATAATAACTTTAAAACAGATAATGAAAGAAATCTAAGAACTTAAAATATATAAATTTCCAGAAACAGGTGAAGAAGACAACAAGCTTGTTAAAAAGAAGAAGGACCATTTACCTCTTGCTTAGGTAGGTAGTAATACTATATCATTGAACTTAATGGCAAAAGGGTTAGGGGAAGGCAGTATCCTTGGGGTGTTGGTAAAGTTGAAAATGGTGAACATTGTTTTTACAATTCTAAGAAATATGTTGATAACACATATGCACGATTTGAAAGATGTTACTAAATGCCCACTATGAAAGGAGAAAACTGGCAGTTGTGACTTATAATGGAGTTGATAACAAATAAGGGCTTACTAAGAGCCTTCTGGCACAAATGGAAGAAGAAAGAAGGGAGCATGTAGCTAAAATGAAGAAGACGGAGCTGGAAATGGAGCAGGTGTTTGAAATGAAGGTAAAAAAAAAAAGTTCAAAAACTGAAGGACTCTGAAGTTGAGCTCCAATGGCAGTGCCATGAGCAAATGAAAAAGAAGCATAACACAAAGAATTAGAGAAGAAACAACATCAGTTTGAGGATGAGGATGCAAACTGGGAAGCTCAACAACATATTTCAGAACAAAACTCTTTGAGAACCTTCAAAAAGAAAAAGAATAAAGAGATCTTTTAAACTATTGATCAATAGTTACGTATTATTAATAGTTACGAATATCCCAACTTGGACATCAGTGTTTGTTGGATCCATTTGACCAATTTGCACCAGTTTTATCCATAGTGATAGATTTAACAGCATGACAAAAATTATTTTGTTGTTGTTCTTAATGGAGATTAAGATGCCTTGAATTGTTTAGGGTGTTGTGTACTTATTAATAGAAAGTAACAGGCCAGGCACCGTGGCTCACACTGTAATCCCAGCACTTTGGGAGGCCAAGGCAGGCAGATCACTTGAGGTCAGGAGTTCGAGACCAGCCTGGCCAACATGCTGAAACCCTCTCTCTACTAAAAATACAAAAATTAGCTGGGTGTGGCAGCGGGTGCCTGGGTTTTAAACACAAGTTTAGCTTCACTGATCACATAGTTTACAGGAACAATGAATGCTGTGGTTTGGATCTGATCATCCAGCTCTGCTAATCTGGTACTTAATAATCAGTTCTTGTTTACTAATAGTCATCTGACGTTTCTCTGATTGTAAGTGGAGAAGCCTTGTACCATCAACACAATGGTGAATGACTTGGGAAGAAACCACATCCAAAAATATCCACAGGTCTGGCCCATGTTTAGGATAGGCTCCTAAGTATATTTTGAAAAAAATGAACGTCCGGGCGCGGTGGCTCACGCCTGTAATCCCAGCACTTTGAGAGGCCGAGGCGGGAGGATCACGAGGTCAGGAGATTGAGACTATCCTGGCTAACATAGTGAAACCCCATCTCTACTAAAAATAAAAAAAATTAGCTGGGCGTGGTGGCGGGCGCCTGTAGTCCCAGCTATTTGGTAGGCTGAGGCAGGAGAATGGCGTGAACCCAGGAGACGGAGCTTGCAGTGAGCCGAGATGGAGCCACTGCACTCCCGCCTGGGCGACAGAGCAAGATTCCGTCTCAAAAAAAAAAAAAAGAAAAGAAAAAAGAAAAAAATGAACTACCATTATTAGGGCAAGAAATATTGACAACGACTACAAAAAAAGGTATTAATTTATGATAGGAACTTTCACCTAAGTCTAATGATTCCTAAGCATCTACTCTGCGAATAAGTTCTTTTCATTTCCCACTGACATTGTATCTGGGGACACTGTACCTTGATATGGCCTTATCATATTTTCTTGAAAAACACCCTCTGCCTATTTTTCTCATTTTGGAGAATTTTACAGGTTAAATAATCAAGATAAGCATTTATACTGCATGAATCTGCAAAGGAACTACAGTATTTTTATTGATATGACAGAATGCACTTTTGCCATTAGTGGTTTTTCAGTCAGCTTGCAAAGAATCACACTGTTAAAGCAGTGATCAGCCTAGAGAGAAGCCTGCTTTTGAGACAACCTGAGTTATCTGCTAATTCAAAACATCTGAACAAAAATATTCCTGGCACAAATGCAGTGAACTCATTACAAAAACAAAAACAAAAACAAAAATAAAACACCTATGTTTAAATTAGCCCTGTAGGTAGCTCAATCCATATGCATTCCACCCTTCCAATTTTAAGTCTCTGAAAGAAAAGCCAGCACTCTTTTAAACACAGGAAATCACATTTTACTTCTCTGCAGCTGCTTCATAACCAAGGAAAATGCAAAAGCAAAGAGGAAATGTGCCGGAGATCTTATTAACAAAGAGTGGAAATCCCCACACTCCACATCTCCCAGTTAGCACTGTTGGGGACATAGGCTCTCAGGTTCATATTTCCCTTTGTGAAATGCCTAACCACACCAGAATTAATCTGCAGTTGCCACCTATGATAAAAGCAGGGGTTGTGCACACTGGAGTATTCCACATTGCCTCTTCAGCTATAGCTTTTACCACACAATGGATTAACTTGTACAGGATTTTTTCAAACTCCTCCCCTAACCCAGAAAAAAAATGTTAATAACCTCTTTGCAAAGCAAAAACAATGCAGTACAGTAGGAAACCTTTATAGAATTGACTCTGAATCTAAATTAGTTGTTCTACTCTATTAAGAAATTTTATCTTGTGCGTTTCAAAAATGGAAAAAGAAACGTGCAAATGACATGACAATTTTCAGCATTTAAAAAGTATAATTTGCTTTAAGAAGGGGACTTTCATTCTCTATAGTGGTATTTCTGAACTGTTTATATCCTTTCTAATGAATATATACTATTTATATTATAATGAATATATAATATGTTTACTTGAGGAAATCTTTACTATAGGAAGATTAGGAAGATGTTGCTTCTGCATGAAAATCACTAAGAAAGCACTGTTTTATAATCTCCCTTTTCATAACTTCTATCCTGAAAGCATATGTGTATTTGTCAGCTTTTTTTTTTTTTTTTTTTTTTAAATAGACACCAGGTCTCGCTATGTTGCCCAGGCTTGTCTTAAACTCCTGGGCTCAAGCAATCCTCCCACCTCAGCTTCCCGAAGTGCTGGGATTACAGTTGTGAGCCACCACAGCTGGCCCTTTGTTAGCTTATAAAAAAAGATTTTCAAGATGAAAATCTTAAACATATATAAAAGTAGACAGAATAGTATAATAAATCCCCATGAACCCATAAACTAGCTTTATCATCTCATGACCAATCTTGTTTCATATATAACTCCATCTATTCCATCCCCTATTTCCCAGTTATTTTTGAAGCATATCTCAGACATCACATCATTTAATCCATAAATATTTCAGTGTTTAGCTCTGAATCTAAAGAGTTTGGGTCAGGCATGGTGGCTCACGCCTGTAATCCCAGCACTTTGGGAGGCCAAAATGGGAAATCACTTGAGCCCACGAGTTCGAGACCAGCCTGGGCAACATGGTGAAACCCCCTCTCTACAAAAAGTACAAAACTTAGCTGATGTGGTGGCAGGCACCTGTAGTCCTAGCTACTCAGGAGGCTGAGGTGGGATGATCACCTGAGCCCGGGAGGTTGAGGCTGTGGTGAGCTGTGATTGTGCCACTGCACTCCAGCCTGGGTAACAGATTGAGACCCTGCCTCAAAAAAAAAAGAGTTTTAACTCACTAGCATTATTAACCCTAAATAAAAATCAACAAAAATGTCTTAATAACTCCAATAACTGGTGTTCAGATTCCTCTGATTGTTCAAATCAGGAACTAAGGGCCCAATATGATCCATACACTGCAAATGGTTGCTTTATCTCAAATTGCTTTTATCTATAGATCATTGCTCCATCTCTTTTTTTTTTTTTTGGCAATTCATTTATTGGAAGAAACTGGGTTGTCTTGCAGTTTCCCACAGATGGTATTTGGTAATTGTACCCTTGAGGTGTAATTTAACATATTCCTCTGCCCCCTGTATTTCCAGTAAATTAGTAGTGAGCTCTAGATGCTTGATCAGATTCATGCATCTAGATTCAGGTTTGATATTTTCACATACCAAATCCTTAACTCTCCTATTTACTATTTCTTAAAATCTTGAAGAACCACGAGCCAAATTTCAACCTATAGCTAAAAAGTAGTGCTGGTTAATAAGGAGGTGTCATGTGCTCTGCTCAAGACATAACAACTTGGAATTTCTCCCTTTAGATATTAAGGAAAGGAGAAAGGTAGACTAAAGAGCTTCACATCATCAAAACCTCAACAACGATTTGATGCTGCCTTCCTTCCCTCCCAAACTGACACTGTGCTACATACAGACTCTGCACTTTTAATTCACCTAAATCACAACTTCCTGTTCTACTGTGCACTGTCTTTGGGGCTCCACTCTCATCTCTGTTCCCACTAGGAAAAGCTGACCTTATCTAACTTTTCTTAACACATAACTATGTGTTATGTGTTAGTTAGAAAGCCTTAACATTGCAGAGCTGGAGTGGGCTTTGGAGATCATCTGGTCCAACTGTCTCTGTTTAAAGACCAGGAAAAAGAACGAAAGTGCTGAAGTAACTTTTCCAAGGTTATTATAAAGATATATGTTAAGTTAGTTAATATTTATAAAGTACTCATAACAGTGACTAGCTTATAATAACCCTTATATAAACATTTGCTTTTTAAAAAGCAAGTTAAAATTAGTTAAGAAACAGAATTAGTACTTGAGTGAGGACCTCTTAAATTTCTCTAAGAACACAAATAATACTCCCTTCTACTTTGCAGTTTGGGGGAATAATGCACTCTACATATACCAAAATGTTCCAGATAACTGAGGCATGTTCCTTTAAACAACCAATTTTATTTCGTTTTAATCTTTTAAAGTCAAGATAATCCAAGATGGAAACTGTTGTCAGAAATATAGTATACAGTTTCCTTCATCAAATGAAGAACACTGAACACTATCTTATTAAACTTCTCAGTGACCCTTTCATTATGAACACAGGGAAGCTTAATGAATAGAACTCATATTTGGGAATCAGACAGATGTGCATTCAAATCTTAATTCTGTTACTTACAAACCTTGCTTGGCAAGTCACTTAACCTCTCTGAGGTTTAGCAAAAAAGGGGAGGCTGCCTTCCTTGTAGGATTGTCACAAAAATTAGAGATCCCTCTCTCCCCACGGTCTCCCTCTCCCTCTCTTTCCACCGTCTCCCTCTGATGCGGAGCTGAAGCTGGACTGTACTGCTGCCATCTCGGCTCACTGCAACCTCCCTGCCTGATTCTCCTGCCTTAGCCTCCCAAGTGCCTACAATTGCAGGCGCGCACCGCCACGCCTGACTGGTTTTTGTATTTTTTTGGTGGAGACGGGGTTTCGCTGTGTTGGCCGGGCTGGTCTCCAACTCCTAACCGCGAGTGATCCGCCAGCCTCGGCCTCCCGAGGTGCCGGGATTGAGACGGAGTCTCGCTCACTCAGTGCTCAATGTTGCCCAGGCTGGAGTGCAGTGGCGTGATCTCGGCTAGCTACAACCTCCACCTCCCAGCCGCCTGCCTTGGCCTCCCAAAGTGCCGAGATTACAGCCTCTGCCCGGCCGCCACCCCGTCTGGGAAGTGAGGAGCGTCTCTGCCTGGCCGCCCATCGTCTGGGATGCGAGGAGCCCCTCTGCCCGGCTGCCCAGTCTGGGAAGTGAGGAGCGCCTCTTCCCAGCCGCCATCCCGTCTAGGAAATGAGGATAGTCTCTGTCCGGCCGCCCACCGTCTGAGATGTGGGGAGCGCCTCTGCTCCGCCTCCCCGTCTGGGATGTGAGGAGCGCCTCTGCCCGGCCGCCACCCCGTCTGGGAGGTGAGGAGCGTCTCTGCCCGGCCGACCCGTCTGAGAAGTGAGGAGCCCCTCCGCCCGGCAGCCGCCCCGTCTGGGAAGTGAGGAGCGTCTCCGCCAGGCAGCCGCCCTGTCTGGGAGGGAGGCGGAGGTGGGGGGGTCAGCCCCCGCCCGGCCAGCCGCCCCGTCCGGGAGGGAGGTGGGGGGCGCCTCCACCCGGCCGCTGCCCCATCCGGGAGGTGGGAGGCACCTCTGCCTGGCCGCCCCTTCTGGGAAGTGAGGAGCCCCTCTGCCCGGCCACCATCCCGTCTGGGAGGTGTACCCAACAGCTCATTGAGAACGGGCCATGATGATGATGGCGGTTTTGTGGAATAGAAAAGGGGGAAAGGTGGGGAAAAGATAGAGAAATCAGATTGTTGCTGTGTCTGTGTAGAAAGAAGCAGACATGGGAGACTTCATTTTGTTCTGTACTAAGAAAAATTCTTCTGCCTTGGGATGCTGTTGATCTATGACCTTATCCCCAACCCTGTGCTCTCTGAAACATGTGCTGTGTCCACTCAGGGTTGAATGGATTAAGGGCGGTGCAAGATGTGCTTTGTTAAACAGATGCTTGAAGGCAGCATGCTCGTTGAGAGTCATCACCACTCCCTAATCTCAAGTACCCAGGGACACAGACACTGCGGAGGGCCGCAGGGTCCTCTGCCTAGGAAAACCGGAGACCTTTGTTCACTTGTTTATCTGCTGACCTTCCCTCCACTATTGTCCTATGACCCTGCCAAATCCCCCTCTGCGAGAAACACCCAAGAATGATCAATAAAAAAAAAAAAAAAAAGATGGATTAACAAAAAAAAAAGAAGAAAAAAAATTAGAGATAACTGATACAAAGATCCTAGCACAAAGATCTTAGCCTGACACTAAGAATTCAGTAAATGGTAACTATTATTCATTTATTCAACAAATTGAGCATCTTTATGTAAAGCACTATTCTGAGTTATGAGGATACAACAGTGTTCTAAACAGGCATTTAAAAATCCCTACCCTTGTGGTGCTTTCACTCTATACAGAGAAAAGATATATAGTAAAAGCTCTGTGTGTGTGTGTGTGTGTGTGTGTGTGTGTGTGTGTGTATGTGTGTGTGTAGCATGTCAGATAAGTGCTATGGAGAAAAATAAAGCAGAGATGGAAAATAGGGAGTGCTGGCAGATTAGAATGGGGATATGAAGGAAAGAGGGGAATCAAGGATGATTCTGACCTTTTTGACCTGAATAGCTAGAAGGAAAAAGTTGTATTTACTGAGATAGGGAAGACTATACATGTGTATAAAGATCGGGAGTTTGGTTCAGTGGTGATCAGAGGCCTTATTCTCAACATCTCAGCTGCTGCTCTTTCACACTGGTAGTTTTCTCTTCCTTCAG
Organism: Homo sapiens; assembly: GCF_000001405.40. NCBI lineage: Eukaryota > Metazoa > Chordata > Mammalia > Primates > Hominidae > Homo > Homo sapiens. The sequence continues at coordinate 35,151,351 of NC_000014.9, read as the reverse complement.
AAGTAAGCTGTCTGTCTTCAGCACCAGTATTACTGTTTCTAATCTAGTATCTTATTTACATTATTCTATTCTCTAAGAAGACCAAATGAAAAAGCAATAAAATCGATACATTTAAGCAATAGCTATAGAAAAACTAAATCAAAAATCCTAGGCAGAATCTTTTAAGAAAAATAACACTAAAAGTGTATCACTCTGGGACGTACCTCACTTCCAAATACTGTTTCTAAAAATTCACTTAGTAGATGATTATAAAGAACTCACAACACTTTTCCCATAAATAAAAATTAATTTAAAAATGGCTTGGTTTCCAAGCCAAATGATGCAATGGGTTATAGTATAACAGTAATAATGCCAACCTGAATCTGAGAGAGAAAAGATCACTCGCTGTAAGAAAGATAAGACTCTCTTGCCCTTAGCACAAGAAAAGTCAAGTATCTCCTTTGCACACTCCCACCTTGTTTCAACCTCCTAAAGGTGACTTTATCCCTCTGTCTCTAGCACACTACTCCACACAAAACTTTCCATTTGAGCACCCCCCTCAGATCAGCCCCTCAAAACGTTCTCTATGAAAAATCACCAACCCAACTCTAAAACAGCAGCAGCCAAACACCCATAGCCACACATAATTTTCATTTCCTTGTAAAGCCAAACTCAGCTAGGCTTTAGGAGGAAAGTACACTGCTTCAAGCTAAATCTCATAAAAAAGCCTGGATCCCAGCTGGTAGAATTTCAGTCAAGTGTTACATAAAAGAAAAAGAATGAAGAAATAAGGAAAACATTTGACATTGGGAAGGCCACTGCTAGGAGTGACCTGCTTGTCCTTTTAACTTTTTAACCTTCCTAAAATTCTGAATTCATTGATTTTTCTAGAAGCTTTACATTTTTGGCCAGAATTCTTGCACCGACATACCTGAATGGTAATTGTTTTAGGGCACCAGAAACCGTGCTGCTGTAAGACAGTAAACTTAATCAATAAATGTTGTGTGACTTCTGATTGCTCCACCAACAGCCATTTCCCCATCTTTCTCCCTCTGTTCAGGCCTCCCTATTACCTGAGACACAACAATACTGAAATTAGGCCAATTAATAATTCTACGATGGCCTCTAGGTGTTCAAGTGAAAGGAAGAGTCTCCGGTCTTACACTTTAAATCAAAAGCTTGAAATCACTGAGCTTAGTGAGGAAGGCATGTCAAAAGCTAAGACAGGGCTGGGCATGGTGGCTCACGCCTGTAATCCCAACATTTTGGGAGGCCGAGGCAGGCGGATCACTTGAGGCCAGAAGTTCCAGACCAGCCTGGGAAACATGGCGACACCCCATCTCTACTAAAAATTAGCCGGTGTGGTGACACATGCCTGTAATCCCCAGCTACTCGGGAGGCTGAGGCATGAGGATTGCTCAACTGAACCTGGGAGGCAGAGGTTGCAGTGAACTGAGATTATGCCGCTGCACTCCAGCCTGGGTGATAGAGTGAGACTCTGTCTCCCCGCCTTAAAAAACAAAACAAAACAAAACAAAAAAGCTAAGATAGGCCAAAAGCTAGGTACCAAACTTTGCAAATGCAAAGTTCTCGAAAGAAATCAGAAGTGCTACTTCAGTGAACAAATAAATGATAAGAAAGCAAAATAGCCTTATTGCTGATATGAAGAAAGTTTTGGTGGTCTGGATGAAACATCAAACCAGCCACAACATTCTCTTAAGCCAAAGCAAGACCTGAATGCTTCAATTCCACAAAGGCTGACAGAGGTGATGAAGCCGTAGAAGAAAAGTTGGAGGCCAGCAGAATTTGGCTCAAGAGGTTTAAGAAAATAAGCAATCCCCATAACATAAAAATGCAAGGTGCCAGTCATGGTTGCTCACACCTGTAATCACAGTACTTTGGGAGGCTGAAGCAAGAGGATCACTTGAGGTCAGGCGTTCGAGACCAGTCTGGGCAACATAGCAAGATCCTATCTCTACAAAAAATTTAAAAATGATCCAGGTATGGTGGTATGCCTGTAGTCCTAGCTACTTGGGAGGCCTAGATGGGAGGATTACTTGAGCACAGGAGTTCGAGGCCCCAGTGGACTATGATCATAGCACCACACTCCAGCCTGGATGACAGAATGAGACACTGTATTAAAAAAAAAAATTAGGCCGGGCGCGGTGGCTCACGCTTGTAATCCCAGCACTTTGGGAGGCCGAGGCGGGCGGATCACGAGGTCAGGAGATCGAGACCATCCTGGCTAACACGGTGAAACCCCATCTCTACTAAAAATACAAAAAAATTAGCCGGGCGTGGTGGCGGGCGCCTGTTGTCCCAGCTACTCGGGAGGCTGAGGCAGGAGAATGGCGTGAACCTGGGAGGCGGAGCTTGCAGTGAGCCGAGATTGCGCCACTGCACTCCCACCTGGGCCACAGAGCGAGACTCCGTCTCAAAAAAAAAAAAAAAAAAAAAAAAATTAAAAAGTGCAACATGTAGGCTGCTGGGAGGTTATGGGCACAGACTGGTGGAACCAACACAAAAAACAAAAAAAGTGCAAGGTGAAGCAGCAAGTACTCATGTAGAAGCTGCAGCAAGCTATCCAGAAGATCTAAGATCACTGATGAAGGTGGCTACACTAAGCAACAGATTTTCCGTGGAGACAAAACAGCCCCTTCTATTGGAAGAAGATGCCATCTAGAATTTTCATAGCTAGAGAGAAGTCAATGCTTGACTTCAAAACTTCAAGGGACAGGCTGACTCTCTTGTTATGGGCTAATACAGCTGGTGACTTTATTGAAGTCAATGCCCGTTTACCATTCCAAAAATCTTAGAGTCCTTAACAATTATGCTGAATCTCCTCTGCCTATGCTCTATCAATGGAACAAAGCCTGGCTAACAGCACATCTGTCTACAGCATGGTTTACTGAATATTTCAAGCCCACTGTGGAGACCTACTGCTCCAAAAAAAAGACTCTTCAAAATATTATTGCTCAGTGACAATGCACTTAGTCACCCAAGAGCTCTTATGGAGATGTATAAGGAGATGAAAGTTGTTTTCATGTCTACCAACACAACATCCATTCTAAAGCCCATGGATAAAAGAGTAAATTCGACTTTCTAGTCTTATTATTTGAAAAACATGTTTTGTAAGGCTATAGCTGTCATAGACAGTGATTGCTCTGAAGGATTTGGGCAAAGTCAACGGAAAACTTTCTGGAAAGGATTCACCGATCTACATGCCACTAAGAACATTTGTGATTCATGGAAAGAGGTTGAAATATCAACAGTAACAGGTTTGGAAGAAGTTGACACCAACCCTCATGGATGACTCGGAGGGATTCAAAATTTCAGTGGAAGAAGGAACTGCAGATATGGTGGAAATAGCAAGAGAACTAGAATTAGAAGTGGAGCCTGAAGATGTGACTGAATTGCTTCAATCACAAAATAAAACTTGGATTAGGAATTTCTTCTTATGGATTAGCAAAGAAAGTGGTTTCTTGAAATAAAACTCACTCCTAGTAGACACGTTGTAAATATTGTTAAAATGATAACAAAGAATTTAGAATATTACGTAAACTTAGTTGACAAGGCAGCAGCAGGATTTCAGAGGATTGACTCCAATTTTGAAAAAAGTTCTAATGTGGTAAAATGCTTTCAAAAAGCACTGCATGCTGCAGAAAAATATTTTGTGATAAGAAGAGTCAATTTATGTGGCAAACTTCATTATTGTCTTATTTTAAGAAATTGCCACACAGTGGCTCATGCCTGTAATCCCAGCATGTTGGGAGGCTGAGGTGGGTGGATCGTTTGAGCCCAGGAGTTCAAGACCAGCCTGGGCAATGTGGCAAAACCCCAGCTCGACAAAAAATTAGAAAAAATTAGCTAGACATGGTCATGTGAGCTTGTAGTTGTAGCTACTCAGGAGGCTGAGGTGGGAGGATCATGTGAGCCTGAGAAGTGGAGGCTACAGTAAGCCATGATCTTGCCAGTGCACTCCAGCCTGGGTGACAGAGTGAGACCCTGTCTCAAAAAAATAAAGAAATTGTCATAGCTATCCCAGCCTTCAACAAACACCACCACTTTGATCAGTCAGCAGCCACCAACATCAAGGCAAGACTTGCCATCAGCAAAAAGATTACAACTTGCTGAAGGCTCAGATGACCACCAGCATATTTTTTAGCAATAAGGTATTTTTAAATTAAGGTATCTATATATATTTTTTTAGACATAATGCTATTGCACACTTAATAGTCTACAGCATAGTGGAAAGATAAGTTTTGTTGTTGTTTAGAGGCAGAGTCTCACTCTGTCTCCCAGGCTGGAGTTCAGTGGCACAATCACAACTCATTGTAACCTTGAACTCCTGGGCTTGAGTGATCCTACAAACTCAGCCTTCCAAAGTAGCTAGGACTACAGGTACACACCACCAAGCCGAGCTAACTAAAAAAAAAATTTTTTTGTAGAGATGGGATCTCACTATGTTCCCCGGGCTGGTGTCGAACTCCTGGCCTCAAGCAATGTTCCTGCCTGGGCCCCAAAGCACTGGGATTACAAGTGTGAGCCACCATATCCAGCCATGGAAAGATAACTTTTATACGACCTGGGTAACCAAAAAATTTGTGTGACTCACTTTATTGCAATATTTACGATAAAGCTTAGAACCAAACTTGCAATGTCTTCAAGGTATGCCTGTACTTTAAAACACATGGTTTAAAACTATATTTTGCAGATAATTAAATTTCTTTCTCAGATTTTTAAAAAATCACTAAACCCACAAAGTTTTCCATTTACCACACAACATTTATTTAAATCTGGGGAAAAAAACCCACAGTTCATTTTAGAGATGACAAGATCTTCAAACCCAGAGAAAAGAGAAGGTTCTGGAGACTGTGATAAAGAGCTCAGTTCACATCTTTCAGTTTGTAACCAAATAAAGAAAAAAAAATCCCTAAAGACCTAAATTAGATAAGTTCTTATACTGACATTTCATTAGGGTCATATGTCCTGTCTTAAATTTGTATTTAGAGAAACACCTCTTTGTCAATAAACTGAAGAGATACTATCAAGCAGGACAAATGATTTGCTTTAAACTTAACCCTAAAAACTCAATTAAATGTACCACGGGCAATTTGCCTGCCTTTTTTTCTTTTCCAGAAAGGAGAATCCTAAATCATTAAAGCTTTATTTAAAAACTTCTAAATCACAGAATTATGGGGACTGTGATTATGATTAAAGTTTCATTAAAAGTTCAAAATGGGGCTGAGTGCGGCGGCTCACACCTGTAATCCCAGCACTTTGGGAGGCCGAGGCGGGCGGATCACCTGAGGTCAGGAGTTTGAGACCAGCCTGGCCAACATGGTGAAACCCCTTCTTTACTAAAAATATAAAAAAATTAGCCGGGTGTGGTGGCAGGCGCCTGTAATCCCAGCTACTTGGGAGGCTGAGGCAGGAGAATCGCTTGAACCCGGGAGGCGGAGGTTGCAGTGAGCCGAGACGGTGCCATTGCACTCTAGCCTGGGCAACAAGAACAAAACTCTGTCTCAAAAAATAAAAAAATAAATAAATAAATAAATAAATAAATAATCAAATAAAATTAAAGTTCAAAATGAATGGATCATGGTGGGCTGTTTCCTTCCTTCCTTCCTTCCTTCCTTCTTTCTTTCTTTTTTGAGATGGAGTCTCGCTCTGTCGCCAGGCTGGAGTGCAGTGGCGCGATCTCAGCTCACTGCAACCTCCGCCTCCCAGGTCCAAGCAATTCTCCTGTCTCAGCCTCCTCAGTAGCTGGGACTACAGACGCATGCCACCATGCCCAGCTAATTTTTGTATTTTTAGTACAGACGGGGTTTCACCATGTTAGCCAGGATAGTCTTGATCTCTTGACCTTATGATCTGCCTGCCTCGGCCTCCCAAAGTGCTGAGATTACAGGCGTGAGCCACTGCGCCCGGCCTTTTATCTTTCTTTATAGCTATTTTGACCAAAAAAAAAATTTTCCCCTTTTCACAGGTGTTGATGAAATTTTTTATAATTAATAAATATTATAATCAGGATAAAACCCACTTCCATTTTGAAAAGTAAAAGAAAATGATTAAGAAGTCTCAATAAGAACTAAAAAAGCACCAGGTGCAGTAGCTCACGCCTGTAATCCCAGCCCTTTGGGAGGCCAAGGTTGGAGGATTACTTGAGCCCAGGAGTTCACGACAAGCCCAGGCAACAAAGTGAGATCCCCCATCTCTACAAAAAATTAAAAAATTAGCTGGTCGTGGTGGTGTGTGCCTGTAGTCTTAGCTACTCAAGAGGCTAAGGTGAGAGGATCACTTGAGCCTGGGAGGTTGAGGCTGCAATGAGCTATGATCACGCCACTGCACTCTAGTTTGGGTGACAAGGGTCTCTTAAAACAAACAAAAGAACTAAAAAAGAACATAAGAAACTAATAGAAAATATACTGAGTACTGAGACTGCTGTCTTTGTTTTAGCTTCCTTTGTTAATATGCTTGTGTAATAAGATAGAGGGAAATAAACTTTACTTGAACTTTTACAATAGAAAGAAAAAGAAAATCATATCTAAACCAGAGTACTTTCTAAAACTGTGGTTCAAGGACTGCTGGGTATCCCCAAGACCCTCTCAGGGGATCTGCAAAGTTAAAACTATTTTCATAATGCTAAGACGTTATATGCCTTTTTCACTCTCATTTGCTCACAAGTGTACAGTAGAGTTTGGGCATAGTATCAAAGAACGATTATGATTATCTCCAAGAGCCAACAAAATCCTCTTTGCTTTCCAACTACCTATTTCCATGAGCTTTCATTTTCTTCATATGCTTCTACCAAAACGCCATACCATACCACAACAGACTGAATATAGAAATAGATATAAAAATCCAGGTGTCAACCCTTTTCACCAAAATGATGATGCTGAAAGCAAAGAAGGAAATCCCTGCTCCTCCCAAAGCCAAATCCAAAGCTAAGGCTTTTAAGGCCAGCAAGGCAGTGTTGAAAGGCATCCAGTCACACACACAAAAAAATATCTGCAGGTCACCTATGTTCCAGTAGCCCAACACACTTTGGCTTTGAAGGTAGCCCAAACATCCTCAGTAGAGAACCTGCAGGATATACAAGCTGGACTATTATGCCATCAAGTTCCCCTTGACCACTGAGCTGACCATGAAGAAGACAATACCACATCTGTGTTCACTGTGGTTATCAAAGCCAACAAGCACCAGATCAAACAGGCTATATGAAGGTCTGTGACACTGACATGACCACGATCAACACCCTAATCAGGACTGATGGAGAGAAGGCAGCCTATGTTTGACTGGCTCCTAACTATGATGTTTTGGATGTTGCCAGTAAAACTGGGATAACCTAAACTGAGTCCGAATAGCTAATTCTAAATATAAGGGTTTTTTTTTTGCCACTTATTTAAAAAACTACCTGTCTTTGGCCGGGCGCGGTGACTCACGCCTGTAATCCCAGCACTTTGGGAGGCTGCGGTGGGCGGATCACCTGAGGTCGGGAGTTTGAGACCAGCCTGACCAACATGGAGAAACCCCATCTCTACTAAAAATACAAAATTAGCCAGGCTTGGTGGCGCATGCCTGTAATCCCAGCTACTTGGGAAGGCTGAGGCAGGAGAATCGCTTGAACCTCGGAGGCGGAGGTTGCGGTGAGCCGAGATCGCGCCATTGCACTCCAGCCTAGGCAACAAGAGCAAAACTCTGTCTCAAAAACAAACAAACAAACAAACAAACAAACAAAAACTATCTGTCTTTTATTAAGCCATATTATTTAAAAGACCTGCAAAAATGTAATACAATGTACTCTTCTCACTAATATTGGTTTTATTCTGGACAACAGAATTATTTTCTATAAAAATGTTATGTTTTATAATAGTTTTTATATTATTTTCAATAAATTAATATATATCTGGCTGGGCACAGTGGCTCATGCCTATAATCCCAGCACTTTGGGAAGCCGAGGCGGCTGGATCACTTGAGGTCAGGAGTTCGAGACCATCCTGGCCAACATGGTGAAACCCCGTCTCTACTAAAAATACAAAAATTAGCCGGGTGTGGTGGCATATGCCTGTAATCCCAGCTACTCGGGGGAGGCTGAGGCAGGAGAATCGCTTGAACCTGGGACCTGGGAGGCAGAGGTTGCAGTGAGCAGCGATTGCGCCACTGCACTCCAGCCTGAGCAACAGAGAGAGACTGTCTCGCTTAAAACAAAACAAAAAACAAAAGCTCTCTAGAATGTTCAATAATGTTTAAATATGTAAAAGGGTCCCGAGACCAAAAGGTTAAGAACTGCAATTCTAAAGTATTTCTTAAAGTACACGAAAAATATAGCTTTACAAAGAAGTACTTTTTACAACAAGAAAACAAAGAAAGCTGTTTAAGAGAGAATTTAGGCCAAGCATGGTGGCTTATGCCTGTAATCCCAGCACTTCGGGAAGCCAAGGCAAGAGGATCACTTGAGCTCAGGGCATCAAGACCAGCCTGGACCACATAGTGAGATCCCATCTTTACAATTTTTTTTTTTTTGAGACAAGAGTCTCACTCTGTCACCTAGGCTGCTGGAATGCAGTGGCGCGATCTCAGCTCACTGCAACCTCAGCTTCCTGGGTTCAAGCAATTCTCCTGCCTCAGCCTCCCGAGTAGCTAGGACTACAGGCATGAGCCACTATGCCCAGCTAATTTTTTGTATTTTTATTAGAGAACGGGTTTTGCCATGTTGTCCAGGCTAGTCTCAAACTTCTGAGCTCAGGCAATCCACCCACCTCGGCCTCCCAAAGTGCTAGGATTACAGGTGTGAGCCACCAAGCCCAATGCCATCTCTACCCTATCTAAAATTTTTTTTTTTTTAATTTAAAAATTAGCAGGGCAGGGTGGCATGCACCTGTAAGTCCTAGCTACTTGGGAAGTTGAGGTGGGAGGATTGCTCCAGCCCAGGAGTTCATTGCTGCAGTGAGCTATGATCACACCATTGCACCCCAGCTTGGGCAAAAGAGCAAGGCGTCATCTCTTGGAAAAAAAAAAAAAAAAAAGCAATGAATTTATAATTTACAGGATGAGCTTCCAGGTGTGGTGGCTCACACTTATTATCCCAGCACTTTGGGAGGCTGAGGTGGGAGGAATGCTTGAGCCCAGGAGTTCAACACCAGCCTTGGCAACATAATGAGACTCCATCTCTACATAAGATAATAAATTAAGGCTGGGCGCGGTGGCTCACGCCTGTAATCCCAGCACTTTAGGAGGCCGAGGCGGATGGATCAGCTGAGGTCAGGAGTTCAAGACCAGCCTGGCCAACATGGTGAAACCCTGTCTCCACTAAAAATACAAAAATTAGCTGGGCGTGGTTGCAGGCACCTGTAATCCCAGCTACTCAGGAGGCTGAGGCAGGAGAATCGTTTGAACCCAGGAGGCAGAGGTTGCAGTGAGCCGAAATCGTGCCATTGCACTCCAGCCTGGGCAACAACAGCAACACTCCGTCTTAAAAAAAAAAAATTGCCCAGGTGTTGTGCCACATGCCTGTAGTCCCAGCTACTCATGAGGCTGAGGTGGGAGGATCACTTGAGCCCAGGAGGTCTCAGCTGCAGTGAGCCGTGATTGTGCCACTGCACTCCAGCTTAGGTGACAGAGCAAGACCCTGTCAAAAAAAAAGTGGTCATGAGTTAATAATCATGGAGGATGGGGGTCCATTATGTTAGTCTCTTTTTGATTATGTTTGAAATTTTCTCTAATGAAAATATTAAAGAATTATTATCTTTGTAGTTGAATATAAAAAATCTGACTGTAATTTAATGTTATTATCAAGAACCATGTCTAGGCATAGTAGCTCACACCTGAAATCTCAGCACTTTGGGAGGCCAAGGTGGGAGGACCACTAGAAGCCAGGAGTTCAAGACCAGCCTAGGCAACATAGTGAGACCCCGTCTCTACAGAAAAAATTAAAATAAAAAAATTAGCCAGATGTGATGGTACACACCTGAATCCTAGCTACCCAGGAGGATGAGGCAGGAGGATTACTTCAGCCCAGGAGTTCAAGGCTGCAGTGAGTTATGATCATGCCACTGTATTCCAGCCTGGGTGAATAGTAAGAACTTGTCTCAAAAAACAAAACAAAACAAACAAACAAAAACAAAAAAAAAAAGAAAAAGAAGGAAGGAAAATAAGAAAAAAACCTAATTAACATTAAAGTAACACTATGCGCATAGCTCCAAATTCACTTTTTGACCTTCACTGATGCCCACTCAATTAGTGTCAGTAGTTAAATCAGTAGATGCAAATTATTTGGAATTCTGCTTTGTTCACTTAAAATTCACATATACCACTCTTTTCTCTACCTACTATCACTAATCTGACTTACACAGAAATGACAGATATCTTTCAGTTTAATATTTTAAAAAGTTCAACAAATCCTTTAACCTGATGGACTTGGTCATACCTAGAATAATTTTTATATGTTACATTATTGCCATCTGCTGGCTATGTTGTCTAATTACAGTAAACAAATGTTTAAAACAGAAAAGCTAAAAAATTACCTTATATAATAACTGAGATTTTTCTCCCAAAACTATTCAACAGAAAAGAAGCTGCCATACTTTAAGTTTCCTCAAAATCTCACATTAGAAGCAATTGTCCTTGATTCTAGCTGCACTTTAAAATCACCTGGAAGCTTTTGAAAATCCTAATACCTGGACCCCACCAAGCCAAAGCAATTAAATCAGAATCTCCATGTTATGAAATGAAAGTCAACCACAGACTGACAGAAAATATTTGTAAAATATATTGGACTTAGGACTTGTATCTAGAATATAGAAACAGTTCTTACAACTCAATAATGAAACAATCCAATTTTTAAAATAGGCAAAAAATCTGAACAAATAAATATTATACCAAAGATATATGGATGGCAATTAAGCATATAAAAAGATGCTCAACAACATTAGTCATTAGGAAAATCTAAATTAAAATCACAATGAGATACCACTTCATACCTATTAGAACAGTAAAGAGACTAACCTTAACCATACTAAGCATCAGCCAGGATGTGGGGCTACTATAGCCCTCATACTCTGCTGGTGGAAATGTAAAATGGTACAACCACTCTGGAAAACAGTTGGGCAGTTTCTGAAAAAGCGACACACACACACACATATCTACCATAAGACATCTACCATAAGACCAAACCATTCCAGTCCTAAGAGAGTTACCCAAGAGAAAAAAAAAGCTGTAGTAGGTTGAATAGTGTAACCTCAAAATTTATGTCTAGCAGGAAACACAGAATGTGAATGTAGAAAGAGGGTCTTTGTAAATGAAATAAGACAAGGTCATGCTAGATTAGGGTGGGCTCTAAATCCCATAACTTGTAGCCTTATAAGAGGAAGAGATGGCACACAGAGATACACACACACAAAGGCCACATGAAGACAGACGCAGAGAATGGAGTGATGCAGCTAAAAGCCAAGGAACACCATCAATTGCCAGGATCTGGCTTCTGAAGGTAGGAAAGAGAAGGAAGGATTCTTCCCTGGATCCTTCAAAAGGAGCATGACCTTGCCAACATCTTGATTTCAGATTTCTAGCCTCCAGAATTGTGAGAGAGTAAATATCTGTCATTTGAAGCTACCCAGTTTGTGGTAATTTGTTAGGGCAGCCCTAGGAAACAATAACAAAAGCACAAAGACTTGTTCAAGACTGTTCTAATCAGCTTTATTTATAACAGCACCAAACTGGAAATAACCTAAATGTCCATCAACAAATGTACAAATTGTAAAATAGTCACACAATGGAATACTACTCAATTATAAAAATGAAAGAATGATTGAGACACAAAACAAGGATGAAATCTCAAAATGATTATGCTGAATAAAACAAATCAGACCAAAAAAAAAAGTATATATTGTATGATTCCATAGTGGTTGCCTGGGGATGGCAGGGCAAGGGAGTCATTACAAAATGGCATGAGGAAACTTTTGGGGGTGATCCATATGTTCATTATCTTGATTGCAGTGACAGTTCCACAGGTATATACATATGACAAAACTCATAAAGTTGTACACTTTAAATATCTGCTGTTTACTGTATGTCAAATATACTGCAATAAAACTATAGTTGAAAAATCAAAATATTCCTGGGCACGGTGGCTCACACCTGTAATCCCAGAACCTTAGGAGGCCAAGGCAGGAGAATCACTTGAGCCCAGGAGCTCAAGACCAGCCTGAGCAACACAGTGAGACCCTATCTCTAATTTTAACAACAAAACCAAAAGGACTTGTATGAAAAATCAGTATCTTTGGCCGGGCATGGCGGCTCATGCCTGTAATCCCAGCACTTCGGGAGGCTGAGGTGGGTGGATCACTTTTGGTCAGGAGTTCGACACCAGCCTAGCCAACATGGTAAAACCCCGTCTCTACAAAAAATACAAAAATTAGCCAGGCATGGTGGTATGCACCTGTAGTCCCAGCCACTCGGGAGGCTGAGGCAGGAGACTCATGTGAACCCAGGAGACAGAGGGTGCAGTGAGCCCAGATGGCACCACTGTACTCCAGCCTGAGCGACAGAGGGAGACTCCGTCTAAAAAAAAAAAATCAATATCTTTAGTGGCTGAGGTCCAGGTAGCAGTTTTAAACACTTCCCAAGTATTCTAACCAGCAGCCACAGTTGAAAGCCGCTACATTAGAGGGTGTCATCTAATTTACTTTGTTTTGAACAACAGTACTATTTGGGGAAAACATATAAGCCTAAAATAACTTTTATAATGCTCATTTTAGGTGTTTATGGAGGTCAGTTGGCAAAATTTTTTTAAGTAGATTTAATAATTTAATAATTATTTAATAATTTATTCCTTTAATAATTATTCCTTGGTTTATACCTCATATTCTCAAATTATAAGCAAGCTTTAGAAAGCAACATTGAAGGCAGATCCAGCTATTTGTCAACTAGATGTTTCTAATGTTCCTAACACAAAATAATTTAAAATGCTGAATATAATATAGTTTTATTAACGCATATTTACAATGAACGGTATTACGGACTGACTTGTGTCCACTCACCAAATTCATATGTTGAAGTCTCAGCCCATAGTATTTCAGAATGTGACTGTATTTGGAGATAGGCCTTTAAAGAGGTAATTAAGGTAAAATAAGGTCATAAGGATGGGCCCTAATCAAATCTGATGGGTGTCCTTATAAGAGGAAATTTGTACATACAAAGATGATACCAGGAATACACCAGAGGAAGGCCATGTGAAGATACCACAAGAAGGTAGCCATCGGCAAGCCAAAGAGAGAGGGATCAAGAGAAACCAAAGCTGACAACACCTTGATCTTGGACTTCTAGAATCCAGAATGGTGAGAAAATGAATTTCTGCTGTTAAAGCCACCTGGTTTGTGGTATTTGCAATAGCAGCTTTAGCAAATTAATACAAATGGTGAGGAAAAAAAACAACCAACCAACCAAAACAAAACCAACACACACATGTACATGCACGAAGAGACAACCAGTCCCTGGAATCCTCTCATATAGTGCTCTTTGGCCTTCCTCCCTTTCCTATCTGGCCTGGACCCCATGCAGACCATGTTAACTACTTTGTCAGAATCGCCTTCTCTTGCTCTCTATCATGTGCCACATCTAACCAACAAAACCCAAACTCTGGACCAACGCTACCCTTTGTCTTTACTACCTCTGCTCTTGGTGAGCCAAGCTCTGTTGGAAATATATTAAATCACACAATCACACAGAGTAATGTCTACAGATTCACAGATTCAAACCTCAGCACCCACCCTCTGCCATAATCCTTCTGCCTTGAGTTAGCATCTTGACATCCCCTCAAGAACCATTCCAAACCTTCCCCACTCTCTCTAGTACTCTACTTGACTCTCATCTCTCTCATCTTGTATACCACTTAACACAGCAGGTATCATTTCTCTCAATGTTCCCTCTTTCTACCAATTTATCATCCACACCCATCTTCACTTTCTTTTCTACAGCCTCAAATGATATTTCCTTCATTTCCAACCTCCACATTTGTGCTCTTTTTGGCAACCCCTGCTACTTTTACTCAGCAATATTCCTTTTTCTCTCCTACATATCCTGTATACTCAATATTTTTTATCTCTATTGATACCTTTTCTTCATCCTCCAAACAGGCACAAGCCTATCTCTCTAAACCCTCCCTTGACTCCACCATCCTCTAGCCACCACTATATCATCTTTCTAATTTTCATGTAAACTTCTTAAAATTAGAGTTTACACTCAATGGGTATTCACTCAGCTGCTATAACCTGGCTGAATTTGGCCCCCATTAAACTACTGAAACTGTTCTTCCCAAGGTCATCAATGATTTCTTAGTTGCCAAATCCAATGTATCCCTTCAGTCCACACCTTAACAAATCTCTAGTGTATTGCACTCTGTTTTGATATTTGTGACACTGTACTGAATAGATTCTTTCTGCCTTGTTCTGACTGTTCTATCTAATATATGAAACTTCTTCTCTGACCTTCCTTCCTATGCTGGTGTTCCCCATCCCACCCCCACCAAGTTGTGAATTGAGCCCACTACTGTTCTCACTGTTTTCCTGGATGAGCTCAGGCACTCTTCGCATTTAACCTATTACTATTATGTGATGGTCCCCAAACCTCCAGCATTAACTCTCCCCTGTAAGCTGGAACCCAAGTCCTGGATCTTCTGCTGACATTAAAACCCAATATGGGCCAGGTGCGGTGGCTCACACCTGTAATCCCAGCACTTTGGGAGGCCGAGGTGGGTGGATCACCTGAGGCTGGGAGTTCGAGACCAGCCTCACCAATATGGAGAAACCCCCGTCTCTACTAAAAATACAAAATTAGCCGGGTGTGGTGGTGCATGCCTGTAATCCCAGCTACTCAGGCGGCTGAGACAGGAGAATTGCTTAAACCCGAGAGGCGGAGGTTGCGGTAAGCAGAGATTGCGCCATTGCACTCCAGCCTGGGCAACAACAGCGAAACTCTGTTTCAAAAAAAAAACCAAAAAAACAAAAAAACCCGTTGTCGGATATTCAATTATCTTCTCCTCATACCTGTTCTTGGTAGATGGCATCTTTCCAGGGTGACAAAAGAAAAGGAATTAGGGAGTGAGAGTTTGTTCACCCCATCACCCAAGCCGAAAACCTGAACATCATCCTGTCTTCTCCCATCACTGCAGCCAAACCAAATGGTGAAATTTTTATCTCCTAAAATGTTCTCAAAGCTGAGCTGGTCCTTCTCTACCCTTATTCTGGCTTTCATTTCCCTCATCATCCCACACCTGGACCACTCAGCAGCCGTCTGACTCAACTCCAGTGCCTCAATCTTATCCTTTTCAACTCCTTTTTCCAACCAGCTGCCAGAGAGGTCTCTCTAAAATATACATATCATACTTTTGCTTAAAACACTTTTTTTTTTTTTTTTTGAGACAGAGTCTTGCTCTGACGCCCAGGCTGGAGTGCAGTGGCATGATCTCAGCTCACTGCAACCTCCGCCTCCCAGGTTCCAGCGATTCTTCTGCCTCAGCCTCCTTAGTAGCTGGGACTACAGGTGCACGCCACCACGACCAGCTAATTTTTGTATTTTTAGTAGAGACGGGGTTTTCCCATATTGCCCAGGCTGGTCTCAAACTCCTGACTTCATGATCTGCCCGCCTCGGCCACCCAAAGTGCTGGGATTACAGGCATAAGCCACTATGCCCGGCCTGCTTAAAACACGTTAATGGCTCCCCAGAACCTATGACAATGTTTCTTAATAATAGCTGCTCATTATCCTATAGTATGCTATAGGACCAACCAATGAGAAAGGAGAGGCCCTCTCCTGGATGCCACTGCTCCTTCACACTCATTACTTCTCCAGAGGTTTATGATATTCATTGATACCAGGGATCAGCAATTTTTTTCTGTTAAGGGCCAAATGGTAAATATTTCAGGCTCTGTAGGCCACATGTTCTCCTTTATATCTACTCAACTCTGCAGGACAAAAGTACCATAGACAGAGGAGAAGGGGTGGAGCAAGAAGGCAGAATAAAAGGCTCCACTGATCGTCCACTTGCAAGGACACCAATTTAACAACTATCTACACATGTAAAAAAAGCACCTTCAAAAGAACCAAAAATCAGGTGAGGACTCACAGTACCTGGTTTTAACTTTGTATCACTGAAAGAGGCACTGAAGAGGTAGGAAAAACAGTCTTGAATCACCACTGCCATTCCTCTCCCATCCCCCTGCAGCAGCAATGTGGTGCAGAGAAAGACTCTGAGTGTTTGGGAGAGGGAGAGTGCAGCAATTGTGAGACACTGCATTGAACTCAGTGCTGCCCTGTTATAGCAGAAAGCAAAAATAGAACAAACTCAGCTGATACCCACCCACAGAAGGGGCATTTAAACTAGCTCTAGCCAGAGGGAAATTGCCCATCCCAGTGGTTGAAACTGGAGTTCCCACAAGCCTCACCACCATGGGCCAAAGTGCTCCAGGCCCGTAAATAAATTTGAAAGGCAGTCTAAGCCACAAGGATTGCAACTCTTAGGTGAGTCCTAGTGGTGAACTGGGCTCAGAGCCAGTGGACTGGTAGGGGCATGTGACCTACTGAGACGATAGCTAGGGGAGTACTGGTGCCATACCTCCCCTAAGCCCAGGCCGCACATCTCACAGTCTCCTAAACAGACCCACTCCTTCTACTTGAGAAGAGATGGAAGAGTGGGGAGGACTTTGTCTTGCATCTTGGACACCAGCTCAGCTACAGCAGGATGGGGTACCGGTCAGAGTCATGAGACACCCCCTTTTCTAGGCCCTAGCTCCTGGACATTTCTAGACACACTCTGAGCCAGAAGGGAACTCACTGCCTTGAAGGGAAGAACCCAATCATGGAAGGATTCATCACCTGCTAACTGAAGAGCCCTTGGGCCCTGAATAAGCAGCAGCAATATCCAGGTAGTACATCATGGGCCTTGAGTGAGACTCTGATATTGCTAGCTTCAGGTACCACCTCAGCCAGAGGTGGGTAGAGCACTAAGGGTGAGTCCCAGGCCAGGCAGCATGCACCACAAGCTGACTGAAGAGCCTTTCGGCCTTATGAGAACATCAGTGGGAGCCTGGCAGAACTCCCTGTGGGCTGGTGGTGGCGGTGGCCACACGGTGGGGCTCCTCTGCTTTTGGAAACGGGAGGGAAGAGTGGGAAGAACTGTGTCTTATCATTTGAATGCCAGCTCAGCCACAATACAACAGAACACCAGGTAGACTTCTAAGATTTTTGACTCTACTCCCTGGCTCCCAAATGGCACTTCTGGACCTGCTGAGGCCTGGGGGAACTTGTCGCCCTGAAGGGAAGAACACAGGCCTGGCTGGCTTTACCAACTGCTGATTGTAGTGCCCCAGGGCCTTGAGTGAACACAGACAGTAGCCAGGGAGTAGTTAAGCAGGCTTTGGGCAAGATCCAGTGCTCTGCTGGCTTCAGGTCTGGCCCAGCACAGTTCTAGTGGTGGTGGCCACAAGGGTATTTGTGTGACTACGTCCTCAGCTCCAGGTGGCTCAGAATGAGAGGGAGAGACTGTTTGTTTAGGAAAAAGTAAGGGAAGAGAACAAGAGCTTCTGCCTAGTAATCCAGAGAATTCTCCCTGATCTTGTTCAAGGCCATGAAGGCAGTACCTCTTACCACAGCATTACTGGGCTTTGGCTGCCCCCTAAAGCACATACAACTTAGATCACAACACCCAAGTCCTTTTAAGTATCTGGAAAGCCTTCTCAGGAAGGAAAGGTACAAACAAGCCCAGACTGCAAAGACTACAATAAATACCTAACTCTTCAATGCCCAGACATGGTATCAAGACCATCCAGGAAAACAGGACATCACAAAATGAACTAAATAAGGCAGCAGGGAACAATACTGGAGAAACAGATGTGTGACCTTTCAGACAGAGAATTCAAAATAGCTCTACTGAGTAAACTCAAAGAAATTCAAGATAACCCAAGAAGGAATTCAGAATTCTACCAGATAAATTTAACAAAGAGATTGAAAAAAAATTAAAAAGAATCAAGCAGAAATTCTGAAGCTGAAAAATGTAACTGGCATGCTGAAGAATGCATCAGAGTCCTTTAACAGCAGAAGGGATCACACAGAAGAATTAGTGAGATTGAAGACAGGCTATTTGAAAATACACAGTTAGGGCTGGGCATGGTAGCTCACGCCCGTAATCCCATCACTTTGGGAGGCCAAGTGGGCAGATCATGAGGTCAGGAGTTCGAGACCAGCCTGGCCAACATGGTGAAACCCCATCTCTACTAAAAATACAAAAATTAGCTGGGCGTGGTGACGTGAACCTGTAATCCCAGCTACTCAAGAGGCTGAGGCAGGATAATCGCTTGAACCTGGGAGGCAGAGGTTGCAGTGAGCCAAGATCATGCCATTGCACTCCAGCCTGGGCAACAGAACAACACTCCGTCTCAAAAAAACAAAACAAAACAAAACAAAACAAAACAAAAAAACACTAACTCAAAGCATTGAATGATCAAACTTACTTTCCTTCCTTCTTCCTTCTTCCTTCCCTTTCCTTTGCTTTGCTTTCCTTTCCTTTCCTTCTTCCCTTTTTTTTTTTTTTTTGATGGAGTCTCACTCTGTCGCCCAGGCTGGAGTACTGTGGCGCAATCTTGGCTCACTACAACCTCCGCTTCACGGGTTCAAATGATTCCCCTGCTTCAGCCTCCCGAGTAGGTAGGATTACAGGCACGCACCACCATTTCCAGCTAATTTTTTTTTATTTTTAGTAGAGACAGGGTTTCACCATGTTGGCCAGGCTGGTCTTAAACTCCTAAACTCAGGTGATTCACACCCACCTCGGCCTCCCAAAGTGCTGGGATTACAGGCGTGAGCCACAATGCCTGGACGAATAATCCAACTTTCTTTTTTTTCTTGTTTTTTATTTTTTTGAGATGGAGATTTGCTCTTGTTGCCCAGGCTGGAGTGCAGTAGTGTGACCTTGGCTCACCGCAACCTCCGGCTCCCAGGTTCAAACGATTCTCCTGCCTCAGCCTCCTACGTAACTGGAATTACAGAGGCCCGCCACCACGCCTGGCTAATTTTTATATATTTTGTAGAGACGGGGTTTCACCACGTTGGCCAGGCTGGTCTCGAACTCCTGACCCCAGCTGATCCACCCACCTCAGCCTCCCAAAGTGCTGGGATTACAAGTGTGAGCCACCACACCCAGTTGAATAATCCAACCTTCAACGGATAAAGAAAGGATTGGGGCTGGGCGCAGTGGCTCATGCCTGTAATTCCAGCACTTTCGGAGGCCGAGGCGGACGGATCACCTCAGGTCAGGAGTTCGAGACCAGCCTGGCCAACATGGTGAAACCCGTCGCTACTAAAAATACAAAAATTAGCCAGGCGTGGTGGCAGGTGCCTGTAATCCCAGCTACTTGGGAGGCTGAGGCAGGAGAATCACTTGAACCTGGGAGGCGGAGGTTGCAGTGAGCCAAAATAGCACCACTGCACTCCAGCCTAGGGGACAAGAGTGAGATTTCTTCTCAAAAAAAGAAAAAAAGAAAGGATTGGCTAGGTGTGGTGGCTCACACCTATCTATAATCCCAGCACTTTGGGAGGCTGAGGCAGGCGAATCACCTGAGGTCAGGAGTTCGAGATCAGCCTGGCTAACATAGTGAAACCCTGTCTCTACTAAAAATATAAAAATTAGCTGGGTATGGTGGCAGATGCCTGTAATCCCAGCTACTCGGAAGGCTGAAGAAGGAGAATCGCTTGAACCCAGGAGGTGGAGGTTGCAGTGAGCCGAAATAGCACCACTGCACTCCAGCCTGGGTGACAGAGCAAGACTCTGTCTCAAAAAAAAAAAAAACCAAAAAGCAACTAGAGAAAAAAACAAATAACATACAATGGAGCTAAAATACATCTGGCAGCAGACTTTTCAGTGGAAACCTTACAGGCCAGGAAAGAATGGCATGACATATTTAAAGTGCTGAAGGAAAAACACTTTTACCCCAGAATAGTATATGCAGTGAAAATATCCTTCAGACATGAAGGAGAAATAAAGACTTTCCCAGACAAACAAAAGCTGAGAGATTACATCAACACCAGACCTATCCTACAATAAATGCTAAGGAGTACTTCAATCAGAAAGAAAAGGATGGCCAGCTGTGGTGGCTCATGCCTGTAATTCCAGCACTTTGGGAGGCCGAGGTGGGTGGATCACCTGAGGTCAGGAGTTCAAGACCAGCCTGGTCAACATGGTGAAACCCCGTCTCTATTAAAAATACAAAAACTAGCCAGGTCTGGTGGTGCACGCCTATAATCCTAGCTATTCAGAGGCTGAGGCAGGAGAATCACTTGAACCCAGGAGGCGGAGGTTGCAGTAAGCTGAGATCGCGCCATTGCACTCCAGCCTGGGCGACAGAGTGACTGCCTCAAAAAAAAAGAAGAAGAAGAAAAGGACCGTTACTCTGGTGACTCACGCCTATAATTCCAGCACTTTGGGAGGCCAAGGTGGGAAGATCACTTGAGCCCAAGAGTTTGAGACCAGCCTGGGCAGCATAGTAAGACCCTGTCTCTATATTTAAAAAAAAAAAATGGCAGAAAGAAAAGGACATAGGCCGGGTGCAGTAGCTCACACCTGTAATCCCAGCATTTTGGGAGGCCGACGCAGCTGGATAAAGTAAGGTTGGGAGTTCGAAACCAGCCTGGCCAACATGGTGAAACCCTGTCTCTACTAAAAATACAAAAATTAGCCGGGTCTGGTGGAGGGTACCTGTAATCCTAGCTACTTGGGAGGGTAAGACTCAAGAATCACTTGAACCCAGTGGGGGCGGAGGTTGGAGTGAGCTGAGATCGTGCCACTCCATTCCAACCTGGGCGACAGAGTGAGACTCCATCTCAATGAAAAAAAAAAAGAAAAGGACATTAATGAGCAATAAGAAATCATCTGAGGGTACATAACTCACTGTTAATAATAAGTACACAAAAAGACATAGTATATTATAACACTGTAACTATGGTGTGTAAACTAAAACTACTCTTATCTTTAGAAAGACTAAACAATGAGTTTAGTGAGGCAGTGCCTTACGCCTGTAATCCCAGCAGTTTGGGAGGCCGAGGCGGGCAAATCATGAGGTCAGGAGATCAAGACCATCCTGGTTAACATGGTGAAGCCCCGTCTCAACTAAAAAATACAAAAAAATTAGCCGGGCATGGTGGCGGGCACCTGTAGTCCCAGCTACTCGGGAGGCTGAGGCAGAAGAATCACTTGAACCTGGGGGGCAGAGGCTGCAGTGAGCTGAGATTGTGCCACTGCACCCCAGCCTAGGCAACAGAGCGAGACTCCGTCTCAAAAAAAAAAAAAAAAAAGAAAGTCTAAACAATGAACCAATCAAAAATAATAACGACTATAACTTTTCAAGACATTGATAGTACAGTAAGATATAAATAGAAACAATAAAAAGTTAAAAAGCAGGGAGACAAAGTAAAGGTGTAGAGTTTTTATTAGTTTTCTTTTTGCTTGTTTGTTTATACAGTGTTAAATTATTATCAGCTTAAAATAATAGGCTATAGTTAAGTATTAGTGAGCCTCATGGTAACCTCCAATCAAAAAACATACAAGGCTGGGCACGGTGGCTTACGCCTATAATCCCAGCACTTTGGGAGGCTGAGGAAGGCAGATCATGAGGTCAGGAGTTCGAGGCCAGCCTGACCAACATGGTGAAACCCTGTCTGTACTAAAAATACAAAAAAAAAAATTTGCTGGGCATGGTGGTGTGCGCCTGTAATTCCAGTTACTCAAGAGGCTGAGGCAGGAGAATCTCCTGAACCCAGGAGGTGGAGGATGCAGCGAGCCAAGATCGCACCACGGCACTCTAGCCTGGGCGACAGAGCAATACTCCATCTCAAAAAAAAAAAAAGAAAAATACAACAGATACACAAAAAATAAAAAGCAAGAAACTAAATTATATCACCAGAGAAAATCATCTTCACTAAAGGGAAGAAAGGAAGGAAAAAATAAGACCACAAAACAACCAGAAAACAAAATGGCAGGACTAAGTCCTTACTTATCAATAATAACATTAAATGTATCTAGGCACGGTGGGATATAACAAAAGCAGCTATAAGTGCCTATATCAAAACAGAAGAAAAACTTAAAATAAACAACCTAAATATGCATCTTTTTTTTTTGAGATGGAGTTTCACTCTTGTTGCCCAAGCTGGAGTGCAATGGCGTGATCTCGGCTCACTTCAACCTCCGCCTCCTGGGTTCAAGCGATTCTCCTGCCTCAACCTCACGAGTAGCTGGGATTACCAGCGTGCGCCGCCATGCCCAGCTAATTTTTTTTTTTTTTTTGTATTTTTAGTAGAAACGGGGTTTCACTATGTTAGCCAGGCCGGTCTCGAACTCCTGACCTCAGGTGATCCACCAGCCTTGGTCTCCCAAAGTGCTGGGATTACAGGCATGAGCCATCGCGCCCGGCCAAATATGCGTCTTAAAGAACTAGAAAAGCAAGAGTAAACCAAACCCAAAATGGAGAGACTAAATAATAAAGATCAGAGTAGAAATAAATGAAATTGGAATTAAGAAAACCATACAAAAGATCATGAAACAAAAAGTTGGTTTTTTGAAAAGTTAAACAAAATTGATAAACCTTTAGCCAGACTAAGAAAAAAGGAGAGAAGACCCAAATAAAATCAGAGATGAAAAAGAAGACATTACAACAAATACTGCAGAAATTCAAAGGATCATTAGTGGCTACTATGAGCAACCATATGCCAATAAATTGGAAAACCTACAGGAAATGGCCAAATTCCTAGACAGATTCAATATATTAAGACTGAACCATGAAGAAATAAAAAACATGAAGAGACCAATAACAAGTAACGAGATCGAAGCCATAATAAAAAGTCTCCCAGCAAAGAAAAGCCCAGGACCTGACGGCTTCACTGCTCAATTCTACCAAACATTTAAAGAATAATAGCAATCCTAT
The DNA here is from genome assembly GCF_000001405.40 of Homo sapiens. Classification (NCBI taxonomy): domain Eukaryota; kingdom Metazoa; phylum Chordata; class Mammalia; order Primates; family Hominidae; genus Homo; species Homo sapiens. The sequence goes on along the minus strand of NC_000014.9, from coordinate 35,128,405 downwards.
TCAAACTATTCCAAAAAATAGAGGAGGGAAGACTTCCAAACTCATTCCATGAGGCTAGTGTTACCTTGATACCAAAACCAGACAAAGACACAGCAAAAAAAAAACCCAAAAAACAACAAAAAAAAAACAAAAAACTACAGGCCAATATCTCTGATGAATATTGATGCAAAAATCCTCAACAAAATACTAGCATACCAAATTCAACAATACATTAAAAAGATCATTCATCATCACCAAGTGAGATTTATCCCTGAGACGTAAGGATGGTTCAATATACACAAATCAGTTAACGTGATACTAAGAAAATCTGTAAATAATCTTAAGTTACTCTAAACTCTCTTGACTAGAAAAGTTGTGAGAAACTACAATGTTTTCATGGCAGTCTACTTGAACATAGTTTTCTGGAAGCACTTACAGAAAGAATAAGCATCTTTTTAGTTTAAGTGCACTTATTATGCCCCAGTATAATAGGATTGACTTCAACAGATGATGGTCTAACCCAATTATTCTACGAAATTCTAAAGCAATCTCTCCGAAAGGTTGGCAATTGTAGTCAGCAGGCCAAATCCAGCCTACTGCTTGTTTTCATGAATAAAGTTTACTGGAACACAGCCATGTCTATTCATTTATGTATTATCTATGGATGTCTTAACTACAACAGCAGAGTTGAAAAGTTGCAACAGGGACCGATGACCTACAAAGCCTAAAATATTTAGTATCTGGCATTTTACAAAAATTGCTAACCCCTGCTCTAGACAAGCAATCCAAGAAGAAATAAAACTTGTTAGACTCACCTGAGGTGTTGTCTTTCTGTACTGGTCACCTCCATCTATCACATCCCTCATGATTTTTCCCTTAAGACATTCATATTCTTCTGGACTCAGCTGAATAGACTCTATGGTTTTTCCACAGCCCGAACACTGGCCACTGTAATTATAATTGTTAAATAATAATATTTAAATATGTCGAATAATGTTCTGGGGAAAAAAATTTGTGAAATGAACAATGAGGAAATTAAAAGGTAATAAAAAAGAACATTAAAACCTTTGTGATAATCACATACATCTAATTTTTTGTAAACCTGATAATATCACAAATTAGTGTGCCAGAAAACCCAAAAAAGTAGATTGGCCGTTTGGATGACTTTTTTTTTTTTGAGACAGGGTCTTGTATTTTTAGTGGAGACTTGGTTTCAACATGTTGGCCAGGATGGTCTCGAATCTCCTGACCTCGTGATCTGCCTGCCTCGGCCTCCCAAAGTGCTGGGATTACAGGCGTGAGCCACCGCGCCCAGCTCAGATGACATTTTTAAAGTAATTCCTATCCTCTGGAATATCATATTGGTGAATTAAATAAATAAATAAATCCTAAAACACAACTGGGTCTGGAACCTCTAGGGAAAAAACATCTCTAAGACTTCATATAGGTTCACAGTACTCACAGGAAAAACATTTTGGGCACTGCTAAGTCTCTGTATGCAAAGTATGTTTTTTTCCTCAGATACTCTAATTACAAACTTGTAATTATCCTACCCTTAAGGTGTTCTTAAATATTTTTCAATTAATAGCAACAAAACCTACTAAACCAAAATCAAACAAGTTAAAAATAAACATTGGTCTTCACCTTTTTCGGACTGTGGTGAATTGTCCTTTCCATTGTTTTCCAGGAACACTATGAAAAGATTGCAAAACCAAATCATGAGAAGGTTAGATTCCTACTGAAATGAAAGATATTCATGGTATTTGGAAACTCTTATAAGCAAGAAGTCCGAAAAGTTCAAGATACTTCTGTAGAATGGTTTAATTTAAAAAGTGGCTGCTATCCTGGATGGGGTTAAGAAGCTGCTGGTACTCTGCTCTGGATCTCCTTCTTCCCTGTGGTTCTCCTCCCAACAAATAACTCTCATCTTCAAGTCTACCAAAAGCGGCTGACCTTAGTAGCATAACCTCTAAACCAAACTCAACTCTTACCTTCTCCATAAAGCTGCCAGAAATTGCTCCTGCCGAGAGTAATTTACCTCTTACACACCACTGTTATTTCACTGTGTGGTACTGTATTCCCAATTAAATTGAGAATGTCATAATAGATTTTATAAAACACTCGCAATGCCTAGCCTATTTGGAAGCATTCAAAAACTATGTATTGATGTATTTGTTCAATCAATGTATCCTTTCCTCCTTCCCCTTCCACATATTACCATCAGTTCTTATGATTCTACTGCCTTCTCTCCTTCCTCAGTTCTTAATTCTCATCATCTCTCACCTAAACCTAAAATTGTATTCACGCAGATCTCCCTGTTTTCAATCTTAATCCCTCTCCTATCTACTCTTCTCACTTGGCAACTGCCTTTGTAAAACTCCATTCCAGCATTATTTTTTTCTTTTGAGACAAGGTCTTGCTCTGTCGCCCAGGTTGGAGTGCATGGCGCCATCACAGCTCCCTGCAGCCTTGATTGACTCCCTAGATTCAAGTGATCCTCTTGCTTCAGCCTCCCAAGTAGCTAGGACTACCGGCACACACCGCCATGCCAAGCTAATTTTTGTATTATTTGTAGAGACAGGGTTTCACCATGCCCAGGCTGGTCTCCAACTCCTGGCCTCAAGCTATCCTCCCACCTCAGTCTCTAAAAGTGCTCAGATTACAGGCGTGAGCCACAGCACCCAGCCAAATCCAGCATTCTTGATAACAGAATAAAATCCAAACTCCTTGGTATTCAAAGATTTTCACAAATGGGCTCCTCCTCCCTTGATCTTCAGTAAGTTTAAGATAATTAAGCATAATTACTGCTTCAAAGCTCCGTAAACATGATATAGGGGAAAAAAAGGCAAGAGAAAAACAGAGGGAAGGAACAAATTTTTAGGAAGCAAATTAATGAAGAAATAATGACTAAGCATGGTGGCTCACACCTGATCGCTTGAGGCCAAGAGTTTGAGTCCAGCCTGGTCAACACAGCAAGACCCCACCTCTTAAAAAAAGAATATTAATTTTAAAAAATAAGTAAAAATTTTCAAAAATTTTAAAAAAGACTAAAGCAATAAACAGGTATGTACCCAGTAACATGAATAAAGCAAAAGCAAACCAAAGGAGAGAGCTTTAGAGAGACAGCAGCCAAATGATAGAAAGGTCCAAAACAAACTGGAAGGGTTAAGATTTTCCATTGTAATGCTTACGTATAAGGCTTGATCAATATCCCCCTGTCCACTCTAATCATCCAAGTTGATGAACTATAGATAGTAGACAGAATAGGCCGGACGCGGTGGTTCACGCCTGTAATCCCAGCACTTTGGGAGGCCGAGGCAGGCGGATCACCTGAGGTAGTTCGAGAGCAGCCTGACCAACATAGAGAAACCCCGTCTCTACTAAAAAGAAAATAGAAAATTAGCAGGGCATGGTGGCGCATGCCTGTAATCCCAGCTACTCGGGAGTGTGAGGCAGGAGAAAACCCGGGAGGCAAAGGTTACAATGAGCCGAGATCATGCCATTGCACTCTAGCCTGGCAACAAGAGCAAAACTCCGTCTCAAAAAAAAAAAAAAGGGAGAGAGTAGACAGAATAAATATAAGCATATTATCTCAGTCGCTAGATTTCAGAGGAACTTCTGAAAATACTAATATGGCCAGAGACAGTTCTAGTCAAATGCTATATTCTTTTCTTGCTATGAACAGTGGCCATAAGTAGTATTAAGTACTCACATCATACTAGATGCCTAAGAAAACAAAATTAATGATCCTTCCAAAAGGAAAAAAATGTAAAAATTAAAACTGCTATATAATTTCAGTTTTATGTGATGGGTAAAGATTAGCACAAATTATGTATGTTGTTACTTTTTTTAAAGAGAGAAAATTTTGTCGTAAAGAGAAAATAAATCTTACTAAGAGATGGAAAAAAGTATAATCAGAAGAGTGATTCTCAGCAACTAACAACAAAAAAGAATGGCTACTTTGAGGTTTAAAGTTATTAAATTAAAAATAATTAGCCAGGTATGGTGGCACATGCCTGTGGTTTTAGCTACTGAGGAGACTGAAGCGAGAGGATCACTTGAGGCCAGGAGTTTGAGGTTACAGTGAGCTATGAACACACCACTGCACTCCAGTCTGGGCAACAGAGCAAGACCCTGTCTCAAAAAAAAAAAAAATTAAAGAATAAAAACATACATATAAAAAAACCAAAATTACCTCTCAAACCATGTTTTTATACTGTGTGCAAATGACTCCCCTGGATACAGCTGATTATTTCTTAGATATGAAAGAATATCTAGTAGTTTATTTGAATAGTTATCATCCTTTATGTCTTTTCCAAAATCAAAGAAAGCTTTTAAAGTTTCCAACATAGGAACAATATCATGACCTAGCAATTCCTGATATAAATTCCAAGCTGTGTTTACATCTTGATGAAGGAGAGCTCCCTGGATACAGTCATTATAGTTCTTTTTTGAAGGAGTTATAACTTTTTTGATGTCCTCTAACAGCAACAATGCTTCTCTCCATCTGTCTGAATGGATCAATCCCCGGATGAGAAGACTGTAACCTCTAGGTTCTAAAGTCTTATATCTGGCTTTCATAATTTCAAAGACATCAATAACTTCAGATGTCTGCATATGAAAGACACAGAGATACAAATACTTGACCAGTAAATCGTAACTTACAATACCATTATTTTTGGCTGCTACCCATGCCAGCAGAGATTTAGCCACATCTATAGAGCTATGACAGCCAGCCATCTGTGAAATGATCCAACTTTCGAAACTGGTCTTTCCGGTGTTTTCTTTTAAATCTTCCTTAAGTTTATCCCACTCCTCTGAATTCAAAGGTTGTGTTGGGAGTTGAATAGTGTTCCTCACAGGTGCCAAGGCATGATCTTCAGTTTGAGAATTCATCTGTGATCTCTCCTTAGCTGCTCCAGCTAAAAAAAAATGAGGAACAGAATAAACTTGCTTATTACTGCCCTCATCTTTCCTGAGATATCTGGCCTTGGCAATCAGATTCGTTGCTTTGGTATTCTGTGGAGACATTGTTTTAAGAGAAAACAACCTCTGCTGGTTCCTGATGCCACAGCGGTCTGCCAGAAACAGCGAGACATAAGAGTGCCCTGGGCCTAGCCCAAGGTATGGGCTCTTCCAAAGCTTCGGAAAGCTTCGAATACCAAACAAATAGAAAGTCATTATGCAGTGAGATCAGCACCAGATAGTGAGAGAGATGTTGAAAAAACCCCTCTTCTATGGCAAAATTAAAGAGATTGGGGGTCGGCGGTGCAGAGTCGAAGTGGAACTTTTTAAAAGGTTTGTGTTTCTTCCTTACAGACAAATCAAGGTTCTGCTTTTGGGGCTACTTAAAAGCAAGAAGGCAGGTGAGTTTTCTCTATTAAACAACAATCCGGGGATGTCCAACGTCGCAAGCCGCAAACCAGGGGACAGAGCAGGAATCCTCTGGTGCCTCTTACATTCCAGTTCATGAACCTGAGGAAAAAGCACAAGACGGAACGCCCAGTTTTACTCACGTGGATCACAGCTGTCCTGAAAAGGAACAGATTCCCACGGGAAGCTTGCTGGAAAGGGGGTGTAAAGCCAAAACCGTATCCAGGGACCCCCAACTCCAGCCTACCACCAACAGCGGCGAAAGCCGAAGTCTAGGGGCCCTCACCCTGCATAGCTCTCTACAGACCGCAAAACTCCTCCGGTGGGGGGACGAGGAGGGAGGAGGTGGCGAGTCAGCTGCGCCAACGACTCAGGAAAGGAAGAGAGGTACAGGAAGGGCGCTGCCTAGACTGCGTACCGAACGCTGACAAATGAAGTTCACTTCATTCAACAACTCAAAGCGGCACTCAGACTTAACGCGGCCATAAACGCGGCGGAAACTACAGTGCCCACGATGCACCGCGCCAGCCCCGACCGACGGACGAGACTGACCCGGACTTAGGCGTTCCGCCTGGCCCGGCGGCGAGGAAAAAAGGCAGTTTTGAAGCATTTAGTGGCAAAAGGGGTAGGAGACGGCTGCTGAAGTGTCTACTACATTCAGGGGACCTGGAAGGCTTCCAGATATCCGCAATGAACAATGAAAAGAAATTGTGAAAGAAGGCGCTTCCCTCAAGCCGGAACTAATGAACTCCTGGGTCACGTGGTGCGCACGCGCCAAAGGCACACGATAAAGGAAAACGCGGGCTTATCGTGGCCTTTAAAATCCGGCTTGGTGAGCTTGGGTCGCCTCTGAAGGAGAACCATTTTCCATCTCTTTCATAGTTTTTTCCCCCAGTCAGCGTGGTAGCGGTATTCTCCGCGGCAGTGACAGTAATTGTTTTTGCCTCTTTAGCCAAGACTTCCGCCCTCGATCAAGATGGTGGTTGGACGGCCTTCCTAACCTTTACGGGGCCTGGCGGTGCTGACGCCTGAGCTGGTAGGGGTGGAGCAGGTAGGAAACAGCAAATGCAGAAGCTGCTGCGCGGAAGTCGGCCATGGACTGGAAAGAAGTTCTTCGTCGGCGCCTAGCGACGCCCAACACCTGTCCAAACAGTGAGTTTTGGGAGGGGCAGCCCGTTGGGATGGCCCGGCCCTAAACTCCTAGAGGTAGGGGGGAGGTGGGGAGGAGGAGCAAGGGGGAGCCGCCTTTTCCGCTTCTGTGAAACCTCCCGACAAAGGAGGCGGAGTGGAATGTGGTTTAAGGATCCCGATAGGTTTGACCCAAACTTTCCTGGGGCAGAATCTAGAGGAACGAAAAACTTAGCTTTAGTCACTGACTTCCATGGTCTTAATCTAAACTTGTGAAGAATAACTTGGAACCCCGGCTCCAACAACGCCTGAACCCCACCAGGACCTATAATTGTCCTCCTGCCTTTTTACTGTCACGCTTTTTGCTTCCCTCGTAATCCATTTTATATTTCATAATCCATTTTTCCTTTTATTTTTCTCCTTCACATTGCTTATTAACTAACCTCGTTAAATCTACCTTTCCTATTCCACACCCGCACTAAGGGCTGTTGAAAGTGGCTGGAGAAAAACAGAACCTTGGTGAGTTGTCTCACTTTTTTTTTTGAGACGGAGTCTCTTGCTCTGTCGCCCAGGCTGGCTGGAGTGCAGTGGCAGCATCTCCGCTCACTGCAACCTCTGCCTCCCGGGTTCAAGCGGTTCTTCTGCCTCAGCCTCTGGAGTAGCTGGAACTATAAGCGCGCGCAACCACGGCCGGTTAATTTTTGTATTTCTAGTAGAGACGGGGTTTCGCCATATTGGCCAGGCTGGTCTCAAACTCCTGACCTTGTGATTCGCCCACCTCGGCCTCCCAAAGTGCTGGAATTACAGACGTGAGTCACCGCGCCCCGCCGAGTTATCTCACTTTTAATACAAGTCCACTAATCTAAAGAAGGTGTTTTGGTCATGTCTACCGTGTTTTCCTGGACGTTCATTCTCCTACATTCAATTTTCATCTCCCAAACTGCCAATCTGTGTTTTCCTAAATACACTTTTTTTTTTCCGATACAGGATCTCCCTGTGTTGCCCAGGCTGGAGTGCAGCGGCGCAGTGAAGTATTGCTGCAACCTCGATTTCCTGGGCTCAAGGGATCTTCCCACCCCAGCCTCTTGAGCAGCTAGAAGTACAGGCACACGCCACCACACCCGGCTAATTTTTTATTTTTAGTGGAGATGAGGTCTTGCTATGTTGCCTGGGCTGGTCTCGAATTCCTGGCCTCAGGCAGTCTTCCTACCTCCACCTCCCAAAGTGTTGCTATTACAGACGTGAGCCGCCGCACCCAGGCAACACTCTTTTACACTATTCTTCTCATCTCCTACACCTGCAGTCTGTCCTACCCGCTTCTTACTTTAAGCTGATGAACTTGTATTTTAATATATATCTCATTAAGAAAGGAGAAGCAGTCGGCCGGGCGCGGTCGCTCAGTCCTGTAATCCCAGCACTTTGGGAGGCCGAGGCGGGCGGATCACGAGGTCAGCAGATCGAGACCATCCTGGCTAACACGGTGAAACCCCGTCTCTACTAAAAATACAAAAAAATTACCCGGTAGTGGTGGCGGGCGCCTATAGTCCCAGCTACTCCAGAGGTTGAGGCAGGAGAATACCTTCAACCCGAGAGGCGGAGCTTGCAGTGAGCCCGAGATTGTGCCACTGCACTCCGGCCTGGGCGACCGAGCGACACTCAGTCTCAAAAAAAAAGGAGAAGCAGTCAGAGGAGAACATCACCTGTCCCCCTTAACATTTCTTTCAGCCCCACAACCCCACAGTTAGTTGCCCATACACTCTGGCTTCACTGTTAAAATGATGAACTGATGCCGGGCGCGGTGGCTCAAGCCTGTAATCCCAGCACTTTGGGAGGCCGAGGCGGGCGGATCACGAGGTCAGGAGACTGAGACCGCAGTGAAACCCCGTCTCTACTAAAAATACAAAAAATTAGACGGGTGCGGTGGCGGGCGCCTGTAGTCCCAGCTACTCAGGAGGCTGAGGCAGGAGAATGGCGTGAACCCGGGAGGCGGAGGTTGTAGTGAGCCGGAGATTGTGCCACTGCACTCCAGCCTGGGCGACAGAGCGAGACTCCGTCTCAAAAAAAAAAAAAAAAAAAGATGAACTGTCCATGCTCCTATTTAAGAGTCCCTCCAGTCCACCACTAGATTGCATTCTTTTCCCTGTATTCACTGACTTCCTTCCAGCCTCCTCCTTTCTTTCCTACATCATCAGATTTTCCTTCTGCTGGATCATTTACACCAGCACAAACGTGCTGTTAATATCACCCATCTTTTTAAAAGGTGGGTGGTCGGGGGTAGTGGTGTTGGGAGGCTCGGTGGCTCATTCATGTAACCCCAGCACTTTGGGAGGCCGAGATGGGAAGATCGCTTGAGGCCAGGAGTTTGAGACCAGCCTGGGCAACATAGTGAAACACCGTTTCTACAAAAATAGAAAGTAAAAAATTAGCCCGGGTGGTTGTGCACCACTGTAGTCCTAGCTACTCGAGAGGCTGAAGCAGGGAGGGTTGTTTCAGTCTAGGAGTTTGGGGCTGCAGTGAGCTATGATCATGACACTATACTGCAGCCTGGGTGACAAGAGCCAGACCCTGTCTTAAAAAAAATTCATTTGGGCTGGGCACTGTGGCTTACACCTGTAATCCCAACACTTCGGGAGGCCGAGGTAGGCAGATCACTTGAGGTCAGGAGTTCAAGACCAGCCTGGCCAACATGGTGAAAGTCCGTCTCTACTAAAAATACAAAAAGTAGCTGGGCGCAGTGGTGCACACCTGTAATCCCAGCTACTTGGGAGGCTGAAGCGGGAGAATCGCTTGAACCCAGGAGGCAGAAGTTGCGGTGAGCTGAGATTACGACACTGCTCTCCAGCCTGGGCGATAGAACGAGACTACATCTCAAAAAAAAAAAAAAAAGTCATTTGATCCCACATCCCTCTCCAGCTTCTGTTGCATTTCTCTGCACTCTTCATAGGAAAACTTCTCAAAGAAGTTACCTGTACTTGGCTGGGCGCAGTGGCTCATGCCTGTAATCCCAGCACTTTGGGAGGCTGAAGTGGGTGGATCACCTGAGGTCAGGAGACAGACCAGCCTGGCCAACGTGGTGAAACGCTCTCTCTACTAAAAATACAAAATTTAGCCGGGCATTGTGGCAAGTGTCTGTAATCCCAGCTACTCAGGAGGCTGAGGCAGGAGAATCACTTCAACCCAGGAGGTGAAGTTTGCAGTGAGCCAAGATCGCGCCACTGCCCTCCAGCCTGGGTGACAGTGAGACTCAGTCTCGGAAAAAAAAAAAAAAAAAAGGAAGGTACCTGTACTTGTACTTTGTGTGCTTTCTTGACCCCTTAACTCTTAAACCCACTGCATTCTTTTAGCAGATATTTATTGCATGCCTGTTTTGTGCCAAGTACCGTTGTAGCTTATAGCAGAACACAAAAAAATCTCTGTCTTTGTAGAACTTACACTTTAGTGTGGAGAGAAATAATAAAATAATAAGTAAATTATATAGGTTGTACAGCACCTGCGTAAGTCTGGTTCCTTCATCAGTGTACTAGATCCTATCCTTTGTAGTAGATTCCATTTTTGCCTGCTGAAGGATGTACTCTTGCAGTTGTCCCTTCTCCTGTATCATCAGTTTTTCTTTAATCATTCCCATCAGCATATAAACATGCTGGTATTTCTCCCATCTTAAACTTTCTTGACTTAATTTCCACCTCTAGCCATTCCTCATTTTTCTGTTCCCCTTATAGCAATATTTGTTAAAACAGTTGTTGGTTAAATCTGTACTCGTCTCGAATTCCTGCTTGTCAAGAATCATCAGTGACTGCTATATTGTTAACTTCAGTGGTCAGTTGTCAGTCTTGACTTTGCTTGAAAAATTTTGCAGTTTTCTACAACAGCACTGAGCCATAGTAAAGAAATTAACTTATAGGTTTGGTCTAAGGTTAAAAATTAACATAATAGGCCAGGCATGGTGGCTCATGCCTGTAATCCCAGCACTTTGGGAGGCCGAGGTGGGCAGATCACCTGAGGTCAGGAGTTCAAGACCAGCCTGACCAACATGGAGAAGCCCCATCTCTACTAAAAATACAAAATTAGCCAGGCGTGGTGGCACATGCCCGTAATCCCAGCCACTCAGGAGGCTGAGGCAGGAGAATCCCTTGAACCTGGGAGGCGGAGGTTGCCGTGACCCGAGATCGTACCATTGCGCCCCAGCCTGGGCAACAAGAGTGAAGCTCCATCTCCAAAAAAAAAAAAATTAACAGATGCAGCAGAAATGCAGTCATAAAAGGAATTCAAGGAAACAATTACAGGCTTGTTGGGAAGGAAATGAGACCAGAAAGAGTAAAATAACTTTTGAGAAAATAGATCACAGAATTCAAGAGCTCAGTGAGGCTGAAGTGGAAATGGTATGGCAGTGAGGTTTTGAATTACCAGAAAGGATGATCTGAGAGTATATTTGAGCTTAAGATTTCAGAAAGGGATCAAGTAAAATCTGTGATCTTGTCATAGAACCAAATGGCAGAATGAACTAGAGGTGAAAGTCTTTGGAGTTGCAGGACCCATGGTCACCCACATAAATGTTTATTCATCCTAAATGATTGCAGGACCTTGTGAAGAACACTGTGTACCAGTCACCATAGTCCACAAATAAGTGGGGAGGAATTGGCTGAATGAGACAGCCACGTGCCAATAGCAGGCGAGTTGCAGGGTAATAGAGCCCTGAGTTTTGAGCTTCAGACAGAGGATGAGTTTTTTTGTTTGTTTTCTCTACATTAGGTAGAGAAACAGTGATTATGAGGCTGAAACTCCATGAGGTCAGGGGCTGGGGCTGTCTTGCTCACCCCTCATTCCGTGTCTACTACAGCGTTCTCTGTACATAGTAGGTGCTCAGTAAATTCTTTTCATTGAATGAATTAGGAGCACTCTACAGAGTTCTGTAGGAGAGGTAATTTGAGGAAGAGACTAGCTTTAGCGATAAACAGAAGTAGAGGGAGCATGAGAAATGGTTGAAGATGTAGAGGAGGCTGCTTCAGTAGAGGGTAGTGATTCTTGGTATTTCAGAAAAGTTAATATGCTCAGTGTCTAAGCACAATTGTGAAGGCCTTTTTGGCACTGCAACTATTTTAATTAAACTATTAATATAATATATAGGATGACCTGAGTAAAAGTACTGCTTGATTTTAAAAGTGCTCCCCTTAATCTGTTTTGTTACCAGAAAAAAAAAGTGAACAAGAATTAAAAGATGAAGAAATGGATTTATTTACAAAATATTACTCCGAATGGAAAGGAGGTAGAAAAAACACAAATGAATTCTATAAGACCATTCCCCGGTTTTATTATAGGGTAAGTAGTGTCTAATCAAATGTCCTGCAGAGTTTAAAAATGAAATATAATTTTTGGCAAGGCAGGGTGGCTCATACCTGTAATCCCAACACTTTGGGAGGCTGAGGCGGGAGGATCACTTGAGTCCAGGAATTTGAGACCAGCCAGGGCAACATAGCAAGATCCCATCTCTAAAAGAAATTTTTTAAAAAATAGCTGGACATGGTGATGCATGCCTGTAGTCCTAGCTTCTCAGGAGGCTGAAGCAGGAGGATTACTTGAGCCCAGGAGATCGAGGCAGCAGTGAGCCGTGATTGTGTCACTGCACTCCAGCCTGGGTAACAGAGTTAGACCCTGTCCTCCCCACCCCCAGAAAAAAAAGTAGTTTTAAAAATAGGACCAGAATTTTATGTTTTAAAAATAGAGAATTATATTTTAAATTTTATATATTATTTTATTGTAATTGATCTTATCACTATTATAAAACATTTTGAGCCCAATAAAATCCCAAGTTTAGATTTAAGTGGGTATGTAAACACAAAGTTGTTAAACTGTGGGCTTTTTCTTTCTGATTTTTATTATAGATATTAGTAGTAAGTATTCTATTGGATTATGTTATCAGGTATACACTTTGTTATAAAGTTTTAAAATTTTGCTCAAGGCTAAACCGAAAAATAGATTATGGAAAACCTAAAGAATTTCACTTGAGGCCAGGCATGGTGGCTCATGCCTGTAATCCCAACACTTTGGGAGGCCAAGGTGGGTGGTGGATCATGAGGTCAGGAGTTCGAGACCAGCCTGACCAACATGGTGAAACCCTGTCTCTACTCAAAATACAAAAATTAGCCAGGCGTGGTGGCGCGCGCCGGTAATCCTAGCTACTCAGGAGGCTGAGGCAGGAGAATCACTTGAACCCAGGAGGTGGAGGTTGTAGTGAGCCCAGATCGCGCCACTGCACTCCAGCCTGGGTGACAGAGCAAGGCTCTGTCTCAAACAAACAAACAAAAAAGGAATTTCACTTGATTATTTTTTCCTTGTGCCAAAACTCTGAAAATGGCTATGAAGGGACGTATAGACAAAATAGACCTTAAGAAAAGCTATTCATGGTAGGGTCACTGCACTCCAGCCTGGGTGATAGAGCAAAGACCCTGTCTCAAAAAAAAAATGTTGGCCAGGTGTGGTGACTCACACCTATAATCCTGTCACTTTGGGAGGCCATCAAATCAGGAGGATCACTTGAGGCCAGGAGTTTGAGAACCAGTCTGGGCAACTTGGTGAGATCGTGTCTCTCCAAAAAAAACTTAGCCGGGCATGGTGGTGCGCACCTGTAGTCCCCGCTACTCAGGAGGCTGAGGTGGAAGGATCGCTTGAGCTCAGGAGCTTGAGGCTGCAGTGAGCTGTGATCATGCCACTGCATTCCAGCCTGGGTGGCAGAGCAAGAGCCTATCTCAAAAAAAAAAAAAGAAAAAGAAAAAAAAAAAAGCCGTTTACAACCTGGCAATGGTAGGGCAATTCGCCTGTAGTCCCAGCTACTCTGAGAGGGTGAGGAAGGGAGAATCTCTTAAGCTCAGCAGTTTGAGACCAGCCTGGGCAACATAGTGAGACCACCCCACACCCCATCTTTTTGTTTTTTTTTTGAGATGGAGTCTCACTCTGTTGCCCAGGCCGGAGTGCAATGGCACGATCTCAGCTCACTGCGACCTCTGCCTCCCAGGTTCAAGTGATTCTCCTGCCTCAGCCCTCCTAAGTAGCTGGGATTATAGGTGTGCGCCACCACGCCCAGCTAGTTTTTGTATTTTTAGTAGAGACCGGGTTTCACCATGTTGGCCAGGCTGGTCTCGTACTCCTGATCTCAGGTGATCTACCTGCCTCGGCCTCCCAAAGTGCTGGGATTACAGGCGTGAGCCACCATGCTGGCCCATCCCATCTTTTTTTTTAGAGGTCTATTTTTTTTTCTTAAGGTCTATTTTGTCTATTTAAAAAAAATAAAAATAAAAAGCTATTTATACCTGAAACTGAAATCTACTGAAAAATACCTATTTAGTATTATACAAGTTAACTGGAATCTTAGCTGGATGTTCCTTGAACCTATTACCTTCTAACTCTATTAATTACAACGTTATTTGCAAGTATAGTAAACAATGATTTAGCTGGTGTTCTTACAGATTAAGGTATTTATATAAGTGAGTTATCCAGATACTGAAATATTTCTTCAAGTGCAAATTTTTTTCAACCGAACATTTTTTATTGGAAACCTTCCTATAATACTATATACTTCTCAACCTTTTAAGAATCATATGCCTGTAATCCTAGCCTATATTTATTGTAGAAAAGGAAAAAATATGGCTAAACAAGTTGATCTCTTCCCATGACAACATCACCCAACAATGTAAACAGAACATTTTATATGAATCTTTCTACATATTTCTGTGGGTATCTGTGTATTTTTTTAAATGGGATTACATCATACATACCTTTACTGCTTTTTGCATTTCACACTCTCCTTAAACAGAGGCAGCTAAATAACTGAATATTTTTGATAGCCGAGGGGAGAGAGAAGGGAATTGACATTTATTGAGTGTCTAAGCACTGCAGAGCCCTTTGTATTCTTTATCTCATTTAACCTGGATTCTTAAATAATATGTTACTGTTATCGAACATAGGTTCTTGGGTTCTCAATGCAAAAGGGAGAGAGAGCACCTGACTCTGAAAAGAGCTGGTAGGGCTTTTTAAAAAAAAATCAGGAATTGATATTAGGGTGGGGTATGCAGGCTGGGCTGGGCAAAGCAGATCAGGTAGGGTATGCAGGTCAGCATTGTCTGGTTGCTATGGTTATCTTGAGCAGCGGGCCACCTGGTCTGGCTAGAGGCAACAAGGCTGTAAATCAGTTGTTCAGCATTCCTTCCCCAGATAGGACACTCACTTCACAACTTTGGTTATCTCCTAGTTACTGGAATTCTTTTGAGTAAAAGGCATGGTTTGGACATTATGGTGTCAGTGAGGTAGTGGTGTGGGTTTTGTGATCAGTGGGAATGCATGAAAAGAGTGCCATAGTGGGAGTGAGCTGACCCAAGCCCCCATTCCTACTCTGTCTCATTCCTAACAGCTCTTGGATAGGAATGGTGTGACCCCGTTCCTGAGCCCAGGACTGAACTTTCTTGTACTTCCGGGACCAAACCTTTGCCTTCTTTTTCTGGTTCCTGAGGGAATCTCCTTTTTTTCCTTTCTTCGTGTCACTTCTCTCTTTGGCCACCTCTAGATCTTAGATGGTCTCCTGTCTGCAGCTATGGATTTGTAAAAAAGTCCTTTCCCTTCTTTCTTCTTCCTCTCCATGGTCCCACTGCTTCAGAGAAAACACCTATTATCTTGAGTCACCACTTCTCTCCTTGGCTGATTAGCTGGTTAACTAGCCACTAGAACACAATGTCAGTCACCCCCAACTCCAGCCCCATCCCCATCTCCTAATGTTTCTTCTGTTGACGAAGAGTTGAACTCTGTAAAATATTTGAAGAGATTTATTCTGAGCCAAATATGAGTGGCCATGGCCTGTGACACAGCCTTCAAGAGATCCTGAGAACATGTACCAAAGGTGGTTTGGGTGCAGCTTGGTTTCATACATTTTAGGGAGGCATGAGACATCAATCAAATACATTTGAGAAATACATTGGTTTGATCCAGAAAGGTGGGACAATTTGAAGTGGGGCTTCCAGGCTACAGGTAAATTCAAATGTTTTCTGGTTGACACTTGGCTGAGTTTGTCTAAAGACCTGGGATCAAACAGAAAGGAATGTCTGGGTTAAGATAAGAGGCTGTAGCGACCAAGGTTTTATCATGCAGATGAAGCTTTTAGCTAGCAGGCTTCAGAGAGAATAGGTTGCAAAATGTTTCTTATTAGACTTAAAGTCTGTGTTGATGTTAATGCCAGAGAGGTATAACGAGGCATGTTTGACCCCCACTTCCCATCATGCCCTGAAACAGTCTCTCAGGTTAAATTTTAAGGGCGCTGACTGAGGAGGAAGTCCATTCAGATGGTTGGGGGGCCTTAGAATTTTATTTTTGGTTTATACTCCTTTAACTCTGTTCCTTCTGATGGGAGGGATGGCATCTTAGTTCCTGGAAATGAAAGATGAAAACCATAACCCCAAGTTTTGACGTAAGGTTTACCGAGGTAATTTAATGGGGCTAAGATGTAGAAAAGGAAGAAGAACTCTTTAAAGTAAATTATTCTGGCTGGGTGTGGTGGCTCATGCCTGTAATCCTAGCACTTTGGGAGGCCAAGGTGGGAGGACTGCTTGAGTCCAGGACTTCAAGACCAACCTGGGCAACATAGCAAGACCCTGCCTCTATTATTAATTTAAAAAAGAAGAAATAAAGCAAATTGTTCTAAGTCAGGTTGGAATGAATCATTCTAAAGCTCTGCTCATGGAAATCACCCCAGTTGGCAAACCCTCTTGCCTGGGAGGCCAACATAATAGGCACTGCCTTGACTGTCTCCAAGAAGAAAGGTGATCCAATCTCAACAGGCATGCTTTCCTAAAACTGGACAAGAAGAATAAATGGTTTTTGCTGGACAGGAAGAATTACAGGTAAGAACCACCCAACAGGTTCTTCTTGCCTGCTACCCAGATAGAGCCAATTTATCAAGATGGGAATTGCAAGAGAGAAATAATTTCATATACATGGAGACAGCTAAATGGGAGACAGGAGTTTTATTATTACTCAAATCAGCCTTCTTGAAAAGTTGGAGGCTAGGGTTTTTCAAGGATAGTTTGGTAGGCAGGGGCTAGGGAATGGGTACTGCTGATTGGTTGGGGATGGAATCACAGGGATATAGAAAAACAGTCCTGGTCCTTGCGTGCTGAGTCTGCTTCTGGGTTGGGGCCACAGAGGAGTGGCTGGTCTGAGAGGGGCCATTGGGTAGTCAGAAGTGCAAAAGCCTGAAAAGACATCTCAAAAGGCCAGTCCTGTGTACTACAATAGTGATGTTATTTACAGGAGTAATTGAGGATGTTGCAAATTTTTGTGCCCTCTGGAATAATAACTGCTAATCATTTAACTGACCTGCATCTTAGCAGAATTCTGGTCCTTCGCATCCTCCTGACCTGGTGTCCTTTCATTAGTTTTACAAAGGCAGTTTAGTTTTGGGATGAGCTATTATCATTTAAATCATAAACTAAATTTCTCCCAAATTTATTAATATCTTGGCCCATGCCCAGGAATGACCAAGGGCAGATTGGAGGTTAAAAACAAGATGGAGTTGGTTAGGTCAGATCTCTTTCACTGTCATCATTTTGTCACTGTTATAATTTTGCAAAGGTGGTTTTGAAATTGTCAATCTCCAGTTAATCCTCATTTAATTCTTCTATATCATTCTTTTTTTTTTTTTTTTTTTTTTGGTAGATGGAGTCTCGCTCTGTTGCCAGGCTGGAGTGTAGTGGCGTGATCTCAGCTCACTGCAACCTCCGCCTCCTGGGTTTAAGCAATTCTCCTGCCTCAGCCTCCTGAGTAGCTGGGACTACAGGCACATGCCACCATGCCCAGCTAATTTTTGTATTTTTAGTAGAGACGGGGTTGCACAGTGTTGGCCAGGATGGTCGATCTCTTGACTTCATGATCCGCCTGCCTCGGCCACCCAAAGTGCTGGGATTACGGGTGTGAGCCACTGCCCCCAGCCAATTCTATATCATTCTAAGGAAGCCAGCATGCCCAGCCAATTCTGTGTCATTCTAAGGTGACAATAGAAACACAGTGCTTTAAGAAAATAAAATGAAACTTGGTCTAGACTAGCTTTTAGAATGGCTTTTTCAGGGCAGAGATCCAGCCTTTCTGATCACCGATTCTCTGTGGATCAGTTTTTGTTAAACAAATGTTAAGCACAATTAAGGTGAGATACAAGAAATAATTCGAGGCGGTGGCATACAGTTATTTTATGAGGCCACATACATTTTATAGGATCCAGTAGTCTAAAATTTACATGTAGAAATTTACCTTGTATTTTCAGCTGCCTGCTGAAGATGAAGTCTTACTACAGAAATTAAGAGAGGAATCAAGAGCTGTCTTTCTACAAAGAAAAAGCAGAGAACTGTTAGATAATGAAGAATTACAGGTAAGAACAAAGCAAAAAGTTGCTTTAGATGTTAACCATTTCTCATTTGTGCTACTTAAATCATGCAGGATTTCTTGGTGCCTAATGGAGTCCGTACTACAGAGTGGTACTACATAGGCTCTGAAGCAGCAGTTCCCACCAGAAGCAGCCGCTGAGTTTGCATGGGTCATGTACCCCAAACATAGTGTTGTTTGTTATTTTTGTTTAAGGCCCTAGGTGATTCTAATGTGCAGCCAAGGTTGAGAACCACTGCTGTAGGGTCAGACTACAGAGGTTCAAATCCCAGCCCTGCTATATGACTTTAGGCAATGGACTTAACATCTCTGTGCTTCGATTATCATCTCTAAAGTAGGGATAGCTAACTATATCATAGAGATGTGGATTAAAGAGGCAGTGTATATCAAAAGCTTAGTAGGCACTCAATAAATGTTATTTTTATTGTTAGTAATCAAAAGGATAATAGGGCATGAGATTCATCTTAATATTGACTCTGCCAACAAACTCTCATTTTAGTGGAAAGCACACATTTAACTACATATTAAAATCTTGTTGTTTTTAACTTACAACATCTTCACTTCCACAATTCTCTTAAGAACTTATGGTTTTTGCTGGACAAACACCAGACACCACCTATGATTGGAGAGGAAGCGATGATCAATTACGAAAACTTTTTGAAGGTTGGTGAAAAGGCTGGAGCAAAGTGCAAGTAAGAATAATATAATTAACAAAAGAATGTGTTATGTTAAGCATTTTAAATGCCTCAAATATTGGCTGGGCACAGTGGCTCACACCTGTAATCCCAGCAGTTTTGGAGGCTGAGGTGAGAGGATTGCTTGAGCTGGGGTGTTTGAGGCCAGCCTGGGCAACTTAGGGAGATCTTGTCTCTACTAAAAAAATTATCTGGGTGTGGGGGCGTACACCTGTAGCTACTCCGGAGGCTGAGGTGGGAGAATTGCTTGAGCCCGGGAGGATGAGCTGTGATTAAGCCACTGCACTCCAGCCTGGGCGATAGAGCAAGACCTTACCTTTAAAAAAAATAAACAAATCCTCAAATATTAAATGAAGTAAATGGAATGACATTTGAGTCCATTTAAGTTACTAATTAAATTTAATAAAATTATTTACAGTCAAAAAATCACATTGGTATGAAGTTATTAAAATAAATAATATAGCCAGGTGTGGTGGCTCATGCCTGTAATCCCAGCACTTTGGGAGGCTGAGGTGAGCGGATCACGAGGTCAAGAGAACAAGACCATCCTGACCAACATGGTGAAACCCCGTCTCTACTAAAAATACAAAAATTAGCTGGGCGTGGTGGCGTGTGCCTGTAATCCCAGCTACTCAGGAGGCTGAGGCAGGAGAATCGCTTGAACCCTGGAGGCGGAGGTTGCAGTGAGCCGAGATCGTGCCACTGCACTCCAGCTTGGCAAAAGAGCAAGACTCCATCTCAAAAAAAAAAAAGAAATAATATAGTTTATGACACTTTCAGCCTTAAGACAGACGAAAGCAAACAAAAAAGAATGCAAGGCCAGGCACTGTGGCTCACGTGCCCATCTCTGCAAAATAAAAAAAACTTTTAATTAAAAAAAAAAAGAATGCAAACATTTATGACTTAGGCTAGGCATGGTGCCTCACGTTTGTAATTCCAGTGCTTTGGGAGGCCAAGGCAGGTGGATCACTTGAGGCCAGGAGTTCGAGATCAGTCAGGGCAACAGAGCAAATCTCTGTTTATATATATATATTTATCTTTTTTTTTGAGATGGAGTCTTGCTCTGTCGCTAGGCTGCAGGGGAGTGGCGCAATCTCAGCTCACTATAACCTCCGCCTCCTGGGTTCAAGTGATTCTCCTGCCTCAGCCTCCCAAGTATTATTGTATTAACAAAAGAATATGTTAAGCATTTTAAATGCCTCAAATATTGGCTGGGCCAATATAAATACAATATAATACAATATAAATACCCAATACAAATACTTTTTGTATTTTTACTAGAGACGGGGTTTCACCATGTTGGCCAAAATGGTCTCGATCTCTTGACTCATGATGTGCCTGCCTCAGCCTCCCAAAGTGCTGGGATTACAGGCAAGAGCCACTGCGCCTGGCCAAATCTCCATTTCTTTTAAAAAAAAAAAAAAGTTTGACTTAATATTTTAAGTTTTTGAATTATAAGGAGTCTCTATTGTTCTTTCATTTTTAATTGTATGAATTTATGCCATTGTTTGCTAATTTATGTAGAAGTCATTTTCTTTTATGTTGGCAGATCATTTAAATCTTTATTTTCTTTTCTTAGGCAATTTTTCACAGCAAAAGTCTTTGCTAAACTCCTTCATACAGATTCATATGGAAGAATTTCCATCATGCAGTTCTTTAATTATGTCATGAGAAAAGGTGATTCATTTTTACTGTGCTTGAACTCCTTATCTGGGAATCAAGTAGGTTTTTGGTCTGTGCTTTTATAAGTATTTCTTCTATGTGAAATCACTCTAAGTTTGAATAGTAGAATTTCTTATCTTTTGACCAAGATGTGTTACATAAACTTGGGTTAGCATAAAAAAACAAAAATTTTTTAAACCCTCATGTGTCTTAAAGATAATAGTAGACTAGAAATATTAAGAGCTGAACCAAGAGTTTTAATGTATGGTAATTTGAAATAATTTTAATTTACTGATAATTTTATTTTACCAGTATATTACAAGTTGAGTTGACTGATAGTTTCAAACCCAAAGCTGTAATATCAGTTTCAAGGAGCATCAATTAAACAGCTTGGACTTATGATTCCTACAAGTGCCATAATAATCTGTGAAAGCCTATTGTATACAATCTTTAATAATTGGTTGCTGTAATTAACCTCAGAAATAAAAGCAGCTTCACTGAAGGCATAATATTATACTAGCTGTCCCTGTTTGGTGGAACACCAAGTTTAATTGGTAAAGAACAGTATCTTCAAGGTGTCAATTTTATTATAGCTTTAGTCATGGTAGAATTGTTGAACTCTTCCATTCTATGGTTTTTTGTTTCAAGCAATTTTGTGGTGAGAAGAAATGTTTTTAGAGTTACTAGATTAGCTTGTCTCAAATCTGGCTCTTTATCTCCTTTTTCATATCTGAAGGATAGATCTTAAGAATTACTTTCATTTTCTTGTTTATTGTCAGTTTGGCTTCATCAAACAAGAATAGGACTCAGTTTATATGATGTCGCTGGGCAGGGGTACCTTCGGGAATCTGTAAGTGTTAACCTTATAGATATTATATTAACTCTTATAGACACTAAAATGTAAACTGTAGTTATCACTGGGTGTTGGGATTACAGGCTGTTCTCATAATACTTTGTTTTATTTCTGTCTGTGTGTGTTTGTGTGTACATATTTAGTTTTACTGTAACAAAGCAACTTGTACACTTTCAACTTTTAAAATTGAACATCATCTTTCCAGTGAAACAAAAAACAAATTTAAAATAAACAAAATTACAATAGAGAATGTCAATTCCAAATAAGATCCTACAGGTTCTACTGATTCTCCCATGGAGTAGCAGCCTTCAAGTCATCATTAAGAGAGAATTTATGCTGGGTGTGGTAGCTCACACCTGTAATCCCAGCACTTTGGAAGGATGAGGCAGGCGGATCACCTGAGGTCGGGAGTTTGAGACCAGCCTGACCAACATGGAGAAACCCTATCTCTACTAAAAATACAAAATTAGCCAGGCTTGGTGGCACATACCTGTAATCCCAGCTACTTGGAAGGCTGAGGCAGGAGAATCACTTGAACCCAGGAGGCAGAGGTTGCTGTGAACCGAGATAGCGCCATTGCACTCCAGCCTGGGCAACAAGAGTGAAACTCCGTCTCAAAAAAAAAAAAAAAAAAAAATGTATTGGCTGGGTGCAGTGGCTCACGCCTGTATTCCCAAGGCCTGTACTCCCAGCACTTTGGGAGGCTGACGTGGGCGGGTCACCTGAGGTCAGGAGTTTGAGACCAGCCTGACCAATATGGTGAAATTCCATCTCTACTAAAAATAGAAAAATTTGCTGGGCTGTGGTGGTGCATACCTGTAATCCCAGCTATTCAAGGGGCTGAGGTGGGAGAATCGCTTGAATCTGGGAGGCAGAGGTTGCAGTGAGCCGAGATTGCACCACTGCACTCCAGCCTGGGCAACAGAGGGAGACCCTGTCTCAAAAAAAAAGAGAGAGAGAATTTATTTTAAAGGTGTCATTTTAAACTGCAAGGATGCCCCTTAAAAATCACAATTAAACATGCCAAAGGAAAAGCAACGTTGTCAAAATGCTCACTTTAAACTATCAAAACGTTTCAAACCTACCCTTTGCTGACCTATAACCCCATTTTGTAAAATTTATTTTCTTTTTTTAAATAAGAGACAGTAGACAAGGATGCCGGGCGTGGTGGCTCACGCCTGTAATCCCAGCACTTTGGGAGGCCGAGGCGGGCGGATCACGAGGTCAGGAGATCGAGACCATTCTGGCTAACACGGTGAAACCCCATCTCTACTAAAAATACAAAAAAAAATTAGCCGGGCGTGGTGGCAGGCACCTGTAGTTCCAGCTACTTGGGAGGCTGAGGCAGGAGAATGGCATGAACCCAGGAGGCGGAGCTTGCAGTGAGCCGAGATCACGCCACTGCACTCCAACCTGGGCGAAAGAGCGAGACTCCATCTCAAAAAAAAAAAGACACAGTAGACAAGGAGATGTTGGTAAATGCTAACTGTCCATATTCACATAGAGACATAGTATACTCTGCGCTCAATAGAGGAAAGCAGCTAGAATTCTATGCACGACTACACAAGGGCCTAGCACCTTCCAGCTTCCAGCAGAGCAAAGGGAACAGGTTTTTCTTTTTTTTTCCATAGACCTCGGTGGTGTTGATTCCATATAGTTTTTGTTGAGACACAGGATGTTTCCGTTTTGGGGTTTGGTTTTTTATTTTTATTTTTTTTAACAAATGACATGTGTTACTAAACAAATGTTTAATGTATATTGACTATACAAATTCCTTTTTAGATTCTTTTTCTTCAAACTTTAAAAAAAAAAGGCCTTTTGGCTGGGCGCGGTGGCTCATGCCTATAATCCCAGCATTTTGGGAGGCCGAGGTGGGCAGATCTTGAGGTCAGGAGTTCAAGACCAGCCTGACCAACATGGAGAAACCCCGTCTCTACTAAAAATACAAAAATTAGCCAGGCATGGTGGTGGCCACCTGTAATCCCAGCTACTCAGGAGGCTGAGACAAGAGAATCGCTTGAACCCAGGAGGTGGAGGTTGCAGTGAGCCTAGATTGTGCCATTGCACTCCAGCCTGGGTGACAAGAGCGGACTGTCTCAAAAAAAAAAGCCTTTTAAAGGGGAAAATAAAAAGAATGTAGCATTTTAACATTTAAAAATCACTGAAAAACGTTTGATTATTCATGAGTGATATTAATGTGTCACTATTTTTTAAAGGGCCAAGAATTCCACCCCCCCGCTTTTTTTTTTTTAAGAAAATATAAGAGAAGCCAGACACGGTAGCTCACGCCTGTAATCCCAGCACTTTGGGAGGTGAAGGCGAGTGGATCACTTGATGTCAGGACTTCGAGACCAGCCTGATCAACATGGTGAAACCCTGTCTCTATTAAAAATACAAAAACATTAGCTGAGCATGGTAGCAGATGCCTGTAATCCCAGCTACTAGAGTGGCTGAGGCAGGAGAATCGCTTGAACCCAAGAGGCAGTTGCAGTAAGCTGAGATCATGCCACTGCACTCCAGCCTGGGCAACAGAGCAAGACTGTCTCAAAAGAAAAAAGAAAATATGAGAGAGAAAATGAATGTGACTGTATTCCCACCTCTGGGTTTAAGATTGCTAGGTCAGTTACCAAGAGGCTGCTTGTTTCCTATTAGGCACTGCTGTAATTAGGCCAAGTTATCAACAGAGAATTATAACTTCATGGTCCAAATGGCTATGCTTCTTCTGAGTATGGGTATCTAAATTATATGGACTTACTTTTCACCTCAGGCTTTTTTCCCAAATATACAGTGCTTTTTTTAAGATTGTAGGGGAGAGGGGAAGGGAGTTGGGCATGAATATAAACTAGGTTAATTAATCAAATAATTATTCAGATATAAGGGTTAAAGAAATGTAAATTTCTTGTTATAGTTCGTATGGTTCCTGCTATAATTTGTTGCATTCTGTTTTGTCTAGATTTCTGTAGATAGAATCTGTTAGCTCATTCTGAACATTTATACTGTAAAACCTTTCCAGGGGCACACTACAGTTCTCTTTAAGGTTCAGACCAACTTGAGAATAAAAGGCTCTTGCTTCTGGCAAGGAAGACATAATTAGCCACCTGCTGGTACTCGTTTAGAGGTCAGGTCCAAAACTGGAGTACTTCTCTAGCTCTGAGAATTCTTGTTAGCAGTTCACTTGATTTATAAAAACAGCAATATTGATTTATAAAAACAGTCCCCTGTTACTGCTTGTCTTGCCTCTTTCCATGGATGGAAACAAAGATTGAAAGAGAGATGAGCAAAAGGGAGAGAAAAGAAACAGTGTACTTCTATAGTTGTTTTTAAAAAGGAATAATTTTCCCCTTCTCTCAATGAAAGAAAACACTTTTCTCAAAGTATTTCTTCCATCCTTGGCCCATTGCCTTTTGAAACCCAGACTTTGTGTCTTACTAATTTGAAAGGCAGTGGCTTCCAGACCAACATTTATAATCTGAGTAGAGTATACAAAGTTTTATTCACTTATTAAATCTTATTAAGCATTTAGTAGACATTTATTTGGGGGCAGGTATTATTCTAAGCTTGTAGGGCTCATGTTTTACTTTGTGACAATCTGTTTGCCCAGATTTCTTTTTTTTCTTTTTTTTGTTTTCTTGCCCAGATTTCTGTAGATGGAATCTGTTAGCTCATTCTAAATGTTATACTTTAAAACCTTTCCAGGGACACAGTACAATTTTCATTCCCTTGTAGACCTATTTTTTCTAGCAGAGTGGGAAGACAGACACTAAATTATAAGCAGATAATATCAAATAGTGACAAGTTATATGTAGAAAATAAAACAGTAAACTAGGCAGGAATATGACTGGGATTGACAGACGATTTTAGGTAGGCTGGAAGGAGCATCTTTTTGAGATAGTGATTAAGTTTTAGCCATGAAGTACGAGAAAGAAGCCAGCCTTATGAAGATGTAGTATAGAGGAAACGGCAAATACAGTGTCTCCAAGGCAAAATTAAGCCTGGACCTGTTCTAGGAACAGAAGGAAGCCAGTGTGGCTAGAACAAGGACTATAGTAACAGAAAATGAAGTTGGAGAAGTAGGCAGGGGCCACATGTAGGGCCTTTTGGGCCACAGTAAGGACTTTGGATTTATTTTGAGGCTAACGGGAAACCATCGGAAGTTTTAAGCTGAGTCTGTCAGGATATGATTTACATTTTAAAAGATCATTCTGGATGCTGTATGGAGGATGTAAGGAACTCAAAGTACGGCCAGGCACGGTGGCTCATGCCCGTAATCCCAGCAACTTTGGGAGGCCGAGGCAGGTGGATCGCTTGAGCTCGGGAGTTCAAGACCAGCCTGGCCAACATGACGAAACCCCGTCTCCACTAAAAATACAAAAATTAGCTGGGTATGGGGGTAGGCACCTGTAATCCCAGCTACTTGGAGGCTGAGGCAGGAGAATCACTTGAACCCAGGGGATGGAGGTTGCAGTGAGCCAAGATTGAGCCACTGCACTCCAGCTTGGGCGACAGAGCAAGGCTCCATCTCTAAATAGATAAATAAATCTGGAGTATAAGCAAAATATTTAGGCACCTACCATGATAGTCCAGGTGAGATGATGGGCCCATAACTAGGGTAATTGGTGGCTGTAGAGAAAGCAAGAAATAGATTAATTCAATATATATTTTGGACTCCCCTCCTTCCCAGAAAAAACACAAATTGCTGCTAGATTGGATGTTCAGGGTAAGGAGTGTGAAGGCATTGATGAAGAAAAAGAGAAGCCAAAGACAAGTCTTAAATTTTTATTTTGAGTAACTGTTGGAATAGAGGAAAAGCAGGTGAGGACCAAGGTTGGAGATGACAAGAGAGCCCCATTTTGGATACTTCAAGTTTGAGATGCCAGTTGTCCTATAAACTTGAAAGTATCTCAGATCTACCAGAAATTTGATATTTGAAATGGTTAAAGCAAAAATAACATTGTTAAAATAAGTATAAGAAACCATGGGAAGGCACAGTGGCTCACGCCTGTAATTCCAGCACTTTGGGAGGCCAAGGCAGGCAGATCACTTGAGGTCAGGAGTTCGAGACCAGCCTGGCCAACATGGCGAAACCCCCTCTCTACTAAAAATACAAAAATTAGCCAGGCGTGGTGGTACGTGCCTGTAATCCTGGCTACTCAGGCTGAGACACAAGAATCGCTTGAACCCAAGAGGTGGAGGTTTCAGTGAGCTGAGATTGCGCCACTGCACTCCAGCCTGGACTGGACTGAGACTCCGTCTCAAAAAAAAAAAAAAAAAGAGAGAGAGAAACCATGGAAGGCTTTTAAATTTATAATCCTGTAATAGGGAAAGCCTTTCTAAGTATGACAAAACCCAGAAGTCTAGAAAACAATAAATTCAGCTAAATTTTTAAAGATCTATAGGGCAAAGCCCATGTTAAAGTAAAAAGAAAACAACAAACTGGGGGAAATACCTGAAACAGTCAGAAATGGCCAATTACCCTAATATATAAAAAGCTCCCAGAAATCAAGAAGAAAGCCATTAACCCAATAAAAAACTGGACAAAGATATAGATAATGTATAAAAAGTAAAATTCAAATGCTTCTTAATCATAAGAAACAACTAACTTCACATAAGAGAAATGCCAGATAAATCTACACTAAGTTGCCATTTTTCCCCTATCAAATTAGCAAAGATCAGAAAGTTTGAATTGACACCTTTAGTGTTTGAGTAATTTTTTCACAGTGCTTCTGAGCCAAAAGAAATCCCTAAAAGTTTCACTTATTAACTAGTTAATTTTAAACAATTTAATGAGTATTCATTAAGCTTATTAGCCATTTGAATAAATAATACACTTAAGTTGAAAGAAGATATTTTTATTTCATTCTTAAGTACAGTTATTAATGGGATGTGTACAACTACTTAAACCTGGGAATTAGACTGGACACTTGCCCTCCTCATTTCCTGTTCACTAATTTTTGTGTGGTACTTTACCACAGGAACCATCAAAACCTAGCTTTGCAAAGATTTATGTCATTAAAAGGAGTATATTTGGCTGGGCATGGTGGCTCACGCCTGTAATCCCAGCACTTTGGGAGGCCAAGGCAGGCAGATCGCGAGGTCAGGAGATCGAGACCATCCTGGCTAACACGGTGAAACCTTGTCTCTACTAAAAATACAAAAAATTAGCCAGGCATGGTGGCACGCGACTGTAGTCCCAGCTACTCAAGAGGCTGAGGCAGGAGAATCGCTTGAACCCGGGAGGTGGAGGTTGCAGTAAGCTGAGATTTCGCCACTGCACTCCAGTCTGGGTGACAGAGCAAGAGTCCATCTCGAAAAAAAAGGAATATATTCATGACATTTTGGTGATTTAAAAAATTTTTTAAAAAGGAATAATAACCAGGCACAGTGGCTGACACCTGTAATTCCAACACTGGGAGGCCAAGGTGGGCAGATAGCTTGAGCTCAAGAGTTCGAGACCAGCCTGGGCAACATGGTGAATCCCCATCTCTACCAAAATACAAAAAATTAACTGGGTGTGGTGGTGCATCTCTGTGGTCCCAGCTATTCAGGAGGCTGAGGTGGGAGGATCACTTGAGCCTGGGAGGTAGAGGTTTCAGTGAGCCGAGATCATGCTACTGCACTCCAGCAGCCTGTGTGACAGAGTGAGACCCTGCCTCAAAAAGAAGGAATACATTGAGATCCAGTATTGAAAATGTGAACTACCTTGAGCACGTAATTCTAGCTTGTAGCAATATCTGTCATGCAGTGTCTGACAAATGTTGCTGTTTCGCTCAAAATTTTAAAATATCCTGATGCACCCCTGTACATTAACTGTGGTGCTCCTGGGACACCTGTGTGCAGAATTCGGAACTGTAGAAATAGCCTTCACATTGCTGGTGGGAGTATAAAATTCACATGGCGTTTGTGGGGAGGTGGAAGTTTCCCAGGGTCTATCAAAATTCTACATGTGCATATGCTACAACCCAGCAGGTCCACTTATAGAAATTGTATTCTATATTCTTCCACAATATCTATGAATGAATAATTAGCTTAGCCCTTATGGTATTATTTTTCGTGCAGCAAAATATTAGGAAAAAACTAAATGTCCCAATAGAGAGGCCTAGTTAAATATGGCACATCTATGCAATGATATAATATATAGCTATTTATTCTCAAAGAGTGGAAGCTCTTTGAGAGTCAGTATGGAATAACTGTAAAATATATTACGGAATGACAAAAGCAGTTTTCATGGTATGTTGATACATCCTTTGTGTAAAAAGAGGGAAAGGCTGGGTGTGGTGCCTCACGGCTATAGCCCCAGCACTGTGGGAGGCAGAGGTGGCTGGATCACGAGGTCAAGAGATCGAGACCATCCTGGCCAACATGGTGAAACCCCGTTTCTACTAAAAATACAAAAATTAGCTGGGCATGGTGGTGCGCGCCTGTAGTCCCAGCTACTCAGGAGGCTGAGGCAGGAGAATCGCTTGAACTTGGGAGGCGGAGGTTGCAGTGAGCTGAGATCAACACCACTGCACTCCAGCCTGGGTGACAGAGCAAGACTCCATCTCAAAAAAAAAAAAAAAGAGGGAAAGAAATATATATGTATTGGTTCATATTTGCATCTGTTACCTTTGGGAAGCTGCATCAGAAGTTGATAATACAAGTTACTTAACCTTTGGGGAGAAGAAATAGGTGAGAGGCTTTTTAATCAATATCTTTGTTCCCTTTGAATTTGGAACTATGTAGAATTTACTACTTTTCAAAAATGCTAAAACAAATTAGAAACAAAATTTAATGTAAAATAGTTTTACCACTAAAATAGTCATGCATTTATTTCTTTATCAATATAGTATTAATGCTGAATAATTTTTAGTAATGAAATTCTAATATCTAATGAATCAAGACTGGACATTTAACACTTTATTTTGTTTTATTTTCAGGATTTAGAAAACTACATATTGGAACTTATCCCTACGTTGCCACAATTAGATGGTCTGGAAAAATCTTTCTACTCCTTTTATGTTTGTACAGCAGTTAGGAAGTTCTTCTTCTTTTTAGATCCTTTAAGAACAGGTAAAAGAAAATCTTATCTAACTTAGATATTATGAGGATATTATTATATCTAAATCTCAATAACTAGAGAAAACTCTTGAAAAATATCATTTATTTTCCTGTCACTGCCATTAAAAATTTGGTGAATTTCAAGGAGATAAAAAGGTAGAAAAAACAGTAGCAGTACTTTGGTTATGTTTATCTGAAGATCTTTTATGATTTACTTGCACTGACCATAACCTGCTGTGTGACAGATGGGGGGACATCACCTAACAGTGAAGAAGTATGAACTGGGTAGTCAGTCATAAATACCTCCTTCCAGTTCTAGGAAGCCAGTTATTTGCATATAATTTGCTGTCTCTGCTGTGTGACATACTGCAGAATTATTCTCTTTTTGATGAAAAATATGTATTTGGAAATATGAGAGCCATTTAGCCAGTGATGCATATTTTTCTTATTCTCTATAAGGATCGGATTGGTAAATATGGCCTCATTAACAGTTTGTTTTATTAACTGTTCAAACCTGCCCAGACTTAACTACATGTAACTGGAGCAGAGGAAAGGACAGAGAAGGTCCAAATCAAAGTGCCTGATTGTCCTTCTGTCCTTGAAAATTCAGCTATGGGCCTGGCACAGTGGTTCACGCCTGTAATCTCAGCACTCTGGGGGGCTGAGTTGGGTGGACCACTTGAACTCAGGAGTTCAAGATCAGCCTGGGCAACATGGCAAAACTTTTTCTCTACAAAAAAAATACAAAAATTGGCTGGACACGGTGGCTCACACCTGTAATCCCAGCTACTCGAGAGGCTGAGGCAGGAGAATTGCTTGAACCCGGGAGGCAGAGGTGAGCCGAGATCGCGTTATTGCATTCCAGCCTGGGCAACAAGAGGGAAATTCCGTCTCAAAAAAAAAAAAAAAAAAAAAAACTAGCCAGGCGTAGTGACACACGGCTGTAGTCCCAGCTACTTGGGAAGCTGCTGAAGTGGATCACTTGAACCCAGGAGGCAGAGGCTGCAGTGAGCCAAGATCGGGCCACTGCACTTCAGTCTGGGCAACAGAGCCAGACCTTGTGTCCAAAAAAAAAAAAAAAAAATCCAGTTATGAATCCAATCACAGCATATGGTAGCTGACAGTGTTTTTTGAACTCCTCTACTATAAGTACACACATATATACTTTTTCAAATTTTACAAAATAATATCACGTTTTGACTTATGTAGTATGCTAAGCATTTTACATGGATTCATTCATTTTCATCTCATAACCCCATAAGGAAGGTACATTATTGTCCACATTTTATGTGTAAGGCAACTGAGACTTTGCTAGGTTACATATTTAAAAGTGGCATTCAAACTCCAATCTGGGCTAGGTGTGGTGGCTCACACCTGTAATCCCAGCACTTTGGGAGGCTGAGGTGAGAAATCACTGGTGCCTAGGAGTTCAAGACCAGCCCTGGCAAGACAGACCTCTTCTGTACAAAAAAGCAGCAGCAGCCAGGCGCAGTGGCTCACACCTGTAATCCCAGCACGTTGGGAGGCTAAGATGGGTGAATCATCTGAGGTCAGGTGTTCAAGACCAGCCTGGCCAACATAGTGAAACCCCATCTCTACTAAAAATAGAAAAAATTAGCTGGATGTGGTGGTGGGTGCCTGTATTCCCAGCTACTTAGGAGGCTGAGGCAGGAGAATCGCTTGAACCCAGGAGGCAGAGATTGCAGTGAGCTGAAATCACACCATTGCACTCCAGCCTGGGCAACAAGAGCGAAACTCTGTCTCAAAAAAAAAAAAAAAAAGAACAAGAACAAGACAAAACAAACTCTGCTCTTAAACCACACCTGTTTACCTGCGTATTGCTTTCTAGTCCAGAACCTGCCAAAAATAAATGGAGACAGTGTCCCTGTTCGTGTACCAGCAGTACTATATCTATAATCACAACTTTTTTGAAAATCTGACATCAGTATAATTTTAGAATTTACCACTTAGATTTATATAGTTGAGGTATACAAGTAGAGATGTTATTAAATGTTGCCTGTAGGTTTCTCTTTTTTTTTTGCAGGGTGGGGATGGAGTTTTGCTCTTGTTCCCTAGGCTGTAGTACAATGGCTTGATCTCAGCTCACTGCAACCTCTGCCTCCCAGGTTCAAGCGATTCTCCTGCCTCAGCCTCCAGAGTAGCTGGGATTACAGGCGCCCTCCACCACACCCAGCTAATTTTTTGTGTTTTTAGTAGAGATGGGGTTTCACCATGTTGGCCAGGCTGGTCTGGAACTCCTGACCTCAGGTGATCCACCTGCCTCAGCTTCCCAAAGTGCTGGAATTACGCGGTGAGCCACCGCGCCCAGCCGAGATTTCCCTTTTTGTAGCAATATGTAATAAGGACTTTGGAGCATAAGAGCTAGAAGCTTTAAAATATCAATTGTGTGATTGCTCTTGTTAAAAAAATTTTTTTTTAATTAATTGAGTTGCTCTTTTCTTAAAATGAAATTAATTGTGTTTCTTTATGTTCTTAAAGGAAAGATAAAAATTCAAGATATTTTAGCATGCAGCTTCCTAGATGATTTATTGGAGGTAAATGTTTTTAAACTACTTAATTGTATCACTTGACAGTTGCTATCTTCTAATTATGTCTTTGTGTTCCATTAGCTAAGGGATGAGGAACTGTCCAAGGAGAGTCAAGAAACAAATTGGTTTTCTGCTCCTTCTGCCCTAAGAGTTTATGGTATGTTCCTATCATAATGCTAAAATTTGAATTATCCATTCTTCAGGAAATTGGTGTTCAGAGGACAGTTTTATACATACACTGATATACCTTAAGATCAAAATATTTAATTACCTTAAGCTTTAGTATTCTACATTACCAAAATTTACTTGTTTAAATACCGATGTTTTAACTTTTTGGACTCCCCCCAACCTTTTCTTTTTGAAGACAGGGTCTCACTCTGTCACACTGGCTGGAGTGCAGTGACATGATCACGGCTCAGTGCAGCCTTGAAGTCCTAGGCTCAATCCTCTCACCTCAGTGCCCCTACCCCACCCACCCCACCACCCCCAGTACTGGGTCTACAGGCGCCATGCCTGGCTAATTTATTTTATGTTTTTTTAGAGATGGGATCTCACTGTGTTGCCCAGGCTGGTTTCAAACTCCTGGGCTCAAGCAGTCCACCTGCCCTGACCTCCCAAAGTGTTGGGATTATAGGCATGAGGCACTGCACCCAGCAGAACCCTTTTTAAGTTATACACTTCCTTTTCAATAGAACAGAATGTAATTTGATCCTTGTTGACTCAGGAGCATCATTATGAACATTAGCTATTGTCATGCTTTGTTGATAAAATGCTATTCCCAGGGTCTACTGATGGAGCTAATCTACATTATCTTGTTGGGTGGTCTTTTGACTCCTTTGGCTTTTTTTTTTTTTTTTTTTTTTGGAGATAGAGTCTTGCACTGTTACCTGGGCTGGAGTCCAGTGGCATGATCTCGGCTCACTGCAACCTCCACCTCCCAGGTTCAAGTGATTCTCCTTGCCTCAGCCTCCCAAGTACCTGGGATTACAGGCGCTCGCCACCACACCCGGCTAATGTTTTTTTTTTTTGTTTTTTTTTTTAGTAGAGACGGTGTTTCACTATGTTGGCCAGGCTGGTCTGGAACTCCTGACCTCTGATCTGCCCTCCTCAGCCTCCCAAAGTGCTGGGATTACCGGCGTGAGCCACCACGCCCGACCTCCTTTTGGCATTCTTATCTCTACTTTCAAGTGCTAGCATTTCAGTGCTTTTTGTTGGCCTCTACCTCCATTTAATTTAGAAACCTAGGAATGTTTAAAAAGACTGCAAACTGAAAACAAATAATGATGTAAGTGAAACAGCCCAGAGACTATGGCCTTCATGATGGGTTTTTTTGGCTGTTTCTAGCCCAAGGGTTTTTCTGATCAAGATTGCAAAGGTAGCTGATAGTATTACACATAGGCCACTACCCTAATCATAACATGAATAGTTTGAAAATCAAAATATTAACCAAGAAAAAACTTTTTGTTAGTCTATTCTTCTGATTAAAATTTTATTGTGGTCATAAGTGTCTTTATTATTTTTCTTCCCAAGGCCAGTACTTGAATCTTGATAAAGATCACAATGGCATGCTCAGTAAAGAAGAACTCTCACGCTATGGAACAGCTACCATGACCAATGTCTTCTTAGACCGTGTTTTCCAGGAGTGTCTCACTTATGATGGAGAAATGGTAGTAGTTTAAATCTGCTGCTAAGTTTTAAAAGTTTAGGCTCCCAGAGTTTCCACAAACCCTTTTCTTGATGTAATACAGCCCTTTTTTTTTTGAGACAGAGTCTTGCTCTGTCGCCTAGGCTAGAGTGCAGTGGTGTGATCTCCGCTCAATGCAACCTCCACTTCCTAGGTTCAAGTGATTCTCCTGCCTCAGCCTCCGGAGTAGCTGGGATTATGGGTGCATGCCACTGCATCCAGCTAATTTTTGTACTTTTAGGAGAGATGGGGTTTCACCAGGTTGGCCAGGCTGGTCTTGAACTCCTGACCTCAGGTGATCTGCCTCCCAAAGTGCTGGGATTACGAGGCGTGAGCCACCACACTCGGCCCAGCATTATTGATATCACTGTGTAACAGTGTCTTTAAAATGTGTAAACTGATCAAATTACTTGAGATTCAGAGTCTTTGGTCTTAACGTAAATTAAAACATCTGCATTATGGCCTCAGGGCAAATAGAAAAGCTTATTGTTCATTTCATTGTCAGTGCACCTACTGTACAGTAGTGCATTCTAGTTTTTTTTTTTTTTTAAAAAAAAGCTGAGGCCAGGCTTGGTAGCTTATGGTTATAATCCCAGCGCTTTGGGAGGCCAAGGCCACAGAACCACTTAAGGCCAGTCGTTCAAAACTAGCCTGAGCAATACAGCGAGACTGTCTCTACAAAAAATAAAAAAATTACTTGGGCATGGATGGAATGTGCCTGTAGTATAGCTACTCGGGAGGCTGAGGCAGGAGGATTGCTTGACCTGAGGAATTTGAGGCTGCAGTGAGCTATGATGAGGCCACTGCACTCCAGTCTGGGCAGTAGAGTGAGACCATGTCTCTTAAAAGCTGAAACATTAGTAAATTATTCTGGCTATTTTCAGCTAGATAGTTCCGTCATTAAATTACCAGGTCAAATGTAGTAACACATATGCCATGATTTAATTCTGAGAATCAGGTTGTATTAGTCTCTAGAAGTGGCTATATGAACAGCTGAAGATAACATGCACTTGTCTTTTTATTATAACAATGCAAAATACTTGAGAAGGAAAATTCTAAACAGCATTTTAAAATCACCATTTTTGCTGCTAAAAACATGGGTTAAGAATCTGATAACTTTGGGAGGCCGAGGCGGGTGGATCACAAGGTCAGGAGATGGAGACCATCCTGGCTAACACGGTGAAACCCCGTCTCTACTAAAAATACAAAAAATTAGCTGGGTGCGGTGACGGGCACCTGTAGTCCCAGCTACTCCAGAGGCTGAGGCAGAATGGTGTAATGGTGTGAACCCGGGAGGCGGAGCTTGCAGTAAGCCGAGATGGCGCCACTGCACTCCAGCCTGGGCAACTGAGCGAGACTCCATCTCAAAAAAAAAAAGAATCTGATAAATTTCCCAAACCAGTTATGCTTAAAAAATAGTCATATTGTCATGAGAATGGGGGGGTCTTACATTTATCATTTAGCTTCAATAGCAGTTTGCTAAATAACACCATTAGTAACAACAAAAGAAAAGAGGGGAAAAGGCACAGAAAATTTACTTTGTAACTCCCACAGCTGTAAACAATAGACAGTGAGGAGCTTATATTATTAATATAATGATTCCTGATGAATAGAGAAAATCAGGCTACAACTATGGATGAAGTCAGATCACAATCTGCATTCTTTAACTCTTTAGTGCTATTTATGCAGAAAGGAACTTTTCTAAGAATATAAAATTTTTATCTAAGTGAGAACCTCCCAATTACTACTTTTTACCATTAAAAAAAAAATCTGAGTATCCTGTTTTTTTGTTTTGTTTTGTTGTTTTTGTTTTTGTTTTAGATGGAGTCTCCCTCTGTCGCCCAGGCTGGAGTGCAGTGGCGCGATCTCGGCTCACTGCAAGCTCCGCCTCCCGGGTTGACGCCATTCTCCTGCCTCAGCCTCCCGAGTAGCTGGGACTACAGGCGCCCGCCACCATGCCCGGCTAATTTTTTTTTGTATTTTTAGTAGAGACGGAGTTTCACCGTGTTAGCCAGTATGGTCTCGATCTCTTGACCTTCTGATCTGCCCGCCTCGGCCCCCCGAAGTGCGTATCCTGTTTTTATAGGGAAGGCTTTCTGTTCTCTTCATGTCTTTCTGGCCTTTCCATTTTGCCTTTTTATGGATGAGAGCAGTGTCAGCTCACTGTAAAATGTCTGGCAATCTCAAGACAGCTTCTTATTGGAAATCTGAATTAAAAATTTTAAACAATATTTTAAAATAGCAATTTAAATATACTGTTCTGAGACTGGGCACGGTGGCTCACACCTGTAATCCTAGCATTTTGGGAGGCCGAGGTGGGTGGATCACCTGAGGTTGGGAGTTTTGAGACCAGCCTGACCAACTTGGAGAAACCGCTTCTCTACTAAAAATACAAAATTAGCCAGGCGTGGTGGTGCATGCCTGTAATCCCAGATACTCAGGAGGCTGAGGCAGGAGAATGACTTGAACCTGGGAGGCAGAGGTTGTGGTGAGCCAGGATCGCGCCATTGCACTCCAGCCTGGGCAACAAGAGCGAAACTCCATCTCAAAAAAAAAATTATACTGTTCTGTTCATTCCAGATAAAAAATTTGTTTTTCAAAATAACTGCACTGAAATGAAGTTATAAGTTTATAGCTTAGTCATCTGTTTCAAAAGTTTGAAGCAGGATGCAGTAGTTCATCCCTCTAGTCCCAGCACTTTGGGAGGCCGAGGCCAGATGATTGCTTGAGCCCAGGAGTTTGAGACTAGCATGGGTAATACAGGAAAACCCCATCTCTACAAAGAATTTAAAAAATTAGCCAAGTGTGATGGCGTGTACCTGTAGTCTCAGCTGCCTCGGAGGCTGTAGTGGGAAGATTGCTTGAGCCTGGGAGATCAAGGTTGCAGTGAACTATGATCGTACCACTGCACTCCAGCCTGGTTGATAAAGTGAGACCCTGTCTCAAAAACAAGAATAATGAAAGAAAATTATAGTTTAACACAGCAAATCTCTCATAAAAAAATGAACTAGGGCTGGGCACAGTGGTGCATGCCTATAATCCCAGCACTTTGGGAGGCCGGGGCAGGCGGGTCACTTGAGGTCAGGAGTTTGAGACCAGCTTGGGTAACATGGAAAATCCTGTCTCTACTAAAAATATAAAAATTAGCTGGGCATAGTGGTGTGCACCTGTATTCCCAGCTACTTGGGAGGCTGAGACAGGAGAATCGCTTGAACCTGGGAGGCAGAGGTTTCAGTGAGCTGAGATTGCACCACTGCACTCCAGCCTGGGCAATAGAGCAAGACTCCGTCTCAAAAAAATAAATAAATAAAAAAGAACTATGTCCTCAAAACTGTCCTGTGTAGATTATATATAGAATTCCTATGGCTGGGCAGGGTGGCTCACACCTATAATCCCAGCACTTTGGGAGGCTGAGGCGGGCGGATCACCTGAGGTCGGGAGTTCGAGACCAGCTTGACCAACATGGAGAAACCCCATCTCTACTAAAAATACAGAATTAGCCAGGCATGGTGGCACATGCCTGTAATCCCAGCTACTCCGGAGGCTGAGGCAGGAGAATTGCTTGAACCCGGGAGGTGGAGGTTGTGGTGAGCCAAGATTGTGCCATTGCAACTCCAGCCTGGGCAATGAGAGTGAAACTCTGTCTCGAAAAAAATTCCCTAGAAACCAATATTAAGTATATAAATGGATTTCTCATATCATAACTTAGGGAAAAAATTAAATTTGCCACCTTTGATTGCAAAATAGCTTCAAATCATAAGATATTCACTTGAAAGTTAATTTCAACTAAGGCCTCTAATGAACATTATTTTCTGTTCTGTAGGACTATAAGACCTACTTGGACTTTGTCCTTGCATTAGAAAACAGAAAGGAACCTGCAGCTCTACAATATATTTTCAAACTGCTTGATATTGAGAACAAAGGATACCTGAATGTCTTTTCACTTAATTATTTCTTTAGGGTAAGTCTCATTTGCATAAGTGAGTCATTGTTCCTTAAGATATATCATTTTGTTGCTGCCGGTGCAGTGGCTCACGCCTGTAATCCCAGCACTTTGGGAGGCCGAGGCAGGTGGATCACAAGGTCAGGAGATAGAGACCATCCTGGCTAACATGGTGAAACCCCGTCTCTACTAAAAATACAAAAAATTAGCCAGGTGTGGTGGTGGGTGCCTGTAGTACCAGCTATTTGGGAGGCTGAGGCAGGAGAATGGCGTGAACCCGGGAGGCAGAGTTTGCAGTGAGCCGAGATCGTGCCACTGCACTCCAGCCTGGGCGACAGAGCGAGACTCCGTCTCAAAAAAAAAAAAAAAAAAAAAATTGTGAGATGCAGCAAAAGCAGTGGCTAGAGGGAAATTTATAGTATTGAATGCATATACTGGAAAATGTTAAAGATCTAAAATCAGCATCTACTTTAGGAAATTAGAAAAAGAAGAGCAAATTAAAGATATATCATTTGGTTTAAATTAAATATTTAGTAACCATTTTACCTAACTCGTGATTTTTATTTATTTTTTTCTTTTTTTGAGAAAGGGTCTGGCTCTGTCGCCCAGGCTGCAGTGGCATGATCATAGCTCGCCGCAACCTCCAACTCCTGGGCTCAGGCAGTCTTCCCACTCAGCCTCCCCAATAACTGGGTCCACATGCCTGTAATCCCAGCTACTTGGGAGGCTGAGGCAGGAGAATCACTTGAACCCAGGAGGCGGAGGTTGCAGTGAGCTGAAATCGCGTCACTGCATTCTAGCTTGGGCAGCAAAGCAACACTCGGTCTCAAAAAAAAAAAAAAAAAAAAAACTACAACTACCAAAGTCTATAAAAATTTCTGTGGAAAGGAGCTACCTTTTCTGAACTGCTTAGCATCTTACAAGTTTTTCATCACAAGTATAGAATTTATCACATATTTGTATTTCCAATGGTAGTACAGCCCCTGACGTATATTTACATATTTTTATTTTACATCTAGTCAAATCAGCTTTCACTCAATTTTTTTAAGTAGGAAAGAAAACTAAAAACTTGATTTCTTTCTGAAATCTGTTATGTAAATGCTTTTATTAAATTTAAAAATCGGCCGGGTTGCGGTGGCTCATGCCTGTAATCCCAGCACTTTGGGAGGCCAGGGTGGGCGGATCGCAAGGTCAGGAGATCAAAACCATCCTCACTAACATGGTGAAACCCATCTCTACTAAAAATGCAAAAAAATCAGCCGGGCGTGGTGGCGGGCGCCTATAGTCCCAGCTACTCGGGAGGCTGAGGCAGGAGAATGGCATGAACCCAGGAGGCAGAGCTTGCAGTGAGCCGAGATT
The DNA here is from genome assembly GCF_000001405.40 of Homo sapiens. Lineage (NCBI taxonomy): Eukaryota > Metazoa > Chordata > Mammalia > Primates > Hominidae > Homo > Homo sapiens. The sequence continues at coordinate 35,089,728 of NC_000014.9, read as the reverse complement.
GCGCCACTGCACTGCAGCCTGGGTAACAGAGCGAGACTGAGTCTCAAAAAGAAAAAAAAAAATTAAAAAATCATACCCCAGGCATGGTGGCTCACACCTGTAATCCTAGCACTTAGGGAAGCTGAGGCAGGAGGTTCACTTGAGCACAGGAGTTTGAGACCAGCCTGGGCAACACAGGGAAACCCCAACTTCTACAAAAAATTTAAAAAATTAGCTGGGTGTAGTGGTCACATGCCTGTGGTCCCGGTTACTGGGGAGGCTGTGCCCAGCCAGTTGTAGATACTTTTATTTGCTATGTTGAAATAAACCATGAAAATAATTTTTAGGCCAGGCGTGGTCGCTCATGCTTCTAATCCCAGCACGTTGGGAGGCCAGGGAAGGAGGGTTGCTTGAGCCCAGGAGTTGGGAAACCAGCCTGGGCAACATAGGGAGACTCCATCTCTACAAAAAAATTAAAAATTAGCTGGGTGTGGTGGCACATGCCTGCAGTCCCAGCTACTTGAGAGGCTAAGGTGGGAAGATCACTAGAGTCCGGGAGGTCAAGGCTGCAGTGATCCATGATTTGCCACTGCACTACGGCCTGAATGACAGAGTAAGACCCTATCTCTAAAAATAAAAATTAAAAAAACTGAATGCTATATGGGCTTATATCAGCGGCTCATCTGAGAAAATAAATACCAACCCATCATAGGAATGCCCCTACTTTAGACAAACCTATTAGGTAAAAATCCAGTCTTAAGAAAATAAATGTATTTGAAATTAAACACTGCTCTTTTTCATAAAGATTTCTTTACAGTATTTTCTACTCTTAGAATATTAAATTGTTTTAAAACTACTTTAAAAATATTTCATATAGGCATTTTGTCAAAGCTTATTTAGGCTTGGTTATATGGGATAAGGTAAAAAGTGTCCAATGCTGAGCCCTATAATCCTGGGCTGTTCACAGAGCGTTTGGACATCACTATCCTAATGATAAAGCTGGGTCTGGATGATTCACTCTAGATCATACCATCTATTACTATATTAACAGAGCATGTACTCAGATTCTTATCTACTTCAAAGGGATTCCTTTATGGATACTCTGATTATTAGTGGTAACAGAGTAGGCATCGGGAACAAAGTTGACTGTTCACCAAGAATTTGAAACTTCACATTTCCAGTGAATAATGCTCACCTGAAGTATTTTGTATTCCTACTGGATGACAGCAGTTTCTTCATTTTTTTGTTAAAGTTTATGAAAAGGAAGAGTTTTGGGAGGTCTACCTCCATTTCTTGTATTACGTAGAAAGCAAAGTGTAGGGTAGGAAGGGAGACAGTAGATTGGGGATCTTAAGAGAATAGTGAAGGCAGGAATAACATTCATGGAAAATGAGAGGAGCAGATCAAACAGAATAATTGTGAGGCCATGCTGAGGGCCTGTTTGAGGTTGGAGAACATTCCTATGTAGAAGCAGCAATCCGTAATCTTTTTATTTTTTTTCCTGAAGTTCTCAATAGTTAAGATATAGGTCTAAAAAGGTCAATACACTAATCGAGAATTTAGGTTTTGCTCACTGATGTGGAATAAGGTCAAGAAAGCTAAGAAGATTGGCAAGAGAGAGAATGATGAGGTTTGTGGCCTGATAGGAAAGGAAGTATAAGTAGAAAGGGGTTGTAGGGCAAAAGAGGGATGTTGTGTATTTCATTTTTTATTTACAGATTTATTTCTATTAAATACAGGCCATACAGGAACTAATGAAAATCCATGGACAAGATCCTGTTTCATTTCAAGATGTCAAGGTTATCTTTTCCTTTAATTTACGTATTACCAGATAATTATGAGATAGTCATTTGTATTACATGAAATTTTATATGAAAGCAACTAATGAAGTACTATTTGAATCAAGTGTTTGCTTTTTGTTCTGAACTGATATTTAAATCATTACGAACTGAGACCACATTTGGACTATTTATGTAGTTTATAATTTTAGTATTGTCATCATTATGTTTTCATTGGAAGCATTCATTCATTTTAATTAAGACAGTCAGGGGGCCGGGCTCAGTGGCTCATGCTTGTAATCCCAGCACGTTGGGAGGCTGAGGCGGGCGGATCATCCGAGGTCAGGAGTTCAAGACCAGCCTGGTCAACATGGTGAAACCCCGTCTCTACTAAAAATACAAAAATTAGCTGGGCATGGTGGCGCATGCATGTAATCCCGGCTACTCGGGAGGCTGAGGCAGGAGAATCGTTGGAGCCCAGGAGGTGGAGGTTGCAGTGAGCTGAGATTGTGCCACTGCACTCCAGCCTGGACAACAAGAGTGAAACTCCATCTCAAAAGAAAAAAAAGAAAATTAAGACAGTCAGTACAGTCTATATCCTACGGCAGTCTGTTCAACTGTAAACTGATTTTTTACCTTGGAAACTGTTTTAGTATGCTACCTCAAACAGCCTGTTCACTTTTAGTAATTTTGCTACAAATTTTATTTTACTACAAATTTTGTAGTTATTTTACTACAAAAAGATTAGAAAACATGTACTAATTCCCTGTAAATATCTGTTGTACACTTCATAATATAGAAGGAGGTCTTCTATATGTTCCAGTAAGTTTTAGCAGAATTTAGCTTCTTTTTGGATGTCTAATGCATATCCAGAGAAAACTCCCCTCTCCCATCCTAACAAAATGTTGACATCAACATTGGAAATGAAGCTTTGTCACTATCTCTGAAACATTTAGATGTTTAATTGAGTTGAACGGTTAGCAAAAAAAAATTAAACCAAACCCTTGTTAGCCGGGTGTGGTGGTACACGGCTGTAATCCCAGCTATTTGGGAGGTCAAGACAGGAGAATGGCTTGAACCTGGGAGGCAAAGTTTGCAGCGAGCCAAGATCGCACTACTGCACTCCAGCCTGGGACAGAGGGACACTCCATCTCACACACACAAAAAAAGAAGGGGCTGGGCACGGTGGCTCACGCCTGTAATCCCAGCACTTTGGGAGGCCAAGGCAGGCGGATCACCTGAGGTCGGGAGTTCAAGACCAGCCTGACCAATATGGAGAAACCCCGTCTCTACTGAAAATACAAAAATTGGCCAGATGTGGTGGCACACGCCTGTAATCCCAGCTACTTGGAAGGCTGAGGCAGGAGAATCGCTTGAACCCAGGAGGCAGAGGTTGCGGTGAGCCGAGATCACACCATTGCACTCCAGCCTGGGCAACAAGGGTGAAACTCTGTCTCAAAAAAAAAAAAAAAAGGCTGGGCGCAGTGGCTCACACCTATAATTCCAGCAATTTGGGAGGCCAAAGCAGGCAGATTACTTAACATCAGGAGTTTGAGACCAGCCTGGCCAATATGGTGAAACCCCCATCTCTACTAAAAATACAAAAATTAGCTGGGTGTGGTGGCGTGCACCTGTAGTCCCACCTACTCGGGAGGCTGAGGCAGAAGAATCGCTTGAACCCAGGAGGCGGAGGTTGCAGTAAGCCAAGATCGCACTACTGCACTCCAGCCTGGATGACAGAGTGAGACTCCATCTCAAAAACAAAACAAAACAACAAAAACAAAAACTACAGACAAAACTTTGTTTCACCAATTAGAAGGCAACAGAAAAATATATAAGAAACTAGTTAACGTGCAGTCCCTGAACACTGCATTAGATAGTTCTGCCACTAATTACCTATGTAGCTAGATTAGGCACTGAGCCTTGGTTTCTTCATCTATAAAACGAAGGATAGCTATCACATAGCTAAGGAGTTATCCAATAAAATTTTGTGGTTGTAGGTAGAGAAAAGGAAACTGCCTGTTAAATGGAAAAGAAAAAAAGTAGAACAAAAAATTAACATAAGCCCAAGTGGCAGCCCTCAATTTTATTCCTCTGTACTTCAGTGGATGCAAACAGCCCTGAATTTTGGATCACTATGTGTGATAGAAATTAAGTGGATCAAATTTCATTGTATTTTTTTTTCTCTTGCAGGATGAAATCTTTGACATGGTAAAACCAAAGGATCCTTTGAAAATCTCTCTTCAGGATTTAATCAACAGTAATCAAGGAGACACAGTAACCACCATTCTAATCGATTTGAATGGCTTCTGGACTTACGAGAACAGAGAGGCTCTTGTTGCAAATGACAGTGAAAACTCTGCAGACCTTGATGATACATGATCTCTGAAAGACTAGACTGTCTTATATTATGAGATACTTGAATGCTGCATGTAAAGCCTTTAAAGCAAAATCCTCAGAAATGGTCTAAATAAAACACTTGATATGCCTAGAGAACACAGCAAATGTTTTGGTTACTGGAATTTTGGTTGCAATAGTTTAGAAGCAATAGGACCAAATATTGCTTGTTAGGAGGTGGGGTAAGTTCTGGTTCCTTTTAGTTCAAAGATGGGAAGTGTGATTTGCTGTAGGTAGATGATGTTCAGTTTAAATCTGTATAATCTTCAGAGATGAAGTTTCCATGGAATATTTCTGACAGTCATTTAGAATGTGAATATTTGACTGACAGTGCATATATATATACACACAACATGTGTGTGTGTGTGTGTCTATATATATAAAATCTCAAAGATGACAAACTTTCCCATTCATGAGTAGAGCCATTTTATTTCTGGGTTAGGATTAGGATTTTTTTTTAGGGGGGGTCAAGTGATTCTCCTGCCTCGGCCTCCTGAGTAGCTGGGATTATAGGCGCCTGCCAACACACCTGGCTAATTTTTGTATTTTAGCAGAGACAGGGTTTCACCATGTTGGCCAGGCTGGTCTCAAACTCCTGACCTCAAGTCATCTGCCCGCCTCGGCCTCCCAAAGTACTGGGATTACAGGTGTGAGGCACCACGCCCAGCCTTTTTGTTTTGCGGTTTTTTTTTTTTTTCTCTTGAGACAGTCTCCGTCTGTTGCCCAGGCTGGAGTGCAGTGGCATGATCTCTGCTCACTGCAGCCTCCACCTCCTAGCTTCAAGCGATTCTCCTGCCTCAGCCTCCTAAGCAGCTGGGACTTCAGGTGTGCACCACCATGCCTGGCTAATTTTTGTATTTTTAGTAGAGATGGGGGTCTTGCCATGTTGGCCAGGCTGGTCTCGAACTCCTGACCTCAGGTGATCCGCCTGCCTCGGCCTCCCAAAGTGCTGGGACTATAGCCACCATGATTCACAGTGATACGTGAGCCACGTGCCCAGCCTTGTTCTTTCTTTTAATTGGATGTTTTAATAAAATGTATTCAAACTAGTATTTTACTTTCATGAAAATCATTGGTATAAAAAATTTGTTGGCTGGGCACGGTGGCTTACGCCTGTAATCCCAGCACTTTGGGAGGCTGAGGTGGGCGGATCACGAGTTCAGGAGATTGAGACCATCCTGGCTAACACAGTGAAACCCCGTCTCTACTAAAAATACAAAAAATTAGCTGGGCGTGGTGGAGGGTGCCTGTAGTCCCAGCTACTCAGGAGGCTGAGGCAGGAGAATGGCGTGAACCCGGGAGGCGGAGCTTGCAGTGAGCCAAGATTGAGCCACTGCACTCCAGCCTGGCAACAGAGTGAGACTCCATCATCTCAAAAAAAAAAAAAAAAAAATTGTCTAGTTTTATTAACCAATACCAGAGTTACATTTTACAAAACTTAATTCCAAGCCCGGACAACATGGCAAAACCAAGTCTCTACAAAAAATAAATAAAAAACATTAGCTGGGCATGGTGGTGTGAGCCTGTAGTCCCAGATCCTTAGGAGGCTGACAGGGAAGGACTGCTTAAGCCCAGGAGGTCGAGGCTGGAGTGAGCCATGATTGCACTATTGCACTCCAGCCTGGGCAACACAGTAAGACCCTGTCCCAAACCAAAAAACAAACTTCATTTTGTTAAGGATTTTTGTTAAAGAATTTATGTTAATTCAGGATAAAGACTTCAGTTATACATTACATTTAGTTTTTATGAGATGCTGAAAGATTAGAAGAAGGTAAATATGAACTATGATCCAGAAGGAACTGGAATTCTGTTTTTTTTTTTTTTTTTGGAGACGAGTCTTGCTGTGTCGCCCAGGCTGGAGTACAATGGTGCAAACTCCATTCACTGCAACCTCCGCCTCCCAGGCTCAAGTGACTCTCCTGCCTCAGCCTCCCGAGCAGCTAGGATTACAAGCACCTGCTACCATGCCCGGCTAATTTTTGTATTTTTAGTAGAAATCCATCTCTACTAATTCACCATGTTGGCCAGGTTGGTCTCGGACTCCTGACCTAGTGATCCGCCCACCTTGGCCTCCCAAAGTGCTGGGACTACAGGCGTGGGCCACCGTGCCCAGCTGGAACTGGAATTCTTAAAAGGACTGAAAAGGAGATAGGAAAAAGTGAGTGAAAGAGGCTTAAAGTAAGACAAACCATTGAATACATTTATGGGAAATTTTATAGTTTGCATAAACAAAGTATAAACTTAAGGCACAGTGAATAACTATATTGATAAACATAAACTAGCCACTATTGGACAAGTAGCAAAAGTAAAATTCAAGAAACAAAACCTTCATAAGTCACTACTTCCTTTTGTTACAATCATAAAATTTTCTGGGTAAACTCTAGATACTAGTACCTCTAGGGAGACAGGATTCAGAAGATCACTTTTAGACACACCTATCTTCACTTGATAACCAAATAAATATCTGTGAGTGAGAGGTACTATCTCGAATGAAGTTAAAAACAAATTAGAAGGAAAAGGTCAGGTTAGCATGTTTTAGAACTATTGGTAAACTATAATTCATGGGACATTATATAATCAAAAGATTAATATTTTAAGCACTAAGTTATAAAGGGTTTACACCCATGAATAAAAAGATTACCATCACTTACTATGAACCACCATTCCATGAATCCATGTAGCTGAACACTCCTAATGAAAAGTTTAATTATCCTTCAACCTGTAGTTGAAGAACTCAGTTCATGTTCATTGACAGATTTCCATTACAGACCCACTATATTGATGTTACTTTCTTTGACACTATATTTTATATAGATATATTAAAATTGAAAACTTAATGCTGTTTAGAAGGCTATTAATATAACTATTAATTTCTGAAAGCTTTGAGTTTCTGAAAAGGCTTTTAAGATCAAAATTTCTGAAACACTCCACACATTCTTCCTCACCCACATTTAATTATAAATCAATGTTATACTGATAAAAGGTTCTATACACACATTTAGAGATATATGTGTGTGTGTGTGTGTCTGTGTGTGTGTATATATATATACTTTTTTCCCCCCAAGATGGAGTCTCACTCTGTCGCCCAGGCTGGAGTGCAGTGGTGCAATCTTGGCTCACTGCAACCTCCACCTCCCTGGTTCAAGTGATTCTCCTGCCTCAGCCTCCCGAGCAGCTGGGATTACAGACGTGCACCACCACGCCTGGCTAATTTTTGTATTTTTGTAGAGACGGGGTTTCACTACGTTGGCCAGGCTGGTCTCAAACTCCTGACCTCAAGTAATCTGCCCACTTCAGCCTCCCAAAGTGCTGGGATTACAGGTGTGAGCACCGTACCTGGCCATATTTAGGAATATTTTCAAAATTAGCTTCACAATATATACATTTGTAAGGTTTACAAATAACCAAGTAGGTAGAGGAGTGGCCAACCAGATTCAAGTAAACTGTCCAGTCTTCACTGTTGCTACTTCTAAATGATGAATGACGGGTAATTTCATTAGGCTATCATTGCACCTTATACAATATCTAATTGCTCCTGATGGATTAAATCTATACCTGTCCCACTATCCCCCAATCCCCTCCAAACCACTTTTCTATAGGATTAACGCTGAACCGATAACATAACCAGGATGCCACATGGATATTCACTAGGTATTAACATTAATAAATCTATTCTATAAGTAGTGTTTTAATATTATGTTCAAAGCTAGTTATTTGAGTCCTGAAAAAGAATACAAGATTAAGTAAGTGGCTTGCATTAAAAAATGGAAGCCTATCTTAATATCTGGTGTTATAAATACAGATTCTTACATAAAACAGTTATTCTCAATGAAAGAAAATTCAAAGTGCTTCCATCTTGCTCCTTTTATTATATGGTGAAGCATCCTTAGTGTGAAATTAATGGTTAGATATATAAATGCATGGCATAACATGAGAAAATCTAGGAGAAAATATCCTCATTTTAATCTAAGACTATGGAATTATCAATTCCAATTAGACTTAATCAGCAACTTACCTTTTTCAAAAAAAGCAAATGCACAAATAGGCTTGATAATTTAACTCTTCTTAACTATTAAGGCTCTAGGATGTCCTTAACTTTTTTAAAAGATCATTTTAAAACCAAAGCACTAATTTCTATACACAGTAAAAACAGTACAAATATCTGAATTTCAGATCTGGCTTTTGCTAGATAGATCCTAAAAATGAAGAAAACATTTTCCCTTTCCAGATACTTTAATAATTTAAAATATAAATAATTGTATTAAGTCCCACTGAATAAAGAATGTGAAAGTTTTTGTATTAAAAAAAAAAAACTTAAGAGTTTGAAGCTTGATAGTCATTTCATTTTATGGTGGGACAGAGACTGGATTTTGCTTGCTTTCCATAATTACTTCACTGTCTCCCTCCATTTCAAAATTGACATTCACAAATGAGCTGGATATCACTGTCTCTGGTTGATCTGTCTGAACAATGGAATCAGTCTGCAATTTATTCTGTTGATATTGTTTTTCTGCTTCTTCAGACATCCTGTTTTCTTCTTCTTCTTCTTCTTCCTAAAAAAAAGGAGCAATATCAAGAATAGTTGAAATACGAAAGTCCAAAAGGTATATAGTGCTGTTTTCCCCACTGTCAGCTTATGTTTAAAAAAAAAAAAAAAAAAAAGTGTCATGTTCAAATCAGTTTGGTCTAATTAAGACATACTTTCCCTTCTCCTGCTCTCTAATTGAAATAACCACTGTAAAACATTTTAAGGAAAGTAGTTTTTTCTTGTTGTTTGTTTTTTTTGAGAAAGAGTATTGCTCTGTCACCCAGGCTGGAGTGCAGTGGCTCACTGCAACCTCCATCTCCCAGGCTCAAGCAATTCTCCTGCCTCAGCCTCCTGAGTAGCTGGGACTACAAGCACCTGCCACCACGCCCAGCTAATTTTTGTATTTTTAGTAAAGACAGGGTTTCACCATGTTGGCCAGGCTGGTCTCGAACTCCTGACCACAAGTGATCCACCCACCTCGGCCTCCCAAAGTGTTGGGATTACAGGCATGAGCCACCGCGCTCAGCCCAAAAGAGGTTACTTTTTAAAACAGGGTCCAGCACTACATCACGTAGATGAGACCTGAATTAACTTTGACAAGGACTTTATTTTTTTCAGATTAAGTCTAAGCTAAATAAATAAAAAGTTAGCTTCAACTGTATCACTTCAATTGTAGGGTGTCAGTCTATTCGGTTGAATAGGTTGGTTCATTTACTACATGATATATAGCATAGTTAGTTTTCCCATAAGCATCAAATACATAGATAAGGCAGCACCTACCCTCAAGAAGTTTACAACTTAGTAGGGAAGTTAAGACATGTAAAAACAGTATTATGACAGATGTACAGATTTTGAAAGGGTAAATAATTTCTAGTTGCAGAACTACTAAATTCATTGAGTAGGTGGCATTTGTATTGGACCCTGCAGAACGGGTAGTCAGTACACAGTGAGTAACCCCAGAAGATTACTCTGGGGCTTGCTTGAGAATAGAGACCATTTAGGAGGCTAGTATAATAGCCCAGATGAGGTAATGAGGCTCTAAGCAAGGCTTACAGTGTTAAGAAATACTTATTTGTTCATAAAACAGGTTTGAAACCATATGACAAATATTAAGTCAGCTGACCTTTCCAGGCTCATGTCCAGTCACTCCCACATTGTACCTTATGCTCCAGTGACAATAAACTATTATATTTTTGCCATTTCCCCAACCATAACAATGTACCTTCATGCCTCTACATTCTAGCTTTACCTGAATTGCTGCCCTCTATTTGCTTGAAGAATAGCAGATGCCAATATTTGTTGTGCTCACTAGGTGCTGTTCTAAACATTTTATATATTAATGTATTTAATCTGTAGAGCAGCCCCCGAGCATGGATGCTGCAATTCTCCTCATTACAAAGATGAGGAGATTGAGGCTTATAGAGGGGTTAAGTGTTCTGTCCAAGGTTACAAAGTTTTAAGTGGTAGAACGGATTTTGAATTCAAGCCCTTTGGTTCTTGAGCCCATGCTCTTAAGCACTAAAGGCTTTTATTTTTTAAGACAAAATTCACTTCACTCTCACCTTAAGACCTCACTACTTTTAAACTGCCCTCAAATTTTTGTGCATTAACACCTGGCACATACACATTTCTTGTACTTAAATTTTTATCTGTGCCAAACCCACTCCACTTTTCCTATATCCAGTCCATGTGCTCTAAGTATCTTGTTTCTTCATCTTAGAATTAGAATGATAATCCAAAGAGAGGCATGTGAAGATTAAATAATGTATATAAGGCATCTCACATAGCACTAAGACAATGAAATCTAGCTTAGTTTTGCACACAGATCATAGGAAAATTCCAGTTTAAAGGAATTCCAAAATGTATGTTACTTTGATAAAAGAAATTAATGATTCTAGAATGAAATGCCTAGCATAAGAGAGCTACATGTTGGGCAGTTAGAAAATACATAGGCTCATTATGCAACCCATCAAGTCCATAGCAAACCAAACTGAATCAAGAAAATGTAAAAAGGAGGCATACCTCCTTCTTCATCCGATAATATTCATCAATGGCATATTGGTACTTTGGGGTGCTGATACCCAAAACAGATGCAATCTTCTCTCCAAGGAAGTCACACACTGAAAATACAAAAGTTAAAAGACTTATATAATTCTATAAACATTTCTTGAGCACTTTCTATGTGTAAGACACTGTAGGAATACAAGAGTTACTGTTCCTGCTCTCAAGGAGATTATAAAAACCTAATAGATCTATCTTCTGTATATCTTCCCTGATTTTCTTCAAGAAGTACCGGTGGCTTCAAAACTCCCAACAAGTCTTTTCATGTCTGTATTAGAATACTTATCACTAGGTGTATCTGTTATATATCTATGTCTTTAAGAAAAGTGTATACTGCCAGGCATGGCGGCTCATGTCTATAATCCCAGCACTTTGGGAGGCTGAGGCAGGCAAATCACATGAGGTCAGGACTTCAAGACCAGCTTGAACAACATGATGAAACCTCATCTCTACTAAAAATACAAAAATTAGCTGGGCATGGTGGTGGGCACCTGTAATCCCAGCTACTCAGGAGGCTGAGGCAAGAGAATAGCTTGAAACTGGGAGGTGGAGGTTACGGTGAGACAAGATCACACCACTGCACTCCAGCCTTGATGAAAGAGCAAGACTCTGTCTCAAAAAAGAAAAATGTATACTCAGAAAGCTGGGATATCACTGGGCTGGAGGAGGGGAATGGCTTGTAGTATAATACTCACTGAGTGCCTACCATGTGCCAGGTACTGTGAAAGGTTAGGCGTAGAGAGGTTAAAGAACTTAACCCAAACTGATAAGGCAGATCCAAAGTTCAAAGCTAGGTCTGAATCTCAAGCTCATGCTCTTTCCATTACACCAACCTGTCTAGCATATATTCAGTGCTCAGTAAATGTTTGTTGAATCAATTACTATTCACAATTAGCTCTAATAAAATGCAGAAAGTGATAAAAAGCTATGAGGGAGTTAAAAATGGAAGCAGAAGAAAGCTTCATAATTTAAAACCTATATTTTAAATTAGCATTATTAAGTTATAAGTTGATAATTCATTTCCTTCAAATATGACTTAGTCACATCTCAATTTAAGAAATGGAATATTAATGAAATAGAAATATAAATTAACTATAATACAGGCTTTAGAATAAGCAGTGAGACAGATTGAGAATGTTATCAATTGGAAACCAAATGACAAAGCAGCAAAATAGCTGTTAAGAGAAAGGGTTTAAGAACTTGAGGCCGGGCGCGGTGGCTCACGCCTGTGGTCCCAGCACTTTGGGAGGCCGAGGCGGGTGGATCATGAGGTCAGGAGATCGAGACCATCCTGGCCAACAAGGTGAAACCCCGTCTCTACTAAAAATACAAAAAATTAGCCGGGCGCGGTGGCGGGCGCCTGTGGTCCCAGCTGCTCGGGAGGCTGAGGCAGGCGAATGGCGTGAACCCGGGAAGCGGAGCTTGCAGTGAGCCAAGATTGTGCCACTGCAGTCCGCAGTCCGGCCTGGGCGACAGAGCGAGACTCCGTCTCAAAAAAAAAAAAAAAAAAAAAAAAAGAACTTGAAAACCATATCTAAACTAACATAGTCATTTTTCATTCCTCAAAAAATAAACTATATTGGAAGCTGAAGAATGTTTTAATGTGAAGTACAAGTTAGGTTACTATCTCCCAATGCTAGCTAGCTCTTGAGGACAGTGATTAACTCCCTATTGTTTCTCCTTCAGTTTGGAAACATCCTATTTAGCAAAGTTCCTGTTGCTGAAGCATGTTACAGCAATTATACAATATTCAAGCAGAAAAGCAATACCTGAGAGAGTTGATGTAGCAGCCCGAAGCATGTAAAACCATAAGTAGGGACCCCAGGTAAGTTTTGTCTGCAACAAGAAATCATGTTAGCAACATTCATACCTAAATTCATTCCATATATTTAGGCCAGAATGAAGTAGTCAAATACTTGGTAGGCACCGAGAATATTCTATAGGCAGTACTACAAAGAGACTGCAATCCAATCAACAATTTAAAATCTGTAGAGTTAAAATTCCACAAAGATATTTTACATTCACCCATATAACTACCACCACCTTAAGCCCATAGAAGAATCAAAAAAAGATGCAGCCGCTGAAATGGAGTTGGTAATCGCAGTCTGGATTATTTTATGAGTTGACAATCCAGAGCTTTCCTTTCTCCTGTCTTGCTGCATTTTTGTCTCCACTATTTATAAACACAACACCAGAGGGGGTGTTCAGTCAATAGAAAGAAACTTAAGGATGCCATCTGACATACTTATGCTATAGCAGGGAAATTAAGGTTCAGAGAAATTAAGCAGGATATGTAAGGGAACATCAAATGAGCTTTTAATGGTGGGAAAATAAGGGACAAATAAGCGGCAAGATAAGTTTCGTTTGTTTCTTTAAGTCTTTTTTTTTATTATTATTATACTTTAAGTTCTAGGGTACCTGTGCACAACATGCAGGTTTGTTACATATGTATACATGTGCCATGTTGGTGTGCTGCACCCATTAACTCGTCATTTACATTAGGTATATCTCCTAATGCTATCCCTCCCCGCTCCCCCCACCCCACAACAGGCCCCAGTGTGTGATGTTCCCCTTCCTGTGTCCAAGTGTTCTCATTGTTCAATTCCCACCTAAGAGTGAGAACATGCGGTGTTTGGTTTTCTGTCCTTGCAATAGTTTCCTCAGAATGATGGTTTCCAGCTTCATCCATGTCCTTACAAAGGACATGAACTCATCCTTTTTTATGGCTGCATAGGATTCCATGGTGTATATGTGCCACATTTTCTTAACCCAGTCTATCATTGATGGACATTTGGGTTGGTTCCAAGTCTTTGCTATTGTGAATAGTGCCGCAATAAACATACATGTGTATGTGTCTTTATAGCAACATGATTTATAATCCTTTGGGTATATACCCAGTAATGGGATGGCTGAGTCAAATGGTATTTCTGGTTCTAGATCCTTGAGGAATCGCCACACTGTCTTCCACAATGGTTGAACTAGTTTACACTCCCACCAACAGTATAAAAGTGTTCCTATTTCTCCACATCCTGTCCAGCACCTGTTGTTTCCTGACTTTTTAATGATCGCCATTCTAACTGGTGTGAGATGGTATGTGATTTTGATTTGCATTTCTCTGATGGCCAGTGATGATGAGCATTTTTTCATGTGTCTGTTGGCTGAATAAATGTCTTCTTTTGAAGTGTCTGTTCATATCCTTTGCCCACTTTTTGATGGGGTTGTTTGATTTTTTCTTGTAAATTTGTTTGAGTTCATTGTAGATTCTGGATATTAGCCCTTTGTCAGATTAGTAGATTGTAAAAATTTTCTCCCATTCTGTAGGTTGCCTGTTCACTCTGATGGTAGCTTCTTTTGCTGTGCAGAAGCTCTTTAGTTTAATTAGATCCCATTTGTCAATTTTGGCTTTTGTTGCCATTGCTTTTGGTGTTTTAGTCATGAAGTCCTTGACCATGCCTATGTCCTGAATGGTATTGCCTAGGTTTTCTTCTAGGGTTTTTATGGTTTTAGGTCTAACATTTAAGTCTTTAATCCATCTTGAGTTAATTTTTGTAGCAAACTTGACAAAAACAAGAAATGGGGAAAGGATTCCCTATTTAATAAACGGTGCTGGGAAAACTGGCTAGCCATAGGTAGAAAGCTGAAACTGGATCCCTTCTTTAAGTCTTAAAAAAGGACTAGACCATAGAACCCAAGACAAGTTCAGTGCATATTTGGTAAGCCAGGGCCACTGGCAGAATGCAATCCACAATGCACACCTACGTAGTTAATCTTGGTTCTATAATTCCAAATGAATTTTGTGAAGCTTGCCAAACAGATGTTATCTGCCTCTCTAGATGAAGCCAGTGATAAAGGCATGCTTCATTGTACCAATACGTTTATCCAAAGAAAACACAGTATAAAGCCTTCAAGGAATCAAATGCATTAATAATTGTTTTCTGGAGTTTTTTTTAAGACAGAGTCTCACTCTGTCACCCATGCTAGAACGCAGTGGCACAATCTCAGCTCAATGCAACCTCTGCCTCCTGGGTTCAAGTGACTCTTGTGCCTCAGCCTCACGAGTAGCTGGGATTACAGACGTGCACCAATTGCACAAATTTTTGTATGTTTAGTATAGATAAGGTTTCGCCATGTTGGCCAGGCTGGTCTCAAATTCCGGCCCCATGTGATCCACCCACCTCAGCCTCCCAAAGTGCTGGGATTACAGGGGTAAGCCACTGCATCTGGGAAATAATTGTTTTAATATGGCTTCCAAGGAGGGGAGAAAGAGAAAAACTTGTCCATAATCTTCTTATATATACTAATGATTAAAAGGGCATTAAAAAGGCAAACACAAGAATATCTGTTAAGACTGAGTGGATGGGGCGGGGCGCAGTGGCTCACGTCTGTAATCCCAGCACTTTGGGAGGCTGAGGCGGGTGGATCACCTGAGGTCAGGAGCTCAAGACCAGCCTGACCAACATGGAGAAACCCCGTCTCTACTCAAAATACAAAAATTAGCCAGGCATGGTGGCGTGCACCTGTAATCCCAGCTTCTAGGGAAGCTGAGACAGGAGAATCGCTTGAATCTGGGAGGCGGAGGTTGCAGTGAGCCGAGATTGAGCCCCTGCACTCCAGCCTGAGCAACAGAGCAAGACTCCATCTCTAAATAAATAAAATAAATAAAAATACAAAAATTAGCTGGGCTGTAGTGGCACACGCCTGTGATCCCAGCTACTCAGGAGACTGAGACGGGAGAATCGTTTGAACCCGGGAGGCGGAGGTTGCAGTGAGCCAAGACTGCACCACTGCACTCCAGCCTGGGCAACAGAGGGAGACCCTGTCTCACAAAAAATAAATAAATAAACTCCCTTTCATATATACATATATTCTATTAGTTCTGTCCCTCTGGAGAACCCTAATAAAGTATCTAAAGCTGGAGAATTTAATGCCAGCAAAGGATGGCTTGATAATTTTAGAAAGAAGTTTGGCTTTAAAAATGTCAACAAAACAAGAGAAGCAGCTTCTGCCAAACAAAAGATAGCAGATGAGTTCCCACACATCATTAGGAAAATCATTGAGAAGAAAGGATATCTATCAGAACAGGTTTTTAGTGGAGATCAAAGTGCCCTATTCTGAAAAAACATGCCACAAAAGACATTTATTAGTAAGGAAGAGAGGCAAGCACCAGGATTCAAGGCAGAAAGGGATAGGCTAACTCTACTATTTTGTACAAATGCAGTCCGGTTTATGATTAGGACTGCCCTTATCTATAAAGCTGCTAGCCCCCAAGCCTTAAAGGAAAAAGATAAACACCAGCTACCAGTCTTTTGTCTGTACTTGTCAAGGCCTAGACAACAAGAACCCTTTTCCTGGATTGGTTCCATCAATGCTTTGTCCCTGAAGTCAGGAAGTATTCTGTTAATAAGGGACTGCCTTTTAAAATTCTTTTGTTATTGGACAATGCTCCTGGCCACCCAGAACCCCACAAGTTCAACACTGAAGGTGTCAAAGTGTTGTACTTGCCCCCAAACACAACATCTCTAGTTCAGCCTCTGGATCAGGGGTCATAAGGACCTTTAAGGCTCATTACACACAGTACTCTATGGAAAGCATTGTTGATGCCATAGAAGAGAACCCTGGGCAGTGTGGTGGCTTACGCCTATAATCCCAGTACTTCAGGAGGCTGAGGCGGGCAGATTACCTGAGCTCAGGATTTTGCGACCAGCCTGGGCAACATGGTGAAACCCTGTCTTTACTAAAATACAAAATATTAGCTGGGCATGGCAGCGTGCACCTGTAGTCCAGCTACTTGGGAGGCTGAGGCAGGAGAATTGCTTGAACCCAGGAGATGGAGGTTGCAGTGAGCCAAGATCACGCCACTGCACTCCAGCCTGGGTGACAGCGAGACTCCGTCTCAAAAAAAAGAAGAAGAAGAAGAAGAAGAGAACCCTGATAAAGAAAACATCATGAAAGTCTGGAAGGATTACACCACTGAAGATGCCATTGTTATAGAAAAAGCTGTGAAAGACATCAACACGAAACAAATTTCTGCTGGAGAAAACTGTGCCCAAGTGTTGTGCACATCTTCACAGGATTTACGACAGAGCCAATCAATGAAATCATGAAAGATATGGTAGATATGAAAGGAAAGGGGGGGTGGAGGGTGGAGCGTTTCAAAATTTGGATCTCGGAGAAATTCAAGAGCTAACAGACACAACACCAGAGATATTAACAGAAAATGGCTTGATAGAGATGAGTGCCTCCAAACCACTGCCAGATAATGAAGAAGATGTAAAAGCAGCAGTGCCAGAAAAGAAACTGACATTAGACAATCTGGCAGAAGGGCTCCGATTTTTCAAGACTACTTGACTTCTTTTACAACATGGACCCTTCTATACAGGCAATGAAACTAAAGCAAATGGTGGGAAAAGAACTGTTACCACCTAAAACAATTTTTAGAGAAATAAAAAAGTAAAACAGTCAGACAGAAATTACTACGTATTTCCATGAAGTCACAGCAAGTACGCCTTTCTCTCTTGCCTCCCCTTCCACCTCCTGCCATGCCTAACACAGCAAGACCAACCCCTCCTCTTCCTCCTCAGCCTACTCAATGTGAAGACAATGAGGAAGAAGACTTATGATGATGATCCACTTCCCACTTAATGAATAGTAAATATATTTTCTCTTCCTTATAATTTTCTTAACCCTTTTTCCTTTCCTTTCCCCTTTCCTTTCTTTTATCTTTTCTTTGTCACCCAGGCTGGAGTGCAATGTTGCGATCTCGGCTCACTGCAACCTCCGCCTCCCAGGTTCAAGTGATTCTCCTGCCTCAGACTCCCGAGTAGCTGGGACTACAGGTGCCCAACACCACATCCGGCTAATTTTTGTATTTTTAGTAGAGATGGGGTTTCACTATATTGGCCAGGCTGGTCTCAAACTCCTGACCTTGTGATCTGCCCACCTCAGCCTCCCAAAGTGCTGGGATTACAGGCATGAGCCACCACGCCTAGCCAACATTTTCTTTTCTATAGCTTACTTTATTGTAAGAATAGAGCATATAATACATATAACATAAGAAATATGTGTTAATTGACTTTATGCTCTAGGTAAGGCTTCCAGTCAACACTAGGCTATTAGCAATTTAGTTTGGGGGGAATAAAAAGTTATAGGCAGATTTTCAACTGTGCAGGGTAGTTGGGGGGTCACACCCCTAAACTTCACATTGTTCAAGGTTCAACTGTAAATATGTTTCTCAGTGGACCAATTCTCCTGGGGTTGTTTCTGGCGAGAATAATTGATAATATCCAAGCTATGACTACCAAAGAATCAAATCTGCTCCAGAGCTGAAAAACAGGTTAATAATTCCTGAATAACATTTATCATCATCCCACACAACTATACAGAATGAATATATAGGGCCCTTTGTTTGAACATTGACTTGATTGAATCAAAAAAAAGAAGTAGCTAGAGTCTATGCCAGAATTCCACCACCTAGACTATCCCAGTAATAGCAAAACTGGGACAAGATCTTGTGTCTTCAAGACTTCTTGTATATAGTGCTAAAACTCAAAATGATTCATTTTTCCTCCAAAAATATAAGTATCTCTTCCTTCCCTATTAAGACCTACTACCTTTTCTTATTAAAACAATTTATTTTCAGATTATAAAAGTCATATTTATTTGTTGTAGAACACTTAGAAAATGGAGGTCGGCCGGGTGCAGTGGCTCACGCCTGTAATCCCAGCACTTTGGGAGGCCGAGGAGGGTGGATCACGAGGTCAAGAGATCGAGACCATCCTGGCTAACACGGTGAAACCCTGTCTCTAAAAAAAAATACAAAAAATCAGCCGGGCGTGGTGGCAGGTGCCTGTAGTCCCAGCTACTCAGGAGGCTGAGGCAGAAGAATGGCGTGAACCTGGGAGGCGGAGCTTGCAGTGAGCTGAGATCGCACCACTGCACTCCAGCATGGGCAACAGAGCAAGACTCCGTCTCAAAAAAAAAAAGAAAGAAAGAAAGAAAGAAAATGGAGGTCAATATAAGAAAAATGTAATTCACCCATTTTCCACCACCTAGAAATAATTATCCAAATATCAGGGTACCTTTCCAGTCTTTTCCTGAGCATACACTTATTTTTACAACATTGTTGTCCCTTACATATTTTCTCTATCCTATTTTTCCACATGTATTATATCATATTAATATAATTATAATATTAAGCCTATTTACTTAATCTGCTTAAATTCCTAAAGGTGGAATTAACTAGGCCAAAAATATAATCATTTAGGAAGCTCTTCATTCACATTGCAAAACTTCACACTAGAAAATTTGCCTATAAATATGCAGTAGCAATGTATGTGATTGTCCATTAACTTGTAGCTCCGCCGGGTGTGGTGGCTCACGCCTGTAATCCCAGCACTTTGGGAGGCCAAGGTGGGCAGATAACAAGGTCAGGAGTTCGAGACCAGCCTGACCAACATGGTGAAACCCTGTCTCTACCAAAAATACAAAAATTAGCCAGGTGTGGTAGCATGCACCTGTAGTCCCAGCTACTTGGGAAGCTGAGGCAGGAGAATTGCTTGAATCCGGGAGGCTGAGGTTGCAGCGAGGCGAGATCATGCCACTGCACTCCAGCCTGGACGACAGAGCGAGACTCCGACGCAAAGAAAAAAAAAATATTGTTATAGGCCGGACACGGTGGCTCATGCCTGTAATCCCAGCACTTTCGGAGGCTGAGGCGGGTGGATCACGAGGTCAGGAGATCGAGATCATCCTGGCCAACATGTACCTTAAGGTACATCTAAGGTAAAATTGAAGTGAGTTACTATAAGATTATAAAAAGATCTAGGTCTTCACTTCTTTTTTTTTTTTTTTTTTTTTTTTTTTTTTTTTTTTGAGACAGAGTCTCACTCTGTCGCCCAGGCTGGAGTGCAGTGGTGCAATCTTGGCTCACTGCAACCTCCACCTCCCAGGTTCAAGCAATTCTCTGCCTTAGCCTCCCGAGTAGCTGGGATTTCAGGCGCCCACCACCACGCCCACCTAATTTTTGTATTTTTAGTAGAGACGGGGTTTCACCATCTTGGCAAGGCTGATCTTGAACTCCTGACTTCGTGATCTATCCGCCTCGGCCTCCCCAAATGCTGGGATTACAGGTGTGAGCCACCACGTCTAGCATAGGTCTCCACTTCTTATGCTCTATTAGTATCATATGCCAGGAGTATTAATCTTAAATCTTTATCTTAAATGTCAGGGTTTTAAAAATTGAGTCTGTTTTACAAATGTACTATGGAAATACAGGACCTTTTCAAAATTCCTTTGTCTTATCATATTTATGATGTATTAAGAGGAAACAGAAAATTGAAAGTCTGCTCTTAACATTAAGTGAAGCCAGGTTTATCTTCAGTTGTTAAAAAGTACTCCAATGGGGCCAGGCACGGTGGCTCATGCCTGTAATCCCAGCACTTTGGGAGGCCGAGGCAGGCAGATCACCTCAGGTTGGGAGTTCGAGACCAGCCTGACCAACATGGCAAAACCCCGTCTCTACTAAAAATACAAAATTAGCCGGGCATGGTGGCACATGCCTGTAATCCCAGCTACTTGGGAGGCTGAGGCAGGAGAATCGCTTGAACCCGGGAGGCAGAGGTTATGGTGAGCCGAGATTGCGCCATTGCACTCCAGCCTCGGCAATAAGAGTGAAACTCTGTCTCAAAAAAAAAAAAAAAAACCTACTCCAATGGATAAGCATTGGCTGTTGTATTGGTCTATGGCAGGAAACCCAACGATACATTCAAACTGGCTGGTAATGGTGAGATTTAGCTATACACATTTAAAAAAATTTTTTTAATTGGCTAATAGGGTATTATCTACAAAGATGCGGACAAGGTTTCCAACAATGAACAGAATAGTACCCCAGAGCTAATAGCACTGAGAAAACCATTAATATCCCTGCTGTTGTTTAAATGTGTCCCCTAAAAAACGTGTGTTGGAAACAATATAACAGTGTTGGGAGCTGGGACTGAACGAGCAGTGATTATGCCATGACAGCTCCAGCATCATGAATGGATTAATGCCATTATTATGGAAGTGGGTTTGTTATAAAATCATGAGCTCTGGCCCCTTCTCTCTCTGTCTCTCTCTCACCCTCTTGCCTTCTGCTACATTCAATGATGCAGCAAGAAGGCCCTTGCCAGATGCCAGTTGCTCAATCTTGGACTTCCCAGCCTCCACAACTGTAAGCCAATGAAGTTCTGTTCTTTATTAATTACCCAGTCTGTGGTATTCCATTATAGCAGCACAAAATGGGCTATCACAAACCCAATATCTGAAGGGGTAAAAAGAGAGAGCAGTTACTGGGAACCCCGGGAGAATACCCAAATGGAGAAGGCTTCCCAATAGTAGCTGTGGCCTTAGTAGAAAATCCAGTTACCCATGGCATATAATAAGGAAGGAATCCCAGAATCAGAATGGTGAAGAGTAAATAACACAACCTCATTTTATTCCCTGCCCTCTAATTTCCTGCCGGTGGTTCACATTGGCTAAACTCAATAAAAAGCCAGAGGACAAAGGACTCTACTAATACAGTGCATACATGCCAAAGTACAATGCAGCATGCAGACGAGTAGAGAGTAAATCTACAGGAGCAAACAGAAACTTCACATGATGCCTAGTCCACAAACACAAGAAAGGATATGGTGATTAGAAGTAGTTTTATGGTTACCTGCTATCAAAATGCTCTAACATTAAGATACCAATCATCTGTTAACATACTCCACCATGTAAAAGATTTTCTACTTACACAATAAAAAACCTATTTACTGCCACCGATGGAGATTCTGAAATACATATTGGAAAAATTATCCATGTAAAACTACTAGAAGAAAACATAAGGGAAAACTACATAACATTGGTCTGGGCAATACTTTTTTGGATTTGACCCCAAAAGCTCAGGCAACAAAACCAAAACCAGACTAATGGGATTACATCAAAATAAAAAGCTTCTGCACAGTAAAAGAAACAATCAACACAGTGAAGTGACAACCCATGGATTGGGAGAAAATACTTGCAAGCCATACATTTGATAAGGGGTTAATATCCAAAATATGTAAAGAACTTAAACAACTCAAAAGCAAAAAAACAACCTAATTAAAAACTAGGCTAAGGACCTGAACAGATACTTCTCAAGAGAAGGCATATGAATAGTCAACAGATATATGAAAAAATGTTCAACATCACTAATCATTAAGGAAAGGCAAATTAAAATCACAATGAGATATCACCACATACCTGTCAAAATGGATATTATCAAAAAGATAAAAGATAACAAATGTTGGCAAGGATGTAGAG
This sequence comes from Homo sapiens, assembly GCF_000001405.40. Lineage (NCBI taxonomy): Eukaryota > Metazoa > Chordata > Mammalia > Primates > Hominidae > Homo > Homo sapiens. Next base: position 35,067,666 of record NC_000014.9, on the reverse strand, counting down.
AAAAGGGAACCCAGGTGCACTTGGTGGGAATGCAAATCAGTACAGCCATTTTGGAAAACAGGATGGAGGTTCCTCAAAAAATTAAAAACAGAATTACTATATAATCCAGCAATTCAATTTCTGAATATATATTGAAAGGAACTGGAATCAGTATATCAAAGAGATATCTGCACTCCCATGTTTATTACATCATTATTCACAATGGCCACATTATGGAACCAACCTAGGTGTCCATATCAGATGAATGGATAAAGAAAATGTGACATATATACAAAATGAAATACAATTCAGCCTTTAAAAATAGGGAATTCTGTCATTTGTGCAACGTGGATGAACCTGGAGGACATTATGCTACTGAAATAACCCAGGCACAGAAAGGCATAATGCCACGTTTTCACTTTTATGTGGAATCCAAAACTGAACTCATAGAAACAGAGAGCACAATGGTGGTTACCAGAGGCTGGGGGTTAAGGGGAAATGGGGAGATGTTGGTCAAAGAGCTCAATGTTACAGTTAGGAAGAATAAATGGTAAGTACTTGAGGCAATAAATATGTTTAATAAAAACAGAAAATTGGGCTGGGCATGGTAGCTCACACCTGTAATCCCAGAACTTCGGGAGGCCAGGGTGGGCAGATCACCTGAGGTTGGGAGTTTGAGACTAGCCTGACCAACATGGAGAAACCCCGTCCCTATAAAAATACATAATTAGCCAGGCGTGGTGGCGCATGCCTGTAATCCCAGCTACAAGGGAGGCTGAGATAGGAGAATCGCTTTAACCCAGGAGGCAGAGGTTGCGGTGAGCTGAGATTGTGCCATTGCGCTCCAGCTTGGGCAAGAGCAAAACTCCGTCTCAAAAAAAAAAGATTCAAGATTCAAAAGCCTCTATTATGTATACATTCCATTAACTATAACAATGGCATTTAAATATATACATCAAGTTGGCATCAAGATGCTCTTTTATGGCCAGGCGCGGTGGCTCACGCCTGTAATCCCAGCACTTTGGGAGGCTGAGGCGGGCAGATCACTTGAGGTCAGGAGTTTGAGACCAGCCTAGCCATCATGGTGAAACCTCGTCTCTACTAAAAATACAAAAATTAGCCAGGAGTGGTAGCGCACACCTGTAATCCCAGCTACAAGGGAGACTGAGGCAGGAGAATTGCTTGATCCCAAGGGCAGAGGTTGCAGTGAGCCGAGATTACGCCACTGCACTCCAGCCTGGGCAACAGAGTGACACTCTGTCTCAAAAAAAAAAAAAAAAAGATGCTCTTTTACTACTTTAAACAACACAAGAAAAATGGATTTGAGGCCAGGAACTCATGCTTGTAATCCCAGCACTTTGGGAGGCCAAAATAGGAGGATCATTTGAGCCGAGGAGTCCAAGACCAGCCTGGGCAACATAATGAGACC